>NC_000006.12:20060000-20363030 GCF_000001405.40 Homo sapiens | reverse complement strand
TTACCAGTGCCAGATACTTCTTTACTTTCTGGTTTGTTTGATATTATATGAGCAGAGGATTAAGGGGAGGGACAAAGTATAGTTTTAGATAGAAATGGAAATGGTTTATGATGCAAACTCTGACTAATATGGTTAAATCATTTGATCCTCTTAAAGGATTTTCAAATCAGGAAAGATTTTACTCTCCATTCCAACCCAGTTTCTACTGCCAAATTGTTGAGAAATTCAAACAAATAAACAGAGTGTCATCTGGGCCATTTGCAAATGTTCTAGTTTCTTTTGGGGATGTGATAGGGTTGCATGGCGGCAGTTCTGCTTTGGAGTTAGCTTGGCCATGAGACTTGCTTTGGCCAATAAATTGTGAGTGGAAGTAAAAACATGTATCACTTCAGAGTGAAGCTTTAAGAATTAGGGTGTGCTTTGCCATATTCTATCTCTCTGTTGGGTGAAATAAATGGAGCCTACATCATCCTGGCTCCCAATTGGCTAGAAGAGCAAAGTCTTCCCAGCCTGCACTGGACATGTAGTAGGATAGAGAAATACACTTAGTAAGATACTGACATTTCAGTTGTTTGTTACTGGAGGCTAACCTATCCCATCATCACTGGTAAAGTAAATAGCTAGTTAGATGATGGATAGGTATGTATGTAGGTAGACAGATATACAGACAGAGAGATGTAGATTCAAATGTACTGGGTAGGGCTGTAGATCTAAAAACATGACCCCAAAGTTCTCACTCTAACATTGATTAATTAGTCTATTGGTCACTATTTTTTAATTAACAATTCATTTGAGTCTCCCTATCCTAAATTATATTGAGATCCTTCACTCTTTTATATAGAGTTTTCACAAATATTTTGAAGTGAAAAAAAGGTAAAGTATAATGCAGAATATACGGTATAACTCATTTTTTTGGCAAAAAATTATATATTAGAGACATGTCTGGACATACTTGTGAACTCAGACATGCTGAGAGTCTGTGTGCGATTAAAGGCTACATGTGTAAGGGTGTGATGATGACAATAGTGGGTCAATATCCTTTCATTCTAGCCACCCACCATTTCCCCTCTATTTCCCCACATCACCTAAATAGCATATTACTTGCTAGTCTAGCTCCTTCCGTGTGGTGACTCGACTGCCCTAAGCAAGAGGCCACCTTTCTTAACATTTTGTTCCAATGCTCTCCAGCCTCTGGATGTTGAGACGGACCTTTGCTCTTGTCACCAGGCTGGAGTGCAATGGCATGATCTCGGCTCACGGCAACCTCTGCCTCCTGGGTTCAAGTGATTCTCCTACCTCAGCCTCCCGAGTAGCTGGGATAACAGGCACTTGCCACCATGCCTGGCTAATTTTTTGTATTTTTAGTAGAGACGGGGCTTTACCATGTTGGTCAGGCTGATCTTGAACTCCTGACCTCCTGTGATCCACCCGCCTCAGCCTCCCAAAATGCTGGAATTATAGGCATGAGCCACCATGCCCAGCCCGCATCTTTTTATATAATAGTTACTCCAGGAGTATTATCCCCTTTCTCATCTCCCATTAAGTCAATGTTTGCTGAACAATTACTATGTGCTAAGAGATGTGTCAGGTGCTGTGGAGCCAAAGCAAATGAGGTAAGCCATTGTCTTTAAGGACCTATAGGCTAATAAGGGCCATGGGAGGCACGCCTAGACCCTTAGGAAACCCGCTGAGATGACTCTGGACGCTCCCTCCTGAACGGTGAAGCCCGCTCTCCCACCTCTCACTTCCGTGGGCATAGAGTGTGGTGGTCATTAATGCTATCCCCAGCATTTCTGGCTTTTCTCCGTCAGAACACTTGATGGCATTACACTTCCTTCCCCCTTGAAATTAGGTATAGACAAATGACTTGCTTTAGCCAATGTGAGTGGAAGTAACATCTGTGGCTTCCGAGGAAAAGCTTTTATGAGTGAGTGCATGTTTACCATGTTAGTGACTGGCCGTGTTCCAGATGTGATGCCCTATTAACTTGATCTTTTGATAAAGGTGACACCCACCCAAGACTGACAATAACGTAAACATAACGTAAACATAACAATAACATAAACATAATGTAAACATTCATTGTTTTAAGACACTGAAATTTGGGAGTGTTTGTTACCCCAGGGTAACCTAGTTTTTCTGACAGATACAGGGGACAACTTCCAGACCTGGCAGGAGTTCTAGTGGACCTGGCTCAGGCTATCCAGTGTGATTTAGGATTAGCGGTTCTGGGTGACCTGCACAACCAAATGAGCAAAGATAGCACTGACCCTAGTCTAGCTGGAATGACAAGCAGCAGTCCCTTCAAGGTCTGAGTAATCTCTCCCTAGCCTCAAGGAGGCTGCCTCACCATACCATGCATGTCTTTGAAATAGTAAAACCCAAGGGCAGACCTACTTGACAATAGTAGGTTCATACATGGTGAACGGAAAGGAATCACCCCTGAGAACCATGACTGGAATTGTCTGTAACCATAATTGGAACTGACTGTAACAAAATAGCCCTGGATAGTGGTGTGCATTTCGAGATTAGAGTGTTTAATCTTGAAATCTGGACTTCCCACTTAACCCTGAATTCAGAATAAATTGTTGTAGCCACTTATAACATGTATTTCAGTAGAAAAAAATGTTGCCAACATCACTAGAAATTAAATGCAAAATAAAATAGCGTGATGATAATTTTCTTCACTTATTAATTTGGCAAGATATTTAAAACGTCCTGTGTTGGCAAGGGTGATGGAAGTGTAAATTGCTACAATCTTCCTGCAGACTGATAAGGGAGTATATATCCAAAACCTTAAAAATATGGGTGCTCATTAACCTCTTCTTCTATGGTAATAGAATTTTTAGCCAGGCTACCAGAATAAAAAGGTAATATTGCCAGCTCCTCTGGCAGCTAGGAATGGGTATATGAAAAAGTTCTGGCCACTGGGACGAGAGCAGAAGTGATGTGTGTAACCTCAAGGTGAAGCCCTTAAAGGGCTGTTGTTCCTCCTTTTCCCTGTTTTGCTGTTTGGAATGAAATTGTGATAGATCAGAAAGACAAGAGCAATGTCTAGAAATGGGAGAGCCATGGGATAAGAACCTCAGTCCTTGCCACCATGGAACAGAATCACCATGCTAGCTCTGACTTTTTCTCACCTATAAATATACTTGTAGGCTACTTAAGCCACTGCCTAAATATGTAGCCAAAAATATACTAAGTAATGTACCAGAATCTCTACTTTTGGAGACGTATCCTAGGTCAGTAATAGTGGATGTGTGCAAAGATTTAGGTAACAATGAAATTTATCTCAGACTTTTCCGTATACATGGAAGTTGAGAATAAACTAAACAGTAGTTTGGTGAAAGAAATTACAGGTTATCTATACAACAGATACATGAAGCCATTCAAAATTATTATACAAAAACTATTGTTGCAGAAAGACATTCACTTTTCTTTTTCTTTTGTGAGATGGAGTCTCGCGCTGTCACCCAGGCTGGAGTACAGTGGCGCGATCTTGGCTCACTGCAACCTCCACCTCCTGGGATCAAGCAATTCTCCTGTCTCAGCCTCCCAAATAGCTGGGATTACAGGTGCCCACCACCACACCTGGCTAATTTTTGCATATTTAGCAGAGATGGGGTTTCACCGTGTTGGGCAGGCTGGTCTTGAACTCCCGCCTCGGCCTCCGAAAGTGCTGGGATTACAGGCGTAAGCCACCGTGCCTGACCAAGACATTCACTTTTTAAAAGATGCACAGGCCAGGCGCGGTGGCTCATGCCTGTAATCCCAGCACTTTGGGAGGCCGAGGCTGGTGGGTCACCTGAAGTCAGGAGTTTGAGACCAGCCTGACCAACGTGGAGAAACCCAGTCTCTATTAAAAATAAAAAAAATTGGCTGGGCGTGGTGGTGGGTGCCTGTAATCCCAGCTACTCAGGAGGCTGAGGCAGGTGAATTGCTTGAACCCAGGAAGTGGAGGTTGTGGTGAGCCGAGATTGCACCATTGCACTCCAGCCTGGGCAACAAGAGCGAAACTCTGTCTCAAAAAAAAAAAAAAAATGCACATATAAGACAGGAAAATGATTTCTCACTTTTCCCCTCTCTCCACCTCCAAAAGAGAATTCTAACCTTGCCCACTAGGTTTCTTCCTCTTCCTCATTCTCTATAGAAAGACCTATCTTGCCAAAGGAACTCCTTTGGGCTTTTCTGATGAGAATTGAGAGGAAAGAAGGAGGAGAAAGATAAGAGGCACCTTGGCTAGGATTGGAGGAGGATATTTTCGGACGGGTTTTGAGAAGCAAGAGTTGAGTTGAGTGTGGGACAGTGGGTGGGAGAGGAAACTGAAGATTTTTAAAGTATACCTGTGGATGATGTGTCTCTTCAAGATATTTGGGCTGCAATGACTTCAGACTGCCACGCTATGTAGGCATTTAACCACAGGGTCTCTCTACTGTGGACTCAGAAAGCAGTCCTGAGGATATTTACCAAATACCTATGGCTTTTATTGGCTTTTCCTTCTGGGTCAGTAGAATTCCATTTTCTGCTTCTTATTTTTCTGATAGTATTTCTCCATTTGTCATTAAAAACAAATACAAAAATTTATTTTAAAAAAATGGTCACTGAGCTTTATTCATAATTGCCAAAACTTGGAAGCAACCAAGATGCCCTTAAGTAGGTGAATAGATAAACTATGGTATGTCCAGAGAATGGAATATTATTCAGTGCTAAAAAGAAAGGAGCTATCAAGCCACAAAAAGACATGGAGGAAAAGTGAATGCATTTTACCGAGTGAAAGAAGCCAGTCTCAAAGGACCACGTACTATATGACTGCAACTTCATGACACTCTGGACAAGTCAAAACTATGGAGATAGTAAATAAAAAGATAGGTGGTTTCCCGAGGCTTGGGGGAGGAAGGGATGAAGAGGCAGAGCACAGAGGACTTTTATGGAAGGGAAATTGTTCTTTATGACACTACAATAGTGAATACAGGTCATTACACATTTGTCCAAACCCATAGAATGTACAACACCAAGAGTGAACCCTAATGTAAACTATGGACACTGGGTGATGGTGACGTGCCAATGTAGGTGCATCAGTTGTAACCGATTCACCACTCTGGTGGGGATGTTGATAATGGGGAGGCTATGCATGTGTCAGGGAAGGTGGTATAAGGGAAATCTCTGTACTATCCTCTCTATGTTGCTGTGAACCTAAAATTGCTCTTTTAAAAAGTATTTTTTTAAGGCTGGGAGCAGTGGCTCACGCCTGTAATCCCAGCACTTTGGGAGGCCGAGGTGGGTGGATCACCTGAGGTCAGGAGTTCCAGACCAGCCTGGGCAACACGGTGAAACCCTGTCTCTACTAAAACTACAAAAATTAGCTGGACGTGGTGGCGCCCGCCTGTAATCCCAGCTACTCGAGAGGCTGAGGCAGGAGAATTGCTTGAACCCGGGAGGCAGAGGTTGCAGTGAGCCAAGATTGCGCCATTGCACTCCAGCTTGGGTGAAAGAGTGAGACTCCATCTCACAGGCAGCAAGGGTGGGGGGGATGTATTTTTTTAAAAAGTCCCAAACACTTTAGTGACTACAGGAAAAAACAAAAAAAGGCTGTCAAGCCCTGCTAACAAAAGTGCAGGCATGAATCCATCTAGCACAGGGAGAGGTGACTGGAGAAGGGCCAAGTTTCTGCTTCAATGTCCCTGACCCACAGCATACACCTTCATCTGCTAGAACAACTATCAGCCTCACCCCAAGCCCAGAACCAGTTAGAACCAGGTCCATTGGGGGATGCCAGCATTTTCCTGCTCACTGTTGGGGAGGATGAGGGAGCTTGGCAATGGTCTGCCATCTTATTCCTGGGGGAGAAGGAGCCATAGACACCCTCATGGACATCCACTACCATCCCTCTGTCTCTCTAACTACACTCTCATTATATGTGGTCCATCCACCCAACACACCTCCCACCCCCGTTCCTAGTTTTCGCTCTGGGTGGGGCTGCAAACAGCTCAGCTAGCTGGAGACCCAATCACCTTGTCTATAGAAAGAGAATTAATTCTGCCTCTGGAATTCCAAATCTATAATTATGACATATGCCTGATGGCTGAAAATGACAACTTTGCAGAACATTCTGCTTACCCCACTTTGAGAAGTGTCTATGGGGACCAATGGGGGAAGTCCTGGGTTCTGGTAAGCTCAACATAGACAAGAAACAGAGATGTTGTTTTGTTTGTCCACCTCAATGAAAGTTGATGAACTCTCACTCTCATTTGACCATTTTTAGCCATCCATGTCCTCAGAGAGACATCCTGAAGTCTTCTGGACAGCCAGAGAGATTAGATGTAAAAGGTATAGTGTATTAGGCTGTTCTTGCATTGTTATGAAGAAATACCTGAGACTCGGTCATTTATCAAGAAAGGAGGTTTAATTGGCTCATGCTTCTACCGGCTGTACAGGAAGCATGGTGCTGGCGTCTGCTTGGCTTCTAGTGAGGCCTCATGGCGAAAGGCAAAGGGGGAGCAGGTGCACACCTGGCTAAAGCAGCAGCAAGAGAGGGAGTGTGTGTGCAGAGGGGAGGTGCCACACACTTTTAAATGACCAGATCTCTTGAGACCTCACTATTCCAGAGATAGCACCAAGCCATGAGGGATCCACCTCCATAATCCAAATACCTCCTACCAGGCCACACCTCCAGCATTGAGGATTATAATTCTAGATGAGATTTGGGTGGGGACAAATATCCAAAGTATATCACAGAGCAACCAAGGCCATTCTACCTATAAAGGATCTCCTTTAGTTAGTTGCATTTTTTTTAGAGACCTCATACCAAGTCTTTGCCCCATGAATTGTATGCCAGAGATTGACTTGGAGCTTATGCTATAGGCCTGATTGTAATTCCGGGGTAGGCGGTGGAAAGAATGGCTGGGAGGAGCCATAGTTACTGTGGAAGAGATGTTTTAGTTAGTCGTATGGAAGGTATTAGTCAGTAGTGGGCTGCCAAGCTGCCCAATCTTCTGGGTGATGTGTGGCATAGTTCTTGAGGAACGGATGCACAGCTCCGTGAGGGTGATTGGCCATTGTGATACAGGTGGTGAGTGGAGTATACACAGGCTGAAATGGCAGGGTTTTAATAAGGAGTCTAACGGGGTTTGCAATAATCTAGCCCAGGATTCTGCAGGGCTGGAAAATTTCCCCGATAGAAAAGGCTACTGTTGGCTGGGCGCAGTGGCTTATACCTGTAATCCCAGCCCTTTGGGAGGCCTAGGCAGGCGGATCACGAACTCAGGAGATCGAGACCACCCTGGCTAACACGGTGAAACCCCGTCTCTAGTAAAAATACAAAAATTAGCTGGGCATGGTGGCAGGTGCCTGTAGTCCCAGCTACTCAGGAGGCTGAGGCAGGAGAATCACTTGAACCTTGAACCTGGGAGGCAGAGGTTGCAGTGAGCTGAGATCACACCACTGCACTCCAGCCTGGGCGACAGAGCGAGACTCTGTCTCAAAAAAAAAAAAAAAGAAAGAAAGAAAGAAAGAAAAGAAAAGGCTACTGTCTTAATGTCCATCTGAGGATATGTACAGTTGACACTTGAACAACACCGGGTGGGGTAAGGGGCATCAACCCCCAGCCCCATGTCCAGTTGAAAATCTGAGTATAATTTTTGACTCCCTAAAAACTGAATTACTAATAGCCTACTGTTGACTGGAAGCCTTACCAATAACATAAATAGTCAATTAGCACATATTTTGTATGTTATATTATTATATACTTTATTCTTACAATAAAGTAAGCTAGAGAAAAAATGCTATTAAGAACATTGTAAGAAAGAGAAGATATATTTACTATTCATTAAGTGAAAGTGGACAGTCATGAAGTTCCTCATCTTTGTTGTCTTCACATTGAGTAGACTGAGGAGGAGGAGGTAGAGGAGATTGGTCTTGCTGTCTTAGGGGTGGCAGAGGCAGAAGAGGTGGAAGAGGTGGAAGGGAAAGCAGGAGAGGCAGACACACCCTATACTTTTATTGGAAAAAAAATCCACGAATAAGTAGACCCGCACAGTTCAAACCTATGTTGTTCAAGAATCAACTGTATGTATGACATATATCATGTTATTTAAAATCAGAAGAATGTAGGCCTCCAACAACAATGGCTATATGCTGGTTTACATAAATATACAGAATAAATTCAAGGGACCCAAGGTCCTTGTGAATTTAAAAAAATGGAAAAATACAGTGCCTTTAAGACAGATATCCATTGGTAATCAAAGTCCAAGTTGCTTCCCTCTCTCTCTCTCTCTCCTTTTTTTTTTTTTTCTTTTTTTCTTTTTGAGACTACAGTCTCACTTTGTCATCCAGGCTGGAATGCAGGGGCTCAATTACAACTCACTGCAACCTTGACCTCCCAGGCTCAAACAATTCTCCTGCCTTAGCCCAGTGAGTAGCTGGGTATACAGGCACGTGCCACCATGCCTGGCGAATTTAAAAAATTTTTATGTAGTGACTGGGTCTCACTACGTTGCCCAGGCTGGTCTCAAACTCCTAGGTTCAAGTGATCCTCCTGCCTTGGCCTCCCAAAGTGCTGGGAGTTACAGGTGTGAGCCACCATGCCTGGCCTCCAGGTTGTTTCTAAACATCTTCACATGAATGGAAGCAGGAAAATTTTAAGTGAGACTGACTACATTATTTATGTGACTTAGTGCAAAATGAAAACATAGGGTCCCTTGTTCAAAAATTACTAATTTCAAGACAGTGACAGCAGAGCATTAAATCAAATACAAGGTCCCTCTAAGCAAGGTGACCTGTGAAACTGTGCAGGTCACAAGCCCATGAAGCCAGCCCTGCTTTGAAAATTTCCAAGAGAGTCTTTGAGACTTGTTGAAGACAGGAGGGCCAATGCAGGGCTGAACTGTACCAGTAATTGCTGAGGTTATTCTTGCTCCAGTTTTTAATCTTTCTGCTTCTACTAGATATTTCCTCACAGACTATAAAATTTGCCCTTAGGATTCCCCTAGCTACTAATTCATTTCTCTCATTTTCTTCATAGTCAAATAGAAGAGTAGGCTATAATTGCTATCTCTACTTTTATTCTGATTAGACATACATTAACATTTTAAAATCAAGTTTTATCCCCCACAAATCTACCAGATCTTTCCAGCAGGGGCGCTTCTAACTACAAGTAACAGGTAACTTGGCATAGAGTGGCTTAAATAAACCAGAGGGGTTTTTTTTGTTTTTTGTTTTTTTCTCTCATATTCCAGGAGGCCTGGAGATAAACATTTGTGGGTGTTGGTTTAGCAAATCAGCAACATCAAAGCCAACATCATGCTTTTACCACATGGTGGTAAGATGTCTCTGCTCACACCCTGCCCAGCTCCTAGAATCCAGGCTGGAAGAAAGGAGAAATGGTAATGCCAGACACATCTATGTTCCAGTTACCAGAGTTGTGAAGCAAACCACCCCAACACTAAGTGGCACACATCAACCATTTTATTATGTTCACAGATTCTGTGGCACAGAAATTTGTGCAGAGTGCAGTAGGGAAAGGTTGTCTCTGCTCCACAGTGTCTGGGGTCTCTGCTAGGAAGGTTCAAAGGCTGAGGATGACTCAGGGGCTGGGGCTGCAATTGAGTGATGTTCTTACTTACATGTCTGGTCGATGCTAACTGCTGGCTGGGACTCGGATCTGCATGTGGCCTCGTCATGTGGTCTCTTGGCATGGGCTAGTTTGGGCTTCCTCACAACATGGCCGCTGGATTCCAGAAGCAAGTATTCTGAAAGAACAAAGTGGTGGACATGCATGGAATTTTTATTATCTAGTTTCAGATGTCACACGATGTCACTTCCATTGCACTGTACTGGCTAAGACAATCATAAAGTTCACTCCAGGGTCAAGGAAGAGGAAAGAGGACATTGACTCCATCTCTCTCTCTCTCTCTCTTTGCTGTTTTTTTTTTTTTTTTTTTTTTTTGAGACAGAGTCTTCTTCTGTCACCCAGGCTGGAGTGCAGTGCTGACCTCAGCTCACTGCAATCTTCACTTTCTGAGCTCCAGCCATCCTCTCTCCTTGGCCTCCCAAATTGCTGGGATTACAGGCATGAACCACTGGGCTCAGCCTGACCCCATCTCTTAACAGTAGAAGTTTTGGGGTTTGTTTTTGTTTTTGTTTTTTGAGACAAGGTCTGGCTCTATCACCCAGGCTGGGGTGTAGTGGCGTGATCGCAGCTCACTGTAACCTCCAGGCTCAAGCCATCCTCCCACCTCAGCTTGGCTATTTTTTGTAAAAACAGGGTTTGGCCATGTTGGTCAGGCTGGTCTTGAACTCATGAGCTGAAAAGATCTGCCCACCTTGGCCTCCCAAATTGCTGGGATTATAGGTGTGAGTCACTGCACCCGGCTGAGAGGGGGAGTTTTAAGATCACATTATGAGAAGAGCACATAGGGTGGGAGATATTGCTGTGGCTATCTCTGAAAAACACAGTCACAGCCCTTTATTAAGAAAGCAACACTTTCCCAGAAACCACCCACCAGTTACACACACACTTATATCGAATCTGTCTATGTCACATGCATGTTTAGTTGCTAGGAAGGGTGAGAGAGAGAGTACAATACTTGACTTTCAAGTCGATTTAGTGGGAGACGGTGTGGGGAAGGGGGAAGCATGATTGTTAGGGAGGCAATCAGCAAAGTTCAGCATACTCCCACCCACTGCTAGATTCAACCACTCCCTCCTCTCTGCTGTTTTTCCTCCACACATGCCTCTATTTAGCGCCTATAATATTTTATTGATTGATTTGTTTCTTTCTGTTAGGTTCCAAGCCAATATTCTGCTAGATGGGAGGCAGGGACTGTCAATTATTTGTCTTAGTATCTCCAAGGTCTCTTGCTATGCCTGGCACACAGGAAGATCTAATAAAACAATCATTGAATAAATAAGTGACAGGTAAGGTTCTAGAATTTTCTGAGAGGAATAGCTTCTGGTCTTAGATGTTTTAGGGCCCAAGATTACATGTAATTTTAATGGAAAGACACAAAGAAGTCCACTTTCGATGCTCTCAATGGCTAAGTTGCCAGACGGTCTGCAAAGGGCACAGGACCCAAAGGTCTAGAAGACACTTGAATAACAATCACAACTCCCTTCATTTAGATAAGGCGGTTTTACCAACATCATCCTATTTGCTCCTCATAATCACCTTGAAAGCTCAGAAGGGCAGATATTATCATTCTCATTTTGTAAAAGTAACAAAGTCTTAGATTAAGTGGTTTTCTCAAGCTACTATGCAAAGGGAAAGCATGGTGATCACTTTCTAAATTAACCACACGTACAGTTTAAGTCTGGAAGTCTGCGTGATGCAATCAAAGCACTTAGTGCCTGGTTGTAGTCTGCTCTAATTACGGGTGCAGTTTCTGAAAATAACCATGAAGTGTAAAATTACAAGTTTACACACATACACATTGTATATATAGGCATTAGGATGGATACACATACATACAAATCTATATATATATATACACACACAGACACATATATACAAGTCTAATACCATTTACCTTGAAGTTATATGATAGCACTATGTCAAATGATATTCTAAGGAAATAGCTGTATTTTCCTCAAACATATTTTTTTTTTCTCAAAAGTTAGGGTAGAGAGATGTCTATTTATTTTATTTATGTATGTACTTATTTTTGAGACGGAGTCTTGCTCTGTCACCTAGGCTGGAGTGCAGTGGCACGATCACAGCTCACTGCAACCTCTGCCTCCTGGGTTCAAGCGATTCTCTTGCTTCAGCCTCCCAAGTAGCTGGGACTACAGGTGCCTGCCACCACACCTGACTGATTTTTGTATTTTTAGTAGAGACAGGGTTTCACCATGTTGGCCAGGCTGGTCTTGAATTCCTGAACTCCAGTGACCCGCCCTCCTCAGCCTCCCAAAGTGCTGAGATTACAGGTGTGAGCCACTGCTCCTGGCCAGAGATGTCTGTTTAAAAGTTTGTGGTCAGGCACGGTATTTCACGCCTGTGATCCCAGTACTTTGGGAGGCTGTGGTGGGAGGATCACTCAAGGCCAGGAGTTTGAGACCAGCCTGGGCAACATAGCAAGATCTTGTCTCTACAAAAAATTAAAAAATTAGCTGGGCATAGTGTTATGTGCCTGTAGTATTAGCCACTCAGGACCCTGAGGTGAGAGGATCCTTTGAGTCCAGGATTTCAGGCTAGCAATGAGCTATGATGGTGCCACTGCACTCCAGCCTGGGCAACAGAGCAAGACCCTGTCTTTAAAAAAATTAAATTTAATTTAAAAATAAAAGTTTGGTTCATCCAATTCTTAAATGCCCGGCTTGGAGCCTTGATGGTAGTTGATTTGTAAGAATATTCGTGTCTCTCATGATGAAGGAGCGGGAAAGAATTGTGAAGTATGTTAACTCAGCACTACACAGTCTTTGCTAAGGTACTAGGGAAAGTCCTGTGGAGAGGAGAGTCACACACAAGAATGTTGATGCTCAGTGGCCCAGAGTTTCAGGGCAACATGGAGCTGACCTATTGGAACTGGCAATCAAGTAATGAGAATGTGAAAAAGAGATTTTGCAACTAAGGAAACAGGAGTTACCCAGGGTCATCCTAAAAATGTTCCCGCATTCCCTAGGAGATTATCCCCAAACCCTGTGTATGTTCAAATGAGAACTCCAGAAGTGGAGGAACAAGAATGATGGTTACCAGAAGAATGTGCCTGGGTTAATTACGAAGGAAATGACAGGGGTATGTAATACCAAGTGAGTCAGTATTCCTTATACTCTGTTTAAAGAACAAATGCTTGAAAGTGTGTAGAAAGAGTCATTACCATTTCAAACAAGTAATTTCGGTCTTTACCATTTCCACCCAGTAATTAATGGCCAACTTTGCACTAAGGTTGTAGGTCTGTACATTTCTTCTAGAGTGTTTGCTTTAGTTTTCTTGTGTTCGAGTTTATGTGTATGCACCCTAACTGTTCCAAGACTGGACTGCTGAAGAACAAGTGACTACAGCTTATTTATCTTTATGTTTTGCAGAGGCCCAGCACAGGGCTTTGTACTTATTAGGAACTTACTAAATGTTGTTTGGATTGAATGGCTCTGTGTAGAGGCTGTGAAGGCAGATAATGGAGAGCAGGTCCTTGACTTAATTAGGTTCAATCAATATATCATAAAATTCCCAGGGAAATTCAATTACAGGTCAAGGCTATGAAGCTAACAGTGGTATCTAAAACAGCCAGGATTATTATCTATCTTTTTTGGCATTCAAAAGAATTTGACCCCCAGCCCTGATGCCTACAAGGGGTATGTGTAAAAATGATCTAGCTGGAAATATAAGAAAGAGAGTTCTAAAGTAGTAGGCTTTATTTCAAGTAGCCTTGAAATACATCTTAAGGAATCCTCCCATGTCTTTGGCAGCTTTTTAGAAGTCGCAATATCCAAGAAAAAAGTATATTCCCTCTATAGTTTCCCACCTGACTGATTTTTGATATGGCACAAAATATACCCAGAAGTCAGAAATGTCACATGCAGAACATCTTTGTGCCTCTGACCGATGCTTATTATAATGTTGCGTGACCACACTGATAAGGATGAGTGAACCTTGAACTGGCTGGTAAATGAAAAATGACTTTTAGTTTCATGACAGCCCTGGAGAGATGACAGTCTCAGACTCTTGTCTTCTTCCTTATTCAGATATTGATCCCTGGCACCTGATTCTGAGGGCAAAGTTTTAAAAATCTACTTAGCTAGAACTATTTCCTATTATTGAGGAACTCAGTCAATGACAGACCAAACTGTCGTCCCTTTCAGTGGTGCTGTTTATCATGACTTTAACTCTCACTTATGAAAGGAAACTCCAAGATCTTCATCTCCAGCCTAGACCTCTTGTCTGAGCTCAACCCTGTTTGCTAATTCATTGAAAATTTACTGATTGGGCATCTACTAGGTACCAGGTAGTATATTTGAGGCTGGAGATATAGTAAGGCACGATCTCATCTTTTTTTTTTTTTTTTTTTGAAACAGAGTCTTGCTCTGTTGCACAGGCTGGAGTGTAGCGGCACGATCTCGGCTCACTGCAACCTCTGCCTCCTCGGTTCAAGGGATTCTCCAGCCTCAGCCTCTCGAGTAGCTGGGATTACAGGCACACGTCACCACGATCAGCTAATTTTTGTATTTTTTTTTTTTAGTAGAGACAAGGTTTCACCATGTTGGTCAGGCAGGTCTTGAACTCCTGACCTCAGGTGATGCACCCGCCTCGGCCTCCCAAAGTGCTGGGATTATAGGCATGAGCCACCGTGCCTGGCCACAATCTCATCTTTTAAGGAACTCAGACTGTCAGGAAGATGGAAAAGTAGACCTGTACTCATGATATAGGGTTATCAGTTCTAGGGAAAAAGCATAACCAGGAGATTCTGGAAGCACCAGACTTTCAGACTTGGATATGTGGTTGCGGGGAGCTTCCACAACTACGGCTTTCAAGTAGTTATTTCAGCTCACCTAAGATTCAACATTTCAAATAAAGAATTCATAATTTTCTCTCTACAACCCTCATGGCTTCCTAATTTTTCTATTGCTATAAAAAGTACTATTTTCTCAGTGATTCAGGCTTAAAACCTTGTGCTATGATTTTTTTCATTCCATTCAGCTATTAAGTCCTATCAGTTATTTTCTAACATTTCAGGTCCCTTACGCCCTGGGCACAGTAATGCCTGGGGGGACTTTGTTTTCTGCCTTTACTCATCACAATTCCAGGCACTTAGGATTACCAAAGTTCAAAAAACAGAACAAACTAACCAGCTAAAACCACCTACTAGTCCACACCTCCGTCACCTCACTTATGAATCACGGACCTGGCCTCCTAGCTGATCTCTCTGGCTCCTAGGCCTGCCTACCAGGATCTATCCCACATGCTGCTACTGAGAATTTATTTCCCTGGAGCCTGTCTGACTTGATAATGTGGCTTTAAAATGAAGAGAGTGGGAGAGATAAAATACCTACCTAAACCTGTGAAACTAGCATGCAGTAAATATGAGTACATATAACATTAAAAAGGGTAAGAGAACAGGAACTAGTCGTCCCTCGATATCCTTGGGGGATTGGATCCAGGATCCAAGATACCCCTGTTAGCTTCATAGCCTTGACTTGTAATTGAATTTCTCTCGGAATTTTTATGATATATTGATTGAACCTAATTAAGAACAGGAACTACAGTCATCCCTCGATATCCTTGGGGGATTGGATCCAGGACTCCAAGGATACCAAAATCTATGGATGCTCAAGTCCTGAATATAAAATGGTGTAGTATTTGCATATAGCCTATGCACACCCTTCTGTATACTTTAAATCATCTCTAGATTACTTAAAATACTAATATGACATAAATATCACGTAAATAGTTTTGATACTGTGTTGTTTAGGGAATAATGACAAGAAAAAAGATTCTGTACATGTTCCGTACAAACACAACCCTTCTAGTTCTAATTACATTTTCCATCCGAGGTTGGTGGAATCCGTGGATGTGGAACCCTTAGATACGGAGTGCCAATTGTACCTGGTAATTCAGCAGGGAAGCCGACAGGGGAGCAATAAGGATGACATGAAGGACAGATGCCAAGGTACAGGACAAGGTAACTACATTTGTTTCCTGTAACTGTTGCAACAAATGACCACAAACTTGGTGGCTTACAGCAACAGAAATCTATTATCTCACAGTTCTGGAGGCCAGAAATCCAAAATCATGATCACTGGGCCCAAATCAAGGTGTGGGCAGGGTCACACTCACTCTCTCTGAAGGCTCTGGTGGGGGGAATCTGAGCCTTACCTCTTCCAACTTTTGGTGGCTGCTGGTATTCCTTGGCTTGTGGCTGCCTCACTCCAGTTTCTGCCTTTGTGGTCACATTGCCTTCTGCTTTCCTGTCTGTGGGTTCTCTCTGTGCCTTCCTCTTTTTTTTTTTTTTTTTTTTTTTTTTTGAGACAAAGTTTCACTCTTGTTGCCCACGCTGGAGTGCAATGGCATGATCTCGGCTCACTGCAACCTCTACCTCCTGGGTCCAAGCGATTCTCCTGCCTCAGTCTCCCGAGTAGCTGGGATTACAGGTGCATGCCACCATGCCCAGCTAATTTTTGTATTTTGCATTTTTATTTTTTTTAGTAGAGATGGGGTTTCTCCATGTTGGTCAGGCTGGTCTTGAACTCCTGATCTCAGGTGATCTGCCAGCCTCAGCCTCCCAAAGTGCTGGGATTACAAGCGTGAGCCAACGCGCCTGGCCTTCCTCTTGTAAGAATATGTGCGATTGCTTTCAGGTTCCACTCAGATAATCCAGGATGATCTCCCCAAGTCACAACCCTTAGTCACTCCTGCAAAGCGCTGTTTCGCATATAAAGTCAAGTTTACAGGTTCCAGAGATTAGGATGAGAAAGTCTTTCTGGGAGGCCATTATCCAACCTAACATAGTAATAAACTAACTTTTAGATCATGACCTAGGCCTGTATACCTGATCTCATGGTTACCTTAGAATTAGAGCTGGCTTTTAGACATGTGGATGAAGCACAGGACAATTCTTTGCAGGGGAACAACACAAGCAAAAGCCCCAGAGTAGCTATGAAAATGCAGGAAACAGAATAGGGACCAGACCACTGGATTGGAAATGCCATCTGGGACAATTTATTGTAGCTGGAGATAAGGCCAGCTACGTAATGAAAGAGGGACCACATAACAGAAGAGTTTGAGTGTTGCAGACCTGCTCTGATAGAGGGAGAAGGCTGTTGTTTCTTTTACAGGAATTACTGTCTTGGAAGCCCTGTTGTAGGAGGATCAGTCTGTGGGCCTTGTGAAGGCCACTCTATTTCTATCTAAGAAACTTTATGCAGAAGCTTAAGTTAATGGTCCAGAAACCCAGATTCCACCATCTGGATACCATCTCAGATTTTCCCCTCAAATTGCTACTAACAGGTCCAGCCTTAGACAAAACTGTGAAGAAAATCTAAACTCTACCGTAGCCCACCAGATCTTTTATGATTTGGCCTAAACACCCCTTCAACATCACATGTCATTTTCTTCATTCCCCATTAGTTCCCTCTCAATCCTTTTTTTTTTTTTTTCAGATACACTTTCACTCTTGTTGCCCAGGCTAGAGTCCAGTGGTGTGATCTCAGCTCACTGCAACCTCCACCTCCCGGGGTTCAAGTGATTCTCCTGCCTCAGCCTCCAGAGTAGCTGGAATTACAGGCGCCCACCACCATGCCGGCGTATTTTTTGCATTTTTAGTAGAGACGGGGTTTCGCCATGTTGGTCAGGCTGGTCTCGAACTCCTGACCTCAGATGATCTGCTTGCCTCGGCCTCCCAAAGTGCTGGGACTATAGGCGTGAGCCACTGCGCCGGGCCTGCCCTCTCAATTCTTTGAAGACATCAAACTCATTCCTGCCTCAGGATTTTTGAATGTGCTATTTTCCCTCCCCTCCAGCACCGTCTTCTCCCACAATTTGCAGGGCTGGCCCTATCTCCTCCTTTTAATCCCAACCTGAGTGTCACTTGTTTCAGAAACTCCCCTTTGACCACCTGGAAAATCTATGTAAAGCAGGCTCTCCATTACTGTATCTCTTGGTTTTCTCAAAGCACTTGCCACAATTGGTGATGATATGTACTTTTTCTTTTACTTGTTTATTGTCTGCCTCTTATCATCTTTACAAAGGAGAACCATTTCTTTGCCTTCATGCATTCAACAAATATTTATTGAGCACTTACAATGTGCCAGACACTGTAGCAAATGCTGGGAGGCATCAATGAATGAAAAGATGCAATCTCTGTTGTCAGGGAACTGACATTCCAATGGAGGCAGACAATCAACATGCAAGTGAGTGTACAACATGGCAGGTGGAGATGAGCGCCAGGAGGAAAAATCTGGCAGGATAAGGGAATAGAAAGGTAGGGTGCAGGGTGCTGCTTTCTGAGACATGGTCAGGAAAGGTCTCCCCAAGGTGACATCTCAGCAGAGACCTGAAGAATGTAAGGAGCCAAGCCATGCAGGTATCTGGAGGAAGAGTTTTCTAGGTAGAGGCAACAGTAAGTTGAAAGGCTGTGAAGTGGGAGAAGCTTGGCTGGCATGTTTAAGAAAAGCAAGGAGGCCAGAGTGGCTAAATTGGAGAGAGCAAGTGTATGAGGCCTGGTAGACTCAGTAAATACTTTGGATTTCACTCAGAGAGACACGCAAGTTGTTGGAGAGTTCTGAGGAGGGGAGTGATTTGTTATAACTTACATTTTTCAAGGATCACTCTGGCAGCTGACCTAAGAATAGGCTATATAGGAATACAAGGATTACAGCAATGAGATCGGTTAGGAAACTGTTGGCTGGGTGCAGTGGCTCACGCCTGTAATCCCAATACTTTGGGAGACTGAGGCGGGAGGATCGTTTGAATCTGGGAGGCAGAGATTGCAGTGAGCCAAGGTTGGGCCACTGCATTTCAGCCTGGGCAATAGAGTGAGACTGCCTCAAAAGAAAGAAGGAAAGACAGAAAGAGAGAAAGAGAGAAAGAGAAAGAAAGGAAGGAAGGAAGAAGAAGAACTGAGATAAAGGGAGGTCTAAGGGCAAGTGAAGCAAAGTTTTCAAGAAGGAAGAAGCGATGGACTCTTGGAAGGCTACTGGCAGACAGAGCCAGATGTCTGTCTTGTAAGCCCTTCTCTTCTCTTCCAGTATTAGATGCTACTTGAATATTTGTTGAATGAATAAAGAAACAAGGTGAGGTTTGTGCCTTTATGAGTCTTATAAAGGGGTAATTTTTGCATTTTTGAGGTGGAGCTAGAGCAGGTTTATTGATCCAGATGAGAGAGTCTTAACTCAGAGCCTCAAACTTAACAAGGCAAAAACAACATAAGGTGTCTTAATGGCAATGCTGTCCCTCCAGAATACCAACAGGTGAAAAACAGGAGGGCTAAGAGTTTCTGTTTCCCCACATCCAGGACGTGGCCATTAGGTGGTGATGGGCAGACAAATGCTTGGAGAGATTCTCGGCCGCCTAAGTGTCCCGTGTGTCTGACATGAAGAGAGACAGCACTTCTAAAAGATTCCAGCAGCAGGGACAGAGGGATTGTCCAGTTATCTTTGGCTGCCTGGGGCTATCACCCCGCCTCTCCCCAGATGAGCTGACTCTTTTGCGACCAGCCAAATATCAGGTACCCACCAGGTTGATAAGTCACCGTGAGAGTGACCAGACCTTTCGAGTGGGGGCTCAATGGGCAAAACAAACTCATCAATGTTTGTTATTGTGCAAAATATGTATTATAATACAAAAATATGGAATTTTGAAATTTTTAGTCACATTAAAAACTTTAAAAAGTGAAATTCATTTTAATAATATATTTTATTTAACTCAACATATCCCAAATATGATCATTTCAACATGGAATTAATGTACAATATTATTAAAGAGACATTTCACGTTCTTTTGTCTATTTACTTATTTTTTTTTTTTTTTAGTTTTTTAGAGATAAGGTCTTGCTCTGTCGCCAAGGCTGGAGTGCATTAGCACGAACATAGCTCACTCTAACCTAGAACTTTTGGACTCAAGCAGTCCTCCTACCTTGGCCCAGTGTTGGGATTACAGGAATGAGCCACCACATTCAGCCACATTATTTTGTCTTTTTTGTAATGAGTCTTTGAACTCTGGTGTGTATTTTACATCTATGGCACGTCTCAATTTGAACCAGCTACACACAGCTAGGGCTATTGTATTGGACCACACAGGTTAAAAAAAACTTGCCTTTGAGCTGGCACCGTGGCATGCACCTGTAGTCTCAGCTACTCAGGAGGCTGAGGTGGGAGATCACTTCAGCCCAGGAGTTCGTGGCCAACCTGGGTACCATAGGAAATCCTGTCTCAAAACAACAACAAAAACCCTACCTTTGCAAGCCAATCACGCACATGCATTTCCAATGTGGCACTGGCACCTAAATTCAAAGCTACCTCAGCCAGCTTCATAGCTAAGGATTACAGGTATTAGCTTCTTTAGGGGAAGTCTGGAGACCAAAGAACAGGGTCGCATCAGGTGCTTGAGCCCCAAGGAGAGGAAATTGTACAGACAGTGTCTCTTTCCCTTTCTAGACCATTGTCCTCACAACCAGTTGCTGGTTCTCAAGCTGCTCAAGACCTTCTGTGCCACAAACAGAACTGAATGTATAAACTAGATCCCATGAAACTCTGCCAGTGTCAGCAGGAAGAGGAGAACAAACACTCTGTGAGCTTCCAGCTTTTCCTAATTCCTTCCCAAGACTTCAAAGTCCTACAGATGCTTCTTCTTCTCTTTCGCCAGCTGCCCTGTGCCTGGGAAAGGTCCATGCTTCCATAAGTCCTCTTGGTGACTTGTAGGCATCTCAGCAGATCAAGGCCTGGACACATGAACTATGAGTGACTCGATTTGTCCTACATCCTGCAACACTGACATTTGCCTTCGGACAAGAATATTTAAGTTAAAGAAATTAATATGTGATGGTAGGCCAGGCGCGGAGGCTCACGCCTGTAATCCCACCACTTTGGGAGGCCAAGGCAGGCAGATCACAAGGCCAGGAGATCAAGGCCATCCTGGCTAACACAGTGAAACCTCGTCTCCACTAAAAATACAAAAAATTAGCCGGACGTGGTGTCACGCACCTGCAGTCCCAGCTACTTGGGAGGCTGAGGCAGGAGAATCTCTTGAAGCCGGGAGGCGGAGGTTGCAGTGAACCGAGATCACGCCACTGACTCCAGCCTGGGAGACAGAGTGAGATTCCGTCTCAAAGAAAAAAAAAAAGAAATTAGTATATGATGGTAAAATTTTGGGGAACACTGCCCCTGAATGAAGGAGAGGGGGTAATTTTTGGATGACAGGATGCACTGGCTCTTTGCATGATGGGCTGATTGGTTACCTAATCCCATGTCTCTTTCCTCTTTCTGCAAAGGCTGTTTGGACTCTGCCTGTGGGCTTAGTACTCCTCGAACCGGAAAAAGAACAGTAAATTGGCAACTCACAGCTGGTCCTTCTCTGAACATGACATTCTATTTGGGAAATATAGCCCTTGCTTTTTCCATAGGACCCAGTCCAGTCCTAGTCCCGGACTCTCCCAGCACCATCCAGCCTTGCACACCCAGGCTCAGCATCCCGTAGTTACTTTGGTAATCCAGCCCAGCCTGGCAGTGTATTTCAAGCCCCATCCCTGCTTCCCTCCCTGCAGGTGTGGTTTGGATTTAGTCTTAATGATAGTAATAGCTCTGTTTATGGAGCACCTGTGATGGTGCCAGGCACAGAGCTTGGCGCGTCATACACATTGCATCATTGAATCATCACGACAACCTTGCCAAGTACATGTTGTTATTCCCATCTTAAAAATAAGGCAAACACAACTCAGAGATGTTGATTAACTAGCTGATGGTCTCACAGCCAGTAAATGGCAGCATCAAGACTAAACCCCAATTAGTCAACTCCAGAGTATAGATCAAACTCTGCCACCCCAAAGTCTCACTGCCCCTGGCCAATATCAGGTACATCTGGGGGGGGTCCAACAAGCTCCAGCTCCCCATCTCACCCTCACCTGTGTGTGCCCTGTCTATGTGACTGTGTGTCTGCCCTGGGTCCTGACTTTTATTTCTGCAACTGAAGCTCTGCCCTGACCCCAGGTTACTTTGCTGAGGCCCTCATGTCCCTCCTGGGGCCTTGCCTACCTCCTCTTCCTGGAGGCTGGGCCTGGTCCCTCCAGCTGCTAGACGGAGTCTTGTAATCAGTTGGCCAGGACTTTCCCAGAACCATAAACCCCCTCCTGCTTGACTACACGCATGATTGCTACCTAGAGATGGTTGTGTGTTATTGCCTTGCTCCCTGTCAGCCCCTGTTTAATGCTCAAGCACATGTATGTCAGCCCATGTTGGGACTACTACCTATAAGGTCACTATACACACACACACACACACACACACACACACACACACATATATATATACACACACACATATATATATATAAGCTATAGATATATAAGCTATATATATATATATATATATATAGTACTTACACAAAAGCTTACAGTTTGCTATGAAACTGCTCTGGGATGTATCCTGTATACCTGGTCCTCCATTCCTCTCTTGCTTCCTAGTTTCATGATTTCCCATCAGGCTCTTTTAACTTTATTCTCAGTCAAACTCATTTTATGACCCAGTTTTGGATTTGCTCTCGAAGACTCGACATGACTCTCAGTCTGTATTTTCATTCAGCCTTCGCCACAGTAGCCATTGCCCTAGGTAAGACCTGCTGTGTCCAGCAATCTACCGTAGCTCATGGGATTTGCCCCTGCAGTTTTGCCTGGTTCCTGCCTGAGAGGAGAAACAGGCACCGGGCCCCTACTGGCAGATTTGAACACTGGCACCAGCGCATGTCAGACCCTAGTTTGTGGTTTGGACAGCTGGCTTCTTTCCTTGGGGCTGGGCCAAAAACCAAATTAATCCCTCTTGCTTGGTCACTGCCAATTTTTAGCTCATTCTTTCAGTGCTCACCCACCATTGAGATCCCAGCATGCTGTGTAGCCAAGTTGGCCCAAATGACAGCCTCCACATTCCCCCAACTTTCAGAAAGTCCCTGACTAGACCTCGGTTCCCTGTTCTCACCTCAGTACTCCCTTTCTCCAGGGCTGGGGGCTGCCTGGGGTTCCCAGGACCCAGTGCCTGGCTTTCCCCTACTGCGCTGCCCACACTGCTGTTGGTCCCATCCACATATGGACCTCACTGACACCAACTGCCTGCCTGGATCGCTACCAATTGCCTCACTCCATGGAGTTCTGCCAGACAGCAAGACAGCCAACCAGGGCCAGGCTGTGCCCCCAGCACTCACCACCTTGTAACTACTTTGTCACCCCAATCACATGTTCCACGAGGTGGCCTGTCTGCCCATTCCTCATCTGGCCTCTCTCCCTGGCTCTATTTTTCAAAATCTTAATGTACTCTGATGGAAATGAATGGCTGCCCATGGTTCTGAAAACATGGGATCTACCTGTGGCCCTTCTCATGTGTCTTGCAACTTATCCCCTTTCCCCGGATTGTACTGATTTCTAGAAGATTCATCCATATAACTCATCACCTTCTAAATTGGGTTTTGGGCTCCTGTAAGGTGATAATCATGTCTTATCCTGAATTAATTTAATAAATCCCGAGTCCTTACTATGCCCTTTTCCCTATGCTAGATCCTAGGGTGGGGTGAGTGGATAGGGGGCAGCACATATGTAGCATCATGAATCAAAAAGAGCCTTCGAGAGAGGGAGAGCATGTGACTGATCATCTGAATTGGGAGACTTTTGAGAGTGAAAACAATTCTAAATAATCATTTGATTTATAGCAGGTGTAAACTAGGACTATCATGGACCACTGGAAATTATGATTACATTTCTTTTTTTTTTTTTTTGAGACGGAGTCTCGTTCTGTCGCCCAGGCGGGAGTGCTGTGGCGCGATCTCCGCTCACTGCAAGCTCCGCCTTCCGGGTTCACGCCATTCTCCTGCCTCAGCCTCCCGAGTAGCTGGGACTACAGGCGCCCGCCACTGCGCCCGGCTAATTTTTTGTATTTTTAGTAGAGACGGGGTTTCACCGTGGTCTCGATCTCCTGACCTCGTGATCCGCCCGCCTCGGCCTCCCAAAGTGCTGGGATTACAGGCGTGAGCCACCGCGCCCGGCCGATTACATTTCTTACATATTGTTTGGTTCAGCCCTCACAGGCCCAGCACACCGAATGAACTGATCTGCAAGCTAGGGCCAGTGCTGGTGCCAGGCACAGAACCTCCATCTCTCAACTCCCACCTCTCGCTGATTCTGTTGTCTTTCATTTGAATCTTTGCCCCTTAGAAGTTTGTAATCTAATTAGCAAATCTACAAGAATCATGGAAAAACACAAGGCAATGTGTGATTAACTGCCGAGTAAATGATACAGACAGTTTGTTCTATACAAACTGTGTTCTATGGTACCCTAGGGTTTCTCAGGCTCTCAACAGAGAGATGCCCAGGTGGCCACACTTTGCATCTACCAGAACCCTTCTGTGTGTGTGCGTGTGTGTGTGTGTGCGAGCGACATGGTCTCACTCTGTCATCCAGGCTGAAGTGTAGTGGTGTGATCACACCTCACTGCAGCCTTGACTTCCCAGGCTCAATCAATCCTCCTAACTCAGCCTCCTGAGTAGCTGGGACTATAGGAGCACCACCACTACAGGCTAATTTTTTTAAATATTCTTTTTTGTCGAGATTGGGTTTCACTATGTTGCCCAGGCTGGTCTTGAAATCCTGGGCTCAAGCGATCCTCCTACCTCGGCCTCCCAAAGTGCTGGGATTACAGGCATGAGCCACTGCACCAAGCCAGAACCCCTCTTCTTATATCTGGTTTTCATATTGGTTTCTGCAGATTTTTGTCCTCAATAAAGAGTCCTATGGCTTTAAAAAGTGTGAAACTTTTGTGGTAGAGAATAAATAGAATGAAGGGTCAGGTAAGGGAGGGTTCTTTTTGTGTTTGTGTTCAGAAGCTAGGGTACATACGTTGGGTCTTAAAAGATGGGCAGAATTGAGACACTTCTAATGTACTTCCAACCACATCCAACTCAACATCATGATCCAAGTTGTTGCTTGATAGATGCTAGTTGACTTCCTTGGCCCTCATGTACACACAAGTACATTTTGTGGTTTAAAAAAGTGCTGTAATAATAGCTAACCAGCATGACCTCATGTTTATTTCTCTGATTCCTGCTTCCTGATTCATTACATGTTCTTACTCTTCCTACCTTATTCCTAATACATCCTTAGCACTGCATTTCCCAGTAATGAAAGTATGAAGGTCTCTCTTCATACTTACGTGGGCAAGACCACCCATGTCCCCCAGCATTAAGGAATCCTGTTGACCTGATTCCTAGCAATGACAATGGCGCTGTAATAGTGCTGCCTGTCCACAGGTTGGCCACCTGGTAGGGGGCAGTGGCTTATGGGTGGTTATTGATCTAATGGCAGCTAACTGAATCCCACCTGGTAGGACATTGTGAATGACCTCTGCCCCATTCACACAGGAAACGGGAGTGCTCATGAGCTCCATTGGTGCTGGGACTATCATGGACCACTGACCTGCAGTGACCCGCAGAGCTCTCGACACCTGCAGCAGAGTGAGCCTGAAGGAACAACTCAGAGGCTCATGAATAAAGCCCTGCTGGTTTGTCCAGCAGCCTTGTTGGTTGTAAATTCATACAGATGGAGCGCAGGGTTTCCTGCACATTTATAGAATACACCAAACAGAAAAGGCAACGGAGTTTAGGTTACGTCTAAGCCCTTGGGTTCAGCCATTTTATGGCTACCGTGGTGTCAAAGGATGTGCAATAAGCTACAGTTCTAGTTCAATGTTTAGTGAGGATTTTTTTGGCCTTCATTTGCCTAGAATTTCCGATTAGACTATTTTCAAAAATAGCTAAATTCAATTCCATCACATCTACAAAGATTTTCAAAAAGTAACCAGCCTAGCTTTCTACTCTTCAAGGATGCATCAGTACCTTTCTGTGACCCTAGAAGAAGTGGAGGGAACCCTCTCTGCATGATGGAAAATCAATTTTCTAACTTCTTATGGAACCATAAATCTCTACCACACACAGGACAGAGAACTAGACTGTTTATACTCATTCAAATGATAATCAAACAACCTAGTGAATTGCTATCTTATGCTTGATATACACTCTATATGTAAAATGAACAGAACATGATTCAGAGCTCAAGTTTTCACTGATTCTCAGGAAGAAATGGCCTTGAATACTCTCATACACACAAGGGCAATTAATAGCCTTATTTAGTTTCAAACATAACCTCTAACAATTGCTATTCCTTGAGTATCATAAGCACTTTACATACATTATCTCATTTTAGCTTCATCAGGACGCTAGAAAGTAGGTATCATTAACACGGTTTTATAGAGGAGGTGATAGGCACAAGAAAAATCGATTGACTTTCCCAAGGCAGCAGAGCTGAGCTCTGAATCCACATCTCTTGGAAGCTCATGCTGTCAATCAACATGCTGTACCCTCTTATCAAAGACCTAATCAAATATTGATTATTGATTCTCTGTATTTAATTTTCAACAATACATTTTTGATCAGGGAGAAAGCATCTAGAAGAGAGTCCTAGAAGTCAGTCAATGCTAAATGAATGCTTTTCTTTTTGGAAGATGCACTAGGTTAAAGAACAAATGGAATGATCAAGAAAAGAGCTTGGTATTGCGTGCAAGCCATATGAAGCACTGTGCTTGTCAAAAGCATATTTAAAAACCAAAGATTCAACTCTTTTGTCACCTAGCCATGATGAGGCATGGCAAAGACATTTTCCTGTAACACCTACGGGAAGTTATTCTCTTGGGAAATTAATAATTATTTAACACTGGCTGAAACAAGGTAAATTTGTCAAGTTTAGACATACATTAGGGAAGGGCAGACACATGCCTTCTGGAAATCAGCAGTGGGTAGCATAAAACCTGTATACTGGGTACTGGTATACCTTTGCATTTTGATTTTTGCAACATTTTCTGCTCCATTTAACAACTTGACTGCATTACAATGTGTGTTACAAGGATTTGGACTCATGTTTTTTAGGTGGTAAAATGAATGCATTCATGAGCTTCAGGAACACAAACAGGAAATCAATTTATACTGAGTGGCAACTAAGGATTAGAAAAAAAAATCGGGTGTCAGGAAGAGAATTGACATGTGGGAAGCAAACAAGAACAGGATTTCAAGGAAGACAGAAAAGAATAACAGCATGTAGGATAAAGGTTAATAAGCAAGCTAGACGGGTCTTAGCTTCTAAAAATATGAGTTAGTAAAGTTCTGGACTGACTGATAACTAAGGGATTGGAGTTGACTGCTAGCTTTATCTTTGACGTATGTGATTTTGAGAAACACAATTATTCTGTGTCTCAATTTCTTTATCTGTAAAATGGACTCATTGAACCACCTACTCAACTCTTTGTCGGTATAAAGATCACCAAGATAAAGATTACAAAATGTACTGCACGCATATGGGATACACCACTTACTGTAAGCAACACTATATTTTACTTTCAGTTTCCTGTAACTAAAGTATACTAAAGCAATATTCTAAAGCAAATCCTCAGGTACTCATCAAAATTTCCTGTGCTGGATGAATTACTTCCCTATTTTCTTTTTAAAGTTCTTATTTGGAATGCATAAGAAATGGAAAGTTTATTAGTTACTCCAAGCTTTATATATGAAGCTTGAACTGGATTATGTATCTAAATTGAGTCCTAAATTTCAGGTTTATTTAAAAGCATATGGATTGTGAAAATAGGAAATTGGCTATTTTATCTTGTGGAGCACACATTTTATGATAAAGCCAATCATTGTTACATACAACGTAAATTTTTAAATGAGGGCACTGATTTTTTAAAAGGATAGGAAAAATTAATTCATTAGTGTAGGAAAACAAAGAGGATTGCTAGTATCTTGCCATGCTAATTTAGCATAGGAGTTCAATAATATAGGAAGGTTCCATCAACCCCAAGTTCTTTTGGGAGTTGCCAAAGACTGCCTCCAAAATCACAGCAGCCTGGAAATGGGTGTATCTTCTCATAGATGCTATACAGGGTTTAGCTGTGGACTTAACTGCCTCAAGGCACAATATTCCCTAAGTCAATTGGCAAAATACTGTGAGACGGAAATTTACCAGCAACACTGTAACTATTTATACACTGCTGCCATCTTGAAAGGGCACTGGATTCATTCTCAGGACATCATCCAGATGAATTGTGGAAAAGAGGTCATGGGCTGTTTGGAATGGGAGCTCTGTAGGATAGAATTTCAGTTCTGGCATTCCTTTGCTTCTTGTCCTTCATCCTGGTGTAACAATGCATCTGGCCCAACTCATGTTTCCTCAAGGCAGCTCAGTTCCAGTTGAGCTCTGTAGACCAAGGAGGGAGGAAACTTGGGCCCTGCCTTCTAGAGAGCTCTTTCTCAGTTGACAGAGGATAGACTAGTCATGATTGGAAAATAAATGGCATGCTGTGAAACAGAGGAAGGTACCCAGGATCAAGTGCAACTTACCAGGCTAAGTCAGAAACACAGAGAAGAGTAGTAAGAGAGCAGAGAAAGCCGTGATGGGCATCTCTTACCAACACCATCTATACAGCAATGCCTGAATCAGAGAACGCTTTAAGCCCAAGTCTGCACCTGGCAGCACTTCCTTCTTCAACAATAAACTGAATAAAGACTTCTGGGTTCCTATTGTGTGCCATGCCGTTTGGCAGGGGGGTCGCTGCAGGAACATGTGTCATATTGGTCACTTATCATCCACTCCACCTTTTCTTCTGGCAGCAGCCCTTGAGTTTCTTTTAGGGAGCCACTCCCACCCACCCCTGCTTAGTCGGCTTGGCTTAGACAGGCTCCACCCCCAGCTCCAGGCTGGAGCACGTGACTGAGGGCTGGCCAATCACGGCACTGAATTCCTCTTGCTAGCGATTCATGTAGTGATTGAGTCACTCAGGTTCCTCCAATAGCAATGAACCAAGGACCTAAGTGGGACGTACCAGGGAGATATTTTCCTCCTGAAGTTACTTACCGAAATGGTGACGTGAGCCTGGAATGGCCAGGAGCCACTACATAGTACCTAAAATAAACCCACACTGCGGGAGGCAGAGCTAAGACAGAGAAAAATGGAATTCTGAAGATATTATTAGAGCTGCTATCAATCTGGCCCTAGCCCCGAACTTTTCAATTACTTGGGCCAATAGATTTTCTCCTCCCACCCCATCTTCTTGGCTGAAGCCAGTTTGAATTAGTTTTTGTCTTTTGCCACCAACACTGAAAGAGTTTTGATATAGAGACGGATGAAAAGACAGCATTCCTGATCCTGAGGCGGCAGACGTAAACTCAAGTGTGGTAAGTGTGAATGTGGAGATATGTTCCCAGTGTGGTGCGGGCAGAGGGAGAGGCTGATTCTCTCTGGGGGAGGAAGTGCGTTCATCCTGGGAAGGGCAACAGTTGGTGCCTAGCCTATACCCCTACTGACCATAAGACGTACACAATCTCTATTCCTCACATGCCTCAAGCTAATTAGTTCTAGGAAGATCCAGTGGTCTGGAAAAAATTTCTGGCAACTCCTTTTCTTCTCCAATTTCCCCTAGACTGTGCATTTCCATTAACTGGCAGATATTGCTGAAGACCGCACAGTCTTAGTCAAAGACTGAGCAGGTGAAAATGGCAAAAGAAAACGTTTTTCTCTCTTTAGAGAAGCAGTAATTGGCATTATGCCCTCTCCGCAGCAAGAATAGGTTATGTAAATGACAAAAATAGCAAAGGCAAATATTCTTATTGCACTGTCAAGTATTTCTTATGGCTGGATATACTCTCCAGAAGGATCTACTGAAAAGTACTAAATTCCTAGATTCATAATGGCTCCTGTGCCTTCCTCCAAGCTGGACAGGCTACTTCAGCTTTCAGCAACTGCTGAGTGACTGCTGTGGCTATGCTTTGGATTTGCAAGGTTTGCTTGATAAAGACTGGCACAGGTGTGGTGGTGAGCGCCTGTAATCCCAGCTACTTGGGAGGCTGAGGCAGGAGAATCGCTTGAACCCGGGAGGCGGAGGTTGCAGTGAGCCGAGATCACGCCACTGTACTCCAGCTTGGGTGACAGAGACAGACTCTGTCTCAAAAAAAAAACAAAAAAAAAAAACTGGCAACATTCTCTAGGACACGGTGTCTTTAGTTGCAGACTGGCATGGGGGAGGCAGAATAATGAAGCAGAAAGAATGCAGCCTTAGACTCAGATAGATCTATTTTGATTTCTTACAGCACCCAATCAAGATAATTCACTTCTCTAAGCATTGATCTCCTTGTTTGTAAAATGAAGATAACAGTACTTTGCTCCCAGGGTTTCTGTGGAAGTGAATAAGATCAAGTGCCCAGCACATTGCTGGTCATATTCTATATTCATTATAAAATGAATGAATGAATAAGTGGTTGTAATCAGTGTATATATTCTATTTGACTTCTGTCCTTAGGAAAAAAAATCAAGATTTTATAAATATTTAGCCAGACCCGTACTTCCCCTTCTCCAAGCTCAGTGTACCCCAGCTTACTCTGTTCTGTCCCCAAAGTGTGAGGAATAGAGTTCTTATCTGCACTTACAAAGTAACAGAAAAACCAGTGAGCCATGTGTCCAGCTGGGATCACAGTGGGGAGGGCAGATTAGAGTGACAGCTGGCCTGGGAGAGAAACCCTCTCTGAAAGAGTGCAGGGCTCTATGGCAGGCTGTAGCACCCTCACTGGCTGAGGTCAGAGAGTAGATTTTGTCTCCATATTCACCTGCACAGTCACCTCAACTGGGGTGATTCTGTAACACAGCTCAGCTTCCTTCCACAGGCCCCAGTAGAGTGCAAACTCCATGAGGGCAGGGATCTTATCTTTCATTCATTGCTGCACCCCAGTGCCTAGACACTGCCTGGCATACAGTAGACACACAATATTTAGAAATCTCCCTACAAATACATGAATCTAGAGCCCCAACTGCATTCCCTTCCCCAGTCTCTCTCTAGGGCTCTGTCTGGATTTCTGAAAACATGAAGGGGCTGATTACAAATCTCCTTACCAGATAATAGAGCTATTCCTCACTCTCCCAGCCTTGGCTACCCAGGTAAGTCTCCAGAAACCTTAAGCAGCACTGAAGATGGAGAGAGATATTTTGATGGCTCAAGAGATTGGACTAGGCAGGTGAAAAAGCCAAGTTGACTTTCTGGTACCCCTTTTCCAGACCTGAAAAACACCCACAAAGTTTAATTTCAGCCGTGCATGGTGGTACATGCCTGTAGTCCCAGTTACTCGGGAGGCTGAGGCAGGAGGTTCACTTGAGCCCAGGAGTTTGAGGCCAGCCTGGGCAACATAGTGAGATTCCCCTTCTCTAAATAAATTAATAAATTTTTAAAAAGTTTAATTTCCAGCTGGGCATTCTGCAACATGCATATGTGTTTAAGGAAATGCATTAAACTCTTAGGAATTGAGACCTCTACATAATAGTAGCTTAAGCTAATTTTGTTTTTCTTTCTCATAACCGGAAGGCTGGGGTAGGTGGCCGAGGGCTGGTAAGATGGCACCACGGTGGTTATCAATATCCAACCTCCTTCTGGCTTTCTTTTCTGCTGCCCTTAGCGTGTGCTCCCATCTTCACAGGACGGCTGCTGGAGCTAAAAATACCATGTCTAAGTCAGAAGAGGAGAATGAATGTCTGCTTGCCAGTCTAGTAGACTGCTTTAAAGAGCTTTCCCAGAAGTTCTGTCCAAAGTCTTCCATTTCATCTCCTTGGCCTTCCATTCTACAAGGGAATATGGAAATAGAGCATTTTGTAAAGGCAGGACATGTGTATACCTCCCAAATATAGAAGTTAGTGAAGAAGAGAATGGATATCAGGCAGGCAATTAGCAGCTTCTGCACAATTATTGTATCCTTCAAAATGAGTAATGACGATGACAGAAATCATTTTGTAATTTTACAGAGAAATTGTTGGGAAGATTGAAAGAGCAGATTCGAGGAGGCTATGCTTCAAGAGCAGCTTTCCAGAACCACACCACAGGACTGGCTGCTTCTGGGCCCCACAGCCACGATGCCTCTGCACCAATCAGGAAGCTGCTGGTTTTAGAATAACCAAATGTCTCCACCCGTGTTTGCCAGTAAAATCATCTCCCTATGCCTGGTTTCCTCCTCATCAGGCTTCATTTTTCCTTCCATGTTTTGTGAGGAGTCTGTCATTACTTTTTGCCATTAAAAGTAATGGCAAAATCCGCAATTACTTTTGCACCAGCCTACTACCTTCCCAAGAGGGGACCTAGCTGTCTGGGAGTCTGGGAAATGTAGTTTTTAGCTTTCAAGATTTTATTACATAGGAAGAAGGTTAGGATGAATGTTGAGTAAACCAATCTGCAATATTTAGCCCAGTATTTATTTTATTTTATTTTATTTTTCTGAGACAGGGTCTCATTCCCATCATCCAAGATAAAGGGCAGTGGTGCAATCACAGTTCACTGCAGCCTTGACTTCCCAGGCTCAGGTGATCCTCCTATCTCAGCCTCCTGAGTAGCCAGGACTATAGCTGCATGCTACCACATTTGGCTAATTATATATATAATAGCAAATATAAATATATAGTAAAACTAAATGTAATATACACATTTAGTAAATACAGGGTTTTGCCATGTTGCCCTGGCTAGTCTTGAACTCCTGGGCTCAAGCATCCTGTCTGCCTCTGCCTACCAAAGTGCTGGGATTACAGGCATGAGCTACTATGCCTGGCCCATTGCCCAGTATTTTATTCTGATCATATAATCTACACGTTTGCCATTTTCAGTAACCACACATTTATTCTTTATAAATTCATTCATTCATTCAGTCAGTCAGTCAGTCACTCATCAAGTGTCAGGCAGCATGCTAGGTGCTATGTATCAAAGATGATGAAGTTAATGTCTGCGTGGGTGGTGGAATTTCAGAAGATGAGGGCCAATAGCAAAGCCAATTGTGGAGTACTGGAGGGTGCTGACAGCCACTTCTCATGGCCAATCTGTTATTTCCATGGAAGATTGCAGTCTCCATGTGGTCAGATCCCCCCACAGTCAAGCGAAGCCAAAGTCTAAAATTTCATGCAAATTCTTTTTTTTTTCTTGTAACACAGATTGTATTTATTTGTAGAGACAGGGTCTTGCTATGTTTCCCAGGCTACTTTCAAACTCCTGGCCTTAAGTGATCCTCCCACCTTAGCCTCCCAAAGTGCTAGAAATACATGAATTCTTCAGATCCTTAAAAATCAATGGTTCTTAATACTAGCTGGACGTCAGGATAACCAGGGTATCTTTTAAAAATTACTGATGTCTACCCCAGCCTAATCATGAAAAAAACATTAAACAAATCCCAAATGAGAGGCATTGTACAAACACCTGACCAGCACTCCCCAAGACTGTCTTGATCATCAAATCCAAGGTAAGTCTGAGAAACTATGATGACCAAGAAGAGCCCAAGGAGACACACCAGATAAATAGAATGTGGTGTCCTAGATGGGATACTGGAACAGAAAAGATCATCAGGGAAGAACTGAGGAAATCTGAATAAAGTATGATATTGGTTAATAATAATGTGTAAATATGAGTTTATTAATTGTGACAAAGGTAGTATACTAATGTAAGATGTTAATAAGAGAGGAAACTGAATGTGGGGTATATGGAAACACTCTGTATTGTCTTTGCAATAATTGTGTAAATCTAAAACTGTTCTAAAGTAAAAAGCTTACTAAAAACAGATACTGACATCTAGGACCCTTCCCAGGCAGATTGAAGCTCAATCATTAAGGGGGTGGGATTCAAACACTGACATGTTTCGGAAAGTGTTCCAGGTGGTTCTAGTGTGCAGTTGGGGTTGAGGATTAGTGCTTTACATTTGGCACTAACTTATATATTTTAAAAACACTGTAATGGTAAAATAAAACATCTGTGGGGCCATATGCAGCCTGTCGCCACCAGTTTGGGAATTCTGCTCTATGCTTTCAAGAAAATGATAGTATAGCTTGGGAGAAACACATCATCAAATACACGGGTAATGACTGAAACTTCTATAGCCTGTGAGGAGTCCCCAAGAAGGAGCAGTGGTGCCAGTGGGAGAGGAAAAGGTGGCGGTGGTCTGAGTAACTGAGATGACATTCCTGAAGCACCTCCTGACGTATTTTCCCATTGATCACCTATTTCCTTTCCTTGCACCTTGCCTGCTATCATTGTCCTGCAGACGTGGAGTGGGGGAAGTAAATAGAATCTCGTGAAAGAGAAGGACTGATCAGGCTTGCTTCTCAAAGGGTGGTCATTGAGCAGCCTGGTTGGCATCACCAGGGAGCTTGTTAGAAATGCAGACTCTCAGGCCAGATTCCAGAATGATTGAATTGGAGTCTGCATTTTAATAGGATCCTAAGGCGATTTATATTCACTGATGTAGAGGGCTCTTGTAAATCAGGAAGGGAGATTAGAAACCCATTCCAGCACTAACAGAAGGCACCCAGGAGAGAGGAGAAAAAGGGCAAGAGTTTTTAGTGATGAATGTTGGACTCCTCCTTCAGAGTTGAGGAGGGTGTAGAACACCCAGGTAGTTTTGTGGCAATGCAGAATATTGGGGTAGATTCCTGCTTCTTTGGACATTATTTGGGGGTAATTCATCACATCACCACATCCAATATGACACAAGAACAGTAGAATAGCATTGGCAGAGGACAAATCTAAATATAGGGGTGTGAGACAGTGCACCAGGTGCCTACAGCCTGCACACAGCACTGAAGACACCCAGAAGCTCCAGCAGCCTCAGTGCAGGGCTCTAAAAGAGTGGAAGGATAGGGGCCAGAAAAGCTTCCTGGGCTCAGAAATGAGGAGGCTTCAGAATATGGGGCTTCTCAACCAGGGATGCCAGAGGTCTTGGATTTCTGATGATATCATCACAATAGTTAAAACAAACCAAGCTGGACAAGCCACATCTCAGCAGCTACCACTTCAGGATATTCAGAAACCTGCTAAGGCAAATGACATGTCGACACAGCCAGGGAGGAATCTGAAGCATGTCACCTCACTGGAATGAAGAGACGTATTTTTCTGCATCTAGATGCCATCTTGGGAAGTGTTGGAAGTGCATGAGTTCCTTTGAAAGGAAAGAAATTGGCTGGGCACGGTGGCTCATGCCTGTAATCCCAGCATTTTGGAAGGCCGAGGTGGGCGGACCACTTGAGATCAGGAGTTTGAAACCACCAGCCCGGCCAACATAGTGAAACCCTGTCTCTACTAAAAATACAAAAATTAGCCGGGCATGGTGGTGGGTGCCTGTAATCCCAGCTACTTGAGAGGCTGAGGCAGGAGAATTGCTTGAAACCAGGAGGCGGAGGTTGCAGTGAGCCAAGATTGTGCCACTACACTCCAGTCTGGGCAACAGAGTGAGACTCCGTCTCAAAAAAAAAAGAAAAAGGAAAGAAATTGTTTAATAAAATGTTGGATCTTCTGGTCTCAGGAGGAGGTTCTCTGTCTTCCTTAAAGTAACAGTTTTAAAGCTAAAGAAACAGAATTACATTTAATGGACAAGTTGGGTTGCTCCCACTCCACTACCCCTATTATTAGCAGAAATAATACAATAGAAAGAAAATAAATAAAATCACACATTTTTGCATACCTTAGTGGAAGTGCATGTCTTTCAACCCTGCTACATTAGGAGGGGTATATGAGGACTTGAAAGTTGAGTTAAGCTTAAAAGATGAGGAGACTTTGTCAGGAGGATGAGAAGGCCAGGAAAGGCAATCTAGGCAGAGCACAGGGTTGTAAAGAGCATGATGGACTCGTCGAATTGTAAACAGTCCAGATGGTTAGCGAATAGGGTGTGTGAGGGTGAAGAAACAAACTGGTAGGTAGGGTCGGGTCTTGGAGGACTTTGGACGCCATGCTGTTTGGATTTTAACTTATAGGCAATCATGGGGAGGGGGACGGGGAGGTTTGAATTTCAGAATTAGCGCTGTGGCACCACTGTGGAAGATGAGTTGGAGGAGGGTGACATTGGAGGCTGAAACAAGTTAGGAAGCTAATACATGGGAGAGGGCTGGAATAAGGTAAAGGAAGAATTCTTGGGTTTCTCTGTTGGGTTACTGTTTGGGTGGTGCTGTTATTCGCTGAGTCAGTGCATGTAAGAGACAAGAGAGACTTCGCGTGACATTTACAGTCACCCGGTGTAGGCATCACCCACTGTTGGGCATTTGGGTATGTGCAGCTGCTGTTTCTAACATCTTCCTATTAAAATGTCGCCATGAACATTCTTGTATGAATTATTTTTAAAATTTGGAAGTTTGGGGGGAATGGGATTATATATCTAAATTATTTTTATTTTGTCAACTTGCAAAATCATTTTGTACTGCTTTTTATTTTATTTTTTTCAGACAGGGTCTCTCCCTGTCACCCAGGCTGGAGTGCAGTGGTGCGATCTCTGCTCAATGTAGCCTCGATCTCCTGGGTCCAAGTGATTCTCCCATCTCAGCCTCCTGAGTAGCTAGGACTGCAGGCAGGCACCACCATGCTCAGTTAATTTTTTTATTTTTTGTACAGATGGATCTCCCTGTGTTGCCCAGGCTGTTCTCAAACTCCTGGGCTCAAGCGATTCTCCCACCTCAGACTCTGAAAGCGTTGGGATTATAGGTGTGAGCCACCATGCTTCACCTTATAATGCTTTCAAATATTGCCTGACTGCTTTCTGGAAAGGCATACCACTCTATAGCTTACCAACTATTGTTAGTACACTTGTCTGTATACAGTCCCAATTGTAAAAAATATACAGGTTTTTTTAAAATAACTATAAAAATATACAGATTTTGTATAACTGTAAAAAATACCAGATTTTTATAATATGAATCAATGTTAGCTTGTTAAAAGGTAAATTGAAACACAATAACATTTTAAAGAGTTTAATTGAGCAAACAGTAATTCATGAATTGGGAAGCGCCAAACTGAAAGAGGTTTTTGGGCTCTGCTGAAGTGTCAAGAACAGACTTTTATAGAGTGAATTTGTAAGTAATACAAAGAAAATATTTGGTTGGTTACAGTTATAAAGTTGCCTTACTTGATCTATCCCTCTGGAAAGTCCCTAGTTATATAATTTAATTTTGCTGGCTGCTTCCAATTGGTTGAGCTTAAGTTCTGCTTTTCTTTGACATAAGTATTTGCAAGACATTGCTCAAGCTAAGTTTGGCTTATGTTAACAAATCAAGCAAGGTTAGTCACTCATCGGGCCTAATTAGCTTTGTCTGCTCAGGGGTTCTTCAGGTCTCGTTTCCATTTTAATTTACTGCAACAACCTAATTTCAAAGATGGATCCTAAAGGTATTTATCTATTTATTTATAGATAGGGTCTTGTTCTGTCACCAGGCTGGAGTGCAGTGGTGTGATCATGACTCACTGCAGCCTTGACCTCCTGGGCTAAAGCAATCCTCCCACTTCAGCCTCTTGAGTATCTGGAACCACAGGTACCCACCACAACACCTGGCTAATTTAAAAATTTTTTTTGTAGAGACAGGGTCTTCCTATGTTGCCCAGCTGGTCGTCTCAAACTCCTGGGCTCAAGCAGTCCTCCCACCTCAGCCTTCCGAGTAGCTGGGACTACAGGCACACCACCAGGTCTGGCTGATATACTTTTTATTTTTTGTCAAGACATGGGTCTCACTATGTTGTCCAGCCTGGTCTTGAATGACTGGCCTCAGTTGATCCTCCTGCCTTGGTCTCCCAAAGTGTTGAGATTACCGGTGTGAGTCCCTGCACCCGGCCTGAGCATTTCTAATGTTCTATGCTAAGTGTAATAGTTATTATCAGTTTTAAATATATATTCTTTATCATATTAAGAAAGAAGAATTCCTAGGGGTTTTAATCAAGAAAATATTTTGTATTTAATCAAATACTTTTTTTGTACCCGCCTATGTATAGTTATATGATTTTTACTTTATGCCTTGTTAATATGATGAATTATCTTGATAATGTTTTATGCGTTATATCAACCTTGCATTCTTGGAATAAATTTTCCTTCATGATCAGTGACAATTTATTTTTAAGTATTTGGAATGATTTTTTTCTTCCTTGTTTCTTTCCTTTACTTCCTCACTTCCTTTCTCTCTCCTATCTACCCCTTTCTTCAACCCTCCTTACTCCTTTTCTTCCTTTGCATATATGCTGGAAATTATAATTTTCTCCTTTTGATATTGGTCTTAGGATTGGGAAGTAAATCCATGTTTAATTTATCAAATCAGTTCAGAAACATATTGCCTTTTTCAATTTTTTGCAACAATGAACATGTGACACAAATCTGTGTTATTTGAAAGATCCGCAAATTCAGCAGGGCCAAGTGCCTTTCTCCTCCTCCTTTCCTTTATAATTTTTTTCTATTTATTTATGTTAGCTTTTCCCCCCTACTATAAGGAGTCTATTATAATAAATCATCTCCTGTTAGTTTTTCACTCAAGGGTGGAATAACCCACGTAACTGGTGCCGACAGACCACTTTTTAACGAAGTTCTTAGGAAATCTCATGAGCTGATGCAGGAGGCTGCCTCAGTGGGAATAGACTGTATTTGTGCTAGCTCTATTAGCTTTTATGATTTATATTTGTCAAAACTCACTCATTTCATTTTAATTGTAAAAGTGTTTTTTTTTTTTTTTTCAGAGATGGAGTCTCGCTCTGTCACCCAGGCTGGAGTGCAGTGGCATGATCTCAGCACAGTGCAACCTCTGCCTCCTGGGTTCAAGCGATTCTCCTACCTCAGCTTCCCAAGTAGCTGGGACTACAGGCACAGGCCACCACACACAGGTAATTTTTGTATTTTTAGTAGAGGTATGGTTTTGCTATATGTTGGCCAGGCTGGTCTCGAACTCCTGACCTCAAGTGATCCACCCTCCTTGACCTCCCAAAGTGTTGGGATTACAGGCATGAGCCACTGCAGGCCTGGCCAGTTGTAAAGGGTTTTAACATAAAAATTGAAAAAAAATCTCTCCATTTCAGTGAAATAAAAAATTTTGGTTTAAATTATAGCTTTTTCTTACACTGAATATTAATAATTTGGGTTTTCCTTTTATTTCAATGATTAACACTTTAAAAAATTGTCAAAGAATCTTCTGTTACTGATTCTACAGTTTTTTTCCTACTTTATTTATGCTTGCTTTATTAGTTCTCCTTTTCCTACTCTTTCGATGCCTCTCTTCTTTTTTAAAAAGGAGATAGGCCGGGCACAGTGGTTCACGCCTGCAATCCCAGCACTTTGGGAGGCCAAGGGGGCAGATCACCTGAGGTCAGGAATTTGAGCCCAGCCTGGCCAACATGGCAAAACTCCATCTCTACAAAAATACAAAAAATTAGCCAGGCTTGGTGGCACGTGCCTGTAATCCCAGCTACTTGGGAGGCTGAGGCAGGAGAATTGCCTGAACCCAGGAGACAGAGGTTGCAGTGAGCCAAGATCACGCCACTGCACTCCAGCCTGGGTAACAGAGCAAGACTCTGTCTCAAAAAACAAACAAACAAACAAACAAACAAAAAACCCAAAAAACAAAAAAGGAGATAGTTTAGAAAATTCACACAGTAAGAAAAATTACGGCTCACTTCCACAACGCAAAGACAACATGATTATTTTGATGCATTTCCTTGTATATTGCTTACACAATTATGCATTAGCCATACGCACTTTATAATTGATCAATGTGTGTGCATTATATGACTATATATTTTTTAGAATATATTGGGGTTATTTGTAGATTTCTTCTCTAATGTAGGTTATTATTTAGGAGATTAGTTAAAAATTTTAAGGAATTTTGAATTTTTTTAATCTCAAATTGTATGCCTTTTTACTTTGGGAAAGTAGTATGGAGAATCTGTCTTTTTCTTTATATGAAGAAATTTTTGTGCTTTATTTGATATTTTTGATGACACATTCATGGCAAAAAGTATATTAGCTTCTGATATGATTCTATCATGTATTCTATCAAATGCATGACTGTTAATTCTATCTAATTTATTACACTTATCAACTCCGCACTTTCTTCATCAAATCTGAATACTCCTGATTTGTTATATGAAACACTGACATTTCAAATTATCGTTCTCTTTCTGCCTATTTTTTCCTTTTGTGATGTTCTGGTATTCTCAGGCCCTTGTTTATTATACCTTTTATGATTATATGATTTTATTTATTCCACCTTAAAATCAAATAATGATAGTAACTCTTACTTTTTTATGGTCCATCAGGCAGGCTATGCTGTCCCTTCCTCAGTGTTTTCCCTAAGTGTGTTCCTGGACATTCCTTTTCTGGGTCTGCTGTGACCAAGTGCCACAGACCGGATGGCTTAAAGAAATGGATTGTCTCACAGTTGTGCTAGAAGTCCAAACAGGGTTGGTTCCCTCTGAGGACTGAGAAGGCAGGATCTGTTCCAGGCATCTCTCCTGGGCTTGTGGATGCCCATTTTCTTAACATGTCTTCCTTCTGTGCCAGTTTTTGTGTCCCTCTTTATAAGGATACCATTCATTTTGGAATACAGCCCACCTTCATGACCTCATTTGACTTGATTACCTCTGTAAAGATCCTGTTTCCAAGTAAGGTCTTATTTTGAGGTACTGGGGTTAGGATTTCAATACATAAATTTTGAGGGGGTCCCAATTCAATCCATAACAGCATATTAATAGTTAACTTGAATGAATTCTGCAATTATATAAGTTGGGGAAGCGTCAGTTTAATTTTTTGAGACGGAACCTCATTCTATTGCCAAGCTGGAGTGCAGTGGCTGCAGTGGCACGGTCTCGGCTCACTGCAACGTCTGCTTCCCGGATTCAAGTGATTTTCCTGCCTCAGCCTCCCGAGTAGCTGAGATTACACGCGCGTGTCACCCCGCCCAGCCAATTTTTGTATTTTTAGTAGAAACAGGGTTCACTATGTTGGCCAGGATGGTCTCGAACTCTTCACCTCATGATCCGCCCACCTCAGCTACTCGAGAGGCGTTACTTTCTTGATGTCTCCTGAGACAGATCCCACTGGAGACCATTTTTCCTCAGCAGATACAGGATTAATTACCCACTCATCGTTTGGGAGAAGCTCCAGAGCAGAGGCCATAATCCAACTGCAGATGCTTGATTCTGATATGAAATAGTTTGTTACATGTCTTGCTGTGAATGCCTTCTCTGGGGAGTATAATCAATCATTTTCATTTATTTTGTTTTAAAAAATTTTTGTTTGCTTTCTTTGATGGGAATTTAAGACCTGAGGTTGGGAGGTCTTGGACTCAGGAGGGAGAACATGGAAGAGGAAATATACAAGAGGAGCATGGCTGGAGGTGAGGGAGGAGAGATGGAAGGACCTGTCGTCTCCAGCTGGATATTGCAGGAGACTCAACATGTTCAAAATGCAATAATCTGGTCTCTAGACTACACCTGCTCTTCTTCCCTAGTTAAATAAATGGCACGACCATCTATTCTCCCCTTATCTTCTCCTGGGCTGTTTTGTTTTCTTACCTGCATTCTTCCCTATACCCTTCTCTCCCCACAAGCCAATCTAATTATTTTGTCACTTGCACCTTCTAAATGTTTCTCAAATCCATTAATTTTTTTGGCCAATATATTGTTTTCTCATTTTATTGAAGTGGAATCTCGTTCTGTCACCAAGGCTTGAGTGCAGTGACATGATCTCAGCTTACTGCACCTACCACCTCCTGGTTCAAGCGATTCTCCTGCCTCAGCCTCCCAAGTAGCTGAGACTATAGGCGCAGGCGACTGCGCCCGGACTAATTTTGGTATTTTTAGTAGAGATGGAGTTTCACCATGTTGGCCAGGCTGGTCTTGAACTCCTGACCTTAAGTGATACCCCCACCCTCAGCCTCCCCAAGTGCAGGGATTATAGGCGTGAGCCAGTGCACCCGTCCTCTCTTACCGTTTTAAGTCTTCATCTCTGTATTCTCCCCATAAATTCACGCCTTCCTCAATTGCAACATGTTGTTTTTATTCCTCACACACGCAGTTCTCTCCTCCTGCCATGCCTTTGCTCCCACTGTGTCCGGAATTGGTGAGTTCTTTGTCTCACTGACTTCATGAATGAAACCGCAGACCCTCGCGGTGAGTATTACAGTTTTTAAAGGTAGCGTGTCCGGAGTTTGTTCCTTCTGATATTCAGATGTGTTCTGTTCCTTCTGATATTCAGATGTGTTCGGAGTTTCCTCCTTCTGGTGGGCTCCTGGTCTTACTGGCTCAAGAGTCAAGCTGCAGACTTTCACGGTGAGTGTTACAGCTCACAAAGGCAGGGTGAACCTAGGGAGCAGCAGCATGACTTATTGCAAAGAACAAAAAAACAAAATTTTCAGGGTGGAAAGGGACACGAGCGGCTTGCCACTGCCGGCTCCGGCAGCCTGCTTTTATTATCTGGCCCCACCCACATCCTGCTGATTGGTCCATTTTACCGAGAGCCGATTGGTCTGTTTTACAGACAGCTGATTGGTCCGTTTTGACAGGGTGCTGATTGGTGCATTTACAATTCCTGAGCTAGACACAAAAGTTCTCCACCTCCCCACTAGATTAGCTAGACACAGAGTGTCAGTTGGTGTATTTACAAACCCTGAGCTAGACAGAGTGCTGATTGATGCATTTACAAACCTTGTAGCCAGAGTGCTGACTGGTGCATTTACAAACCTTGTAGACAGAACGCTGATTGGTGCATTTACAAACTTTGCAGACAAGAGGGCTGATAGGTGCATTTACAAACCTTGAGCCAGATAGTGCCGACTGGTGCATCCACAAACCCTGAGCTAGACGCAGTGTGCTGATTGGCGTATTTACAATCCCTTAGCTAGACAAAGATTCTCTAAGTCCCCACTAGACTCAGGAGCCCAACTGGCTTCACCCAGTGGAATCACACACTGGGGCTGTAGGTGGAGCTACCTATGAGTCCCACACCACGCACCCCCCCACTCCTCAGCCCTTGGGCAGCGGATGGGACCAGGTGCCCTGAAAGAGGGGGCAGCGCTCATCTGGGAAACTCAAGCGGCACAGGAGGCCACAAAAAGATGGGGAGACTCAGGCATGACGGGCTGCTGGTCCTGAGCCATACAAATAGCCTGCCAGGAGGCAGTTAAGGCCCAGCAAGAAATTGAACACAGAACTCGTGGGCCAGCACTGCTGGGGGAATCCAGCACACCTTCCATAGCTGCTGGCCCAGGTGCTAAGCCCCTTGCTGCTCTCAGTGCAAGGCTCACCACGCCCACCTGCGTGCAGTACAGGTTCCCGCCCGTGCCTCTCCTGCCGCACCTCCCTGCAACCCAACGCGGCTGCTTCCGGCCTCAGTCAGCTAAAGAGCTCCCACGGTATAGCGCTGAGCCGAAAGGCTTGTCAAGCACAACCAGAATGAGCAGAGGACAAAGAGGAACTGAGAGCAAGTGAAGGGTACTGCCATACCGTTCTCTCTCACTACCACTGTGTCCAGAATTGGTCTGACTTCAACAAGGAAGTTGTTGTTGTCACACGAATGTTACAGTTAAGGAGAGTGTGTCTGGAGTTTGTTCCTTCTGATGCGGTCAGTTTTTCTCGAGAGCTCATGGTCTATGCCGGGTCGGAAGTAAAGACTGCATATACTTCGTGGTGACTTACCGCACTTAAAGCAATATACATTAAAATTGTTTTTTCCTCCTCGTGGGTTCATAGCTTATACTGGCTTCCGGAGTAAAGCTACGTACTTTCACAATTTTTCAGCTCATAAAAGCAGCCTAAACCCAAAAAACATAACCACCACAATATGAAAGTATAGTGGAGCAATTTGGCACTCCTGGTTCAGGCAGTCTGCTTTTATTCTCTTATCTGGCCCCACCCACATCCTGCTGATTAGTTCATTTTACAGAGAGCTGATTGGTCTGTTTTACAGACAGTTGATTGGTCCATTTTCACAGGGTGCTGATTGGTGCATTGACAATCCCTGAGCTAGAGGCAAAAGTTCTCCACCTCCCCACTACATTAGCTAGATACAGAGTGTCAATTGGTGTATTTACAAACCCTGAGCTAGACACAGAGTGCTGATTGGTGTGTTTACAAACCTTGAGCTAGATACAGAGTGCTGATTGGTGTATTTACAATCCCTTAGCTAGACATAAAGAGTCTCCAAGTCCCAACCAGACTCAGGAACCCAGCAGGCTTCACCCAGTGGATCTGGCATTGGGGCCACAGGTGGAGCTGCTTGCCAGTTTCACGCTGTGCGCCCGCACTTCTCAGCTCTTGGGCGGTCGATGGTACTGGGCGCCCCATGGAGCAGGGAGCGGCGCTCGTAGGGGAGCCTCAGGCCGCGCAGGAGCCCGTCAGGAGAGGGTAGGGGAGGCTCAGACATGGCGGGCTGCACGTCCCAAGCCCTGCCCCGCGGGGAGGCAGCTAAGGCCCGGCGAGAAATGGAGCACAGCAGCTGCTGGCCCAGGTGCTAAGCCCCTCACTGCCCGGGGCTTGCAGGTATGCCAGCCGCTCCGAGTGCGGGGCCGGCCGAGCCTACGCCCACCCGGAACTCGCGCTGGCCCGCAAGCGCCCCTTACAGCCCCGGTTCCTGCCCGCGCCTCTTCCTCCACATCTCCCCGCAAGCTGAGGGAGCCGGCTCCGGCCTTGGCCAGCCCAGAAAGGGGCTCCCACGGTGCAGCGGTGGGCTGAAGGGCTTCTCAAGCGCGGCCAGAGTGGGCGCTGAGGCCGAGGAGGCACCGAGACCGAGTGAGGGCTGTGAGGGCTGACAGCACGCTGTTGTATCTCAACTGTCCCTTCACCCAGCTAACTCCCGCTCAGCAGGTGTCGGCCTTTCCTGACCCCCTATGTTAGTCGTGCTTGTCCTGTGTCCCAGAGCCTGGGACCTTCTTCACAGCCATCATCACACTTCATTCTTTGCAATCTCTCTTCCCTAGAAAAGCTATGAAGTGAGGAAACGTGTTTTTCCTTTTTTGCACCATACCTCAGTGCCAGGGTTACAGGTACCACACACCGACCCATTGTGCAAACCAGAAGAAGTCCTCTCCGCAGGCAGATGCGTCGCAAGTATGTTTCTGTCTCTGTTTTTGGTGGCAGCCACATGCCAGAATATTCGAGTGCAAGCTGGATTTCAGCTCCCATTTGTCCCTCTTGGTCAGGTGCTTTTGTGCAAAGCACAAAATATGAGGTGGTTTTGAAAAGCAAAAGCCAAGTGGAACTGAAGAAAAGATATCCACAAGTAGATTTGGTTTAGTCACTGAAATATGTCTGAAAGGATTGCTTATCATCCTCCTACAATGAAATGGATGTCCAGAGAAACTGAAAAATCCTTCAGAATAAGCAAAAGAAATGTCAAAGTAAGAAAGCTAGGTGTGTTCAAGTCTCATATCTAATATGACTATCTTGGCATTGTGTTATAGCATAATTGGTAAGATTTGTTTCCTTAGTAGTAAGTTGTGCACAAAGGTGGGAATTGAACAATGAGAACACATGGACACAGGAAGGGGAACATCACACACCGGGGCTTGTTGTGGGGTGGGGGGAGCGGGGAGGGATAGCATTAGGAGATATACCTAAAGTTAAAAGACGAGTTAATGGGTGCAGCACACCAAGATGGCACATGTATACATATATTACTAACCTGCACGTTTTGCACGTGTACCCTAAAACTTAAAGTATAATTTAAAAAAAGGGGCATCTTAAAATCTACAGCATTCTAGATTTGATAATATGTAGTATGAACATCAGTTAGGGATTATATTCACCTGCATGTAAGAGAACCTGAATAAAGGAACATAATCAAATACAGTTTATTTTTCTCACGTTCCAAGAAGCATGGAGACAGGCAGGCCCGGGCTGGTCTAGTAGCTCCGTGATGTCATTAATCATGGTTTCTGTCAATCACCCAGATTTCTTCAGCTTTTCTTCTCTGCCTTTCTTAGCACATGACTTTCTTCATCGTGGTTCTCTCATGCTCTTAAGAGTGGATATAAAATTAGCAACTAGCAGTGACTGTACACGGTGATTTACATTACAGCCTCATCTATTTAGTTTATTATCCTTAAGTTGGATCTTCTTGTTCTTTATTTTCAGTATGCCATTTAATTTTCTATTTTTACTGATTGCTGTGTTATTTACCTGCAGCTTCTGTTTTCTAAGTGCACCATGAAGCATTTGCCTTTAATTCTATCTTTTACAAATCCATTAATTTCTTTTGTTATTTCTTCCCAATGTTTACAAGTTTATTGAAGTCTTTCTGTATTGGTGCATGTTCTAATTTTGTTGTCACACTTTCTTCTTTTCTCTCTCATAACCTAGTTGATGTCAGATGATTTCTCGTTGTTTTGGAGTCTTTGAGGGAGTACTGCCAGTTCTACTATTGTGCATAATTTGTGTTTTGGGATTTTGCTTTTTTTTTCAGTTTTGTAATTCTTTTTACTTAATACATGTAATAAAAACATGTAGATTTGTGTATTGTCTTGAAAACGTGTCTTTTTGTCTTTGTTTTTTGTTGTTTTTTTTTTTTTTGCCAGAAATTACAACTTAAAAAAAAAGATTTTGTCAGAAGGAAGTGACCTGCACTATTATTCATAAAATCCATATGAAAATCTAACATGGAGTAATTGTGGAAAATCTTACATATGTCTAAAGAAAGATTAGAATCTTCAATGTTTTTTACTTTATATCTCATCTGTTATCAATTATCTTAATTAATAAGATTGTTTCTTCCTAGAGCTATCATTTATCGATCATCTACCAGAGCAGGAATTGGCAAATTATGGCTCATGGACAAAATCTGACCCACCACCTGTTTTTGTGAGTAAAATTTTTTTGGAACACAGCCACACCTATTCATTTAAATATTCTCTATGACTGCTTTTGTGCAACAAGGGCAGAGTTGAGTAGTTGTGACAGAGACCATGTGGCCTGCAAAACCTAATATATTTACCATTTTAGCCTTTAAAGAAAAGTGTAGTCGAGCATAGTGGTGTATGCCTGTAGTCCTAGCTACTCAGGAAGCTGAAGCAGGAGGATTGCTTGAGCCCAGGAGTTCAAGTCCAGCCTGGGCAGCATAGTGAGACCTTGCTTTTAAGAGAGAGTGAGAGAGAGAGAAGTTTGCCAACCCCTGTACTAGAGTCTCACTGAAACTCCAGCAGCACTGTAACATACGAATCACAGCACCTTTGAAGTTCAGAGAAGTTAAATAATCTTCACAAAGTCACCTAACTAATAAGCTGTGCCTGGATCTGATCCCAAGTCAGGGATTCCTCATCACTATTATGTTATACCACTTTTATATACATGATGTCTCACATTAAACCTCATAGAAATCCTCTCGGCTGGGCGCGGTGTCTCATGCCTGTAATCCCAGCACTTTGGGAGGCCGAGGTTGGCAGATCACGAGGTCAGGAGTTCGAGACCAGCCTGGCCAACATAGTGAAACCTCGTCTCTACTAAAAATACAAAAATTAGCTGGGTGTGGTGGGGCACGCCTGTAGTCCCAGCTACTTGGGAGGCTGAGGCAGGAAAATCGCTTGAACCCAGGAGGTGGAGGCTGCAGTGAGCCAAGACGACAGTGTGAGACTTCATCTCAAAAAAAAAAAAGAAAGAAAGAAATCCTCTCATTCCTCTTTTGTAGATGAGGAAACTGAGTCTTACTAATCTGTCCAATGTCCAAGGTCATACAGCTGATGAGTGGCAGAGCCAGGATTTGAAACTATGTCAGTGTGAAGCCAAACACTGCCTTTAAATATTACATTGTTAAATGTATTACTTCTCAAAGATTAAAAAATATTTTTAAGACAAGTTCTCACAGTGTTGCCCAGACTGGAGTGCAGTGAATATTCACAAGTGTGATCATTGCGCACTTTGGCCTCAGACTCCTGGGCTCAAGCAATCTTCCTGCATTGCCTCCCGAGTAGCTGGGACTATAGGCACGTGCCACCATGCTCAGCCTTCTCAAAGACTTTTTGAGGGTTTAAAAAATTTATCACAAAATTAATACTAAGCCTAATTTCCTCTAGAAGTAAAAGTAAGGAAAACTTCTGGCAGGGTTCATTCAGATTGTTTGACAGATCCATTTTTGTCTCTCCAGCACTGGGTTTTTCTAATCCTTAAAGCATGTGAAGATATCATTTACCTAACAAAGCAGTCATTGCAGGAACTTGTTAAGCCTGAGCTAATTCACTGCATTATAGCACTACCATTTCCCCTATTTTTTTCCCAGATTAGCAGAGAATAGACACAAAATTACTTCCTTATAAGTTTACCATATAATCCCATTGAATTGATTGAAAGCATGTAGTTAGAAAAAAGAAACTGAATAAGACTCTCCCTCCTGTATCTCTTCATGCCCTTTGAACATGTAAACTAAAAAGTAATCATTATTTTATGATGTCCAAAGATTCTCATTTATCTAAGTACTGATAGGATGTATAGAACAAGTAGGTAACCTACTTGCACCCAAACCATGCAGTGTTGGGTTGTAATTCCATCTGGCTTTGCAGGACAGAATTGGCACCCAGATGGAAGTTAGTAGAGCTAGAGAGACAGCATCAACAGCAGGAATAAGAAAAGAGGCTGTGATGAAGACAGCGAAAAAAACAGACATTCCCCTTGCACATTTCTGTGTTGGTCTTATAGGCTCAGGCAAGTAAAGTGAGACAGACACAGAGACAGGGCTGTGAGACCAATCCTTGATGACATGACTAATATGTGAGCTTATCATTGTGCTTGTTTCACACCTGGAAGAGCAGAGGCTTCCTTTGAGGGCTCACCAGGGACATAAGAGGAGAGAAGAGCTCACAGTAGGACTGGTTAATTGAACTGATAATTCATTGAAGCACCTCAGGTGAAATCGTCCATCCGTAACTTCATATGCCTGGTAGTACATTTTGTCTACATGTTGGTTTGTTTTGCTCCCAGTAACAGTGAGCAGCATAAGCTTGCTTTGCACCCCAGACAGGAACGCATCTGCCCATTTCTTGTTTGGCATATTCTAACAGGAAGGATTTTTAGGCTGGGAGTCCATTCCACACGGAATGAGAAGGAAATAAAAAACACTCCTGGGACAGGGGGTCCCCTACTAATTATTTTTCCATAAGTCTCCTGTTTACTTTCCAGCTGCCCTGAATCAAGCCTTTGGGAACTCATAAGTGGCAGGTGAAATTCACACCACGCAGTCTGTCAGGGTTTGGAATTGACACCAATAATTCCCGGCGGGTTATTTTTGCAAAGGTGTAAAGTTTGTTTTCTTAAATTGCTTTGAACATGCTTCTCATGATTTTAAAGACACTTTTAACAAGATTCAAAAAGTCTGGCAGGAGGTATGAGTGGAGATGGTAATTATAAGGACTTTCGAAATGAGTTATGACATCAGCCTTAAGTACCCAAAACATTGCTATCATAATTGTCATGCTTTTTTCTGCAAGAGCCACCGAAACAGGACAGATACTCAGCAGATCATTTATTCTGCCAGCTTCCACATACCACTGAAAAGAATAATTTGCAAAATTTGCGGGAGAGTCTAACAATGCACTTAATGAGAGAATAATTTGTTGATGTTTCATTTGTAGTAAGCAGAATAAACAAAGAAATTCATGAAACGAAAACAGACTAAGTCACAGCAGAGAACACTCATGTTATGGGAGAGCAATCGAATGATACTTAGTGGCTACTGGGCAGAGACTCTGATCCGAAGGAAAGTGACCCAGTAGACTTCTTCTCGGACTCATTTAGACGGAAAGTTTTGCCTGTGTGTGGTTACAGTGGCATGATACAGGTCAACTGGTTGGGTAAGCTTCTAGGATTTCCACCACTGCACACATGGACACCATTTTCTAACTCATATAACTAACAAAAAGATGCCTTGATTTAGGTAATAATTGATAGCAGGAAGAGGACAAATAAAACATGTACAGCTTGCATTTATTTTTACTTTGTTATTTTTAAGTGCTAGAGTAATCACGTCGTCCCACAGTAAGGAGAACACAGAGGCCCCCTCATGAAGTAAGGCTGGGTCGAGGCATTCTTGGGGCAGGTATTGGCACACAGTGTCTCCCAGCAGCCTGTCACTGGTGCCTGAAATAGTGCCACCAGGTTCACTCTTTTGGATTTACAGTGGTTATTGAAAAGCTGGTGCCCTGATGGTATAAAACCTTAAGCCTAGGCTAGCTTGCTTATGAGAGGCCACTTTTCCTAACGTGACAGATGATTGGCTGGGGAGACGTGTACAGGCTTTCCAGGGGGTGGGTCTGGCCAGTCAGGGAGTCACAAGGTGGCAGCGGGGAGAAAAGGAAGCTGAGGGTGCTAAGGGGATGTTCTAGTACAGCCAGAAAGGGCTGATTTCACCTGTTTCACAGTGGGCTAGTGGTAAGTTTAGAAGGATGACAAAATATTGTTTAGACATCTGCCCAGCTGTTTCCTGCAAAGTTAGAGAGCCAAGCAAATGTCTCTGGATTTCAAAGGCCAACTATCAAAGTTATTTGTAAAACTGAAACAGGGCAGGGGATATAAAGGATGTAAGAAACAATCCATTGTTGGCAAGATCTTCACATCTGAATTGACTAACATTGTCAATCAGGGAGCTTTGGCCCCAGTGTGGTAGAACAGATTGAACTGTGATCTTTGCAGGATGAGGGATGCAGGGAAAGCCAGCAGATGGTTTATAGTAATCTGGCCAAGGCACTAATAGCAACAGAGCCCACTGCTCGCAATGGCTTAGTCAGCTGAAGCTGACTGCACAGACGAGGAAGCGGGTTGTTCCAAGGTTGTGTAAGGACAAGAGCGGCACCTGAGTCCTGGCTGGGCAAAGCAGATTTTCCTTAAGCGCCTCAGCACTTGGTCACATGGGTGCAGCCTTATAGAGCTTCATAAATTCTCTAAGAATGTCCCTAACAGTTTTTATAATTTCATGCTCTTAGGATATCTCAAATCTTTTGGTGATATTCAAAGCTTACCAAATTAGAAAAGTCTTCATGTGTATGGAAGTTGTCTTCCGATACCAACTCTCTAGGTTCTCTTTTTCTTCATTCTTGATTGTGGCAGTGTAAAAGAGACAAAACTGGACCTATTATGGAAACCTAGCCGGGCTCAGTGGCTCACACCTGTAATCCCAGCACTTTGGGAGACTCAGGTGGGTAGATCACTTGAGCTTAGGAGCTCCAGACCAGCCTTGGCAACATGGTGAAACCGCATCTGTACCAAAAATACAAAAATTTACCAGGTGTGGTGGTGTGCGCCTGTGGTCCCAGCAACTGGGGAGGCTGAGGTGGGAGGATCCCTTGAGCCCAGGAGGTGGAGGTTGTAGCGAGCCAAGATCGTATCACTGCACTCCAGGGCAACAGAGAACCTTACACAAGTAGTTTACAACCAGTGGGGAGGTATTAGGGACTTCATATAAACATGCACACACACATAGATATGCGTAAACATCCGGGGCCAACCCAAAAATATTCTGATAGGCCCAATTCTATCTTCCAACCCTTGCAACTTGAGTTATTTCATTCGCATTTTCGTTGCAATAATTTTTAGCTGCAGGAAACAAAATACATCTACAATGGCTTAAATTAAAATTTTTGTTTTCATACAACAAGAAATCCGGAATTGGTGGTTTTTGTTTATCAATTAGACATTGTCAGGACCCACGGTGTATGAGTCCCTTGTCCTTTTCCTTCATAAGTTCAAGATGGCCCCTGAATTCAAGTCATCTTGTCCAGAAGGAAGAAAGGAAAATGGGGGAGATGGCTATGCCAACTTTCAGGCATTTGTCCAAGAAGACTTCCACTTATGTCTCATGGTCTTGTATTGGGTCACTTGACTGCCTCCTGTTGCAAGGAAGAGCTGCCAGCAGGAAAGACAGGGAGAAGAGGCTGTGAAGGCTTTAGGAGTAGCCATTCAAAGGATCTGCCACCATTAATTTCTGGAATGAACAGAAAAATTACTAGCTCTGGCTGATTGACCATCACAATTGAGATCATGCTTTATTCTGCCACTAATAGAATACTTTCAATGCTGAGAGCAGTCACTTAATTTTGATCCTCAGGGACACCCTCTGATACTACTTTTCCATGAAGTAGGAAACTCGTTCAAGACTAGCCTTTGAATGGTATTAAAGTCTAAAAAACTTTAAACCAAGGTAGAAATGGCTATACTTTTTATTAGGTTATTATGGACAAAACCGCAATTACGTTTGCACTAACGTAATTGTAGTGTGAAATCTGAACACACCTTGAAGATCATATCTCTTCTCTCCAGCAGTGTCACTACATCCAGTTACATTTTACTGAAAGGTAATAAAGTGAAAACTCAGTGTTTGACAGTGGCTTCACTGAGTGAAACAGATGGGTAACTGCAGGATATTCAGGTAGCCTTGATATTGATGAACTACAGCTCAGTAACAATAAGCAATTTTTTAAAACAACTTTCTAACTTTAGGGGGTACAAGTGCAGGTTTCTTACATGCATATATTGTGTAGTGATGAAGTCGGGGCTTTTAGAGTACCCATCACTAGAATAGTGAACATTGCATCCAATAGGTCATTTTTCAAACCTTACCCTCATGCCAGCCTTCCACCTTTCTGAGTCTCCAGTGTCTATTATTCCAGTCTGTACGTTCATGTGTCCCCATAGTTTAGTGTCCATTTATAAGAACATGGGGTATGTTTTTTGTGCGTGTGTGTTCCAATATAACTTTATAGCCACTATGATTTGAATTTCATATAATTCTTTTTTTCTTTAATTTTTCTATTTCAAGATTTTTTTTTCCTTTAGCTTTCAGAGGTTTACTTATGATGTGCCTTGAAATGTATTTCTTTGGGTTTTCCTATTTTGGATTTGCTCAGCTTTTTTGAAAAACTTTTTAATATTCTATAATATAGAAATTTGATTTATTTTAATATTTGGCTTCTTTTTGTTAACCCTTGCTCCTCGACTCCTTCCCCCCTCTATTAGTGTCTGTTGTTGCCATCTTTATGTCCATGAGTACCTAATGTTTAGCTCTTACTTATAAGTGAGAACACGTGGTAGTTGGTTTTGTGTTTCTGTGTTAATTCACTTAGGATAATGGCCTGTAGCTGCATCCATGTTGCTGCAAAGGACATGATTTCATTCTTGTTTATGGCTGTATAGTATTCCATGGCATATATGTACCACATTTTCTTTATCTAAGCCACAGTTGGATAAAGCACCTAGGTTGATTCCATATCTTTGCTATTGTGAATAGTGTTGTGATGAACATACAAGTGCAAAACATGCAGTATTTGACTTGCTGTTTCTGGGTTATTTCAGTTAGGATAATGGCCTCCAGTTCCCTCCATGTTGCTGTAAAATACTTGACTTCATTCTTTTTTTATGGCTAAGTAGTATTCCATGGTGTGTGTGTGTGTGTGTGTGTGTGTGTGTGTGTGTGTGAGAGAGAGAGAGAGAGGGAGAGAGAAAGATTTTTTCTCTATCCAGTACTCCATTGATAGACACACAGATTGATTCCATATCTTTGCTAGTATGAATAGTGCTACAATAAACATACAGGTACAGGTATCTTTTTGATATAATGATTTCTTTCCTTTTGGGTAGATACCCAGTAGTGAGATTGCTGGATCACATGATAGTTCTATTTTTAGTTCTTTGAGAAATCACAATGAGCAATTTTGAAGGAGTCTTCCAAGGATATACTGAAACACAAATGAAAACAATGTACCCATAATTATGAACTCTTTATCCATCCTTTATATTTAAAAGAGATCTCCTAATCCAACTCTCTGGGATTTTATTTCTTCATGTGTGAAATGATGAGGTTCGAGTAGGAGATCTCTTTTAAATATAAAGGATGAAGATGCTTCCATAGAGGCTGAACATTAATTTACATATTTAATTAGCCAGATTGAAGAATGTATGGCCTTAAGATTGGATATCATTCATTAAGGTTGATCCAGTTACAATAAAAATTTACTTTTTATTTACTTAATTTAAAAAAATTTTTTAATCTTAAAAAAAATTTAAATCCCTTCCCAGCAAAGCAATACTTTTTATTTTTAAGTAGATGTTTCATTTCCTGCATTCCATACACATTTTTTAAAATATGACCAGCTTGGCAGACTATGAAAGCACACGAGTCTGACATTAATTGGCAACATTGAATATGTGCATTCAAGTACTTATTCAAATGTATAACCTCCAACTAACTGCTGCTTCGCAGTTATCAAAATTTCCACTAATGTTATATTTATGAACTGCTAAATCTATATTTCTAGCCCAGAACTCTCTGCTGAGCATATCCAACTGCCCACTGAACATCTCTACTGGGATAGTCTGCTGAACAAGTTCAAAAACCAAGCTTCTTCTCTTCTCCTGAAAACCTGCTCCTCCTCCTGAGTTTCCAGCTTGGCAAATGGACCCTGCATCCAGCCTCTTGATTCTCTTCTAAAGATCTCTGTATCCCTAAATTTCTTTGTGTCCCAGCTGCCACTGTCCTGGCCCTCTCTACTGCTTGCGTGAGTCGCTGCCATCCAGCCTCCTATTGGACTCCCACTCCAATCCATTCTCACAATCTTTCTAAGATGCACATTCAAACATTCTTTTATTCAGCAAATATTTATTGAATGTTTCCCACGTGCTGGGTACTGTCCCAGTCCTGTGTACAAAGCAAAGTCCTTGCCTTTACGGAACTTACATGGCAGAAGAAGCAGACAATAAGCAGACGAACAAATGGATATATGATAAAATGATGGGTAGGGATAATTGCTACAGAGGAGAACAAGGAAGGGATGTTTTTATTTTTTATTTATTTATGTATTATTATTATTATTATTATACTTTAAGTTTTAGGGTACATGTGCACAATGTGCAGGTTAGTTACATATGTATACGTGTGACATGCTGGTGCGCTGCACCCACTAACTCGGGAAGGGATGTTTTTAGATCGGGTGGTCAAGGGAGGGCTTGAAGAGTGGTATTTGAGTAGAAAGAAGTGAAGAAGCAAACTAGGCGAATATCAGAGGAAAGAACGTTCCTGGGTGAGAAGACTCTAGAGTGGACCCTTGCTTTGTGTGTTTGAACAACAGCAAACAGGACAGTGGGGCTGGAGTGGAGTGAGCCAGAGGGAGAATGGAGGCAATGAGGCCAGGGAGGTGAGGAGGGACCAGACCAGGCAAGGCCTGGCCGTCCACTGATAGCTTTTCAGCAGGGGGGAGATGAGACATGCCTCCTGTTTCAAAACAACTGTCTCTGTTCTGTGGAAAATACATTGTAAGGGATCAAAAACAATGGCAGAGAGATCAGTTAGGAGGCTTATGCATAGTTTTAGCAAGAGATAATGGTGGATTTGGCCAGGCGTGGTGGCTCACACCTGTAATCCCAGCACTTTAGGAGGCTGAGGCGGGTGGATCACTTGAGGTCAGGAGTTCAAGACCAGCCTGGCCAACATGGTGAAACCCTGTCTCTACTGAAAATACAAAAATTAGCTGGGTGTGGGGGCAGGAGCCTGTAGTCCCAGCTACTTGGGAGGCTGAGGCAGGAGAATCGCTTGAACCCGGGAGGCGGAGGTTGTAGTGAGCTGAGATCATGCCACTGCACTCCAGCCTGGGTGACGAGAGCGAAATTCCGTCTCAAAAAAAAAACAAAAAACAACACCAAAAAAACCCAAAACCAAAGAGATAACGGTGGATTTATTTTATTATATTTTATTATGGTAAAACATACATGACAAAATTTGCCATCTTAACCATTTTTAAGTGTACGGTTTAGTGGCATTAAGAACATTCACATTGTGGGGCAACCATCACCAACATCCATGGTGGAGCTTGTTTATCCTCCTAAACCAGAACTCTGTACACATGAAACAGTAACTCCCATTCCTTGCTCCCCTCAGCCCTGGCAGCCACTGTTACTTTCTGTCTCTATGAATTTGACTACTCCTGTTATGTCATGTAAGTGGAATCACACAATATGTGGCCTTTTGTGTCTGGCTTCTTTAACTTAGTACAATATTTTCAAGGCTCATCATCCTTTTTTTTTTTTGAGATGAAGTTTCGCTCTTGTTGCCCAAGCTGGAGTACAATACTGTGATCTTGGCTCACCACAACCTCTGCCTTCTGGATTCAAGGAATAGCTGGGATTACAGGCATGTGCCACCATGCCCGACTAATTTTGTACTTTTAGTAGAGACGGGGTTTGTCCATGTTGGTCAGGCTGGTCTCGAACTCCTGACCTCAGGTGATCCGCCCACGTCAGCCTCCCAAAGTGCTGGGATTACAGGTGTGAGCCACCGCGCCCTGCCAGACTTTCCATCCTTTTTAAAGCCGAGTAATACTCCATTGGATGTACATTTCCCATCTGGTTTTTCCTTTCATCTGTTGATGGACATTTGGCTGCTTCCACCTCTCAGCTATTGTCAATAATGCTGCCATAAACAAGAGTGTACAAATATCCCTTTGAGACCCTGCTTTTAATTCTTTTGGGTATATATACACCCAGAAGGGGCATTGCTGGATCAAATGGTAATTTGGGTGGATTATTTTCAATGTAGAGATGACAAGAATCTATTCCTCTGCCTAAAATTTTTCAATGGCTTTCTATTGCTTTCAGGCAAAAGTTGGTTTAATATGGTTCAAATATCTTGCAAGATTTTACCCTTGCCAATCTTTTGTAATCTCCCACCCCCACATTCTAAATGCTGGTGAATATCTTTGAATCCCTAGAATAGGCCATGCCGTTTTCTGGGTACTGGCCCCGACCCCGGCTGACTTGTCTCTATTCTTAGCTCTCCCGGAGAGGGCACTTTCCTATCCCGCGGAATCCAGATTAGACTTTCTAGAGACACCTTCCCGAGTGCCTGCAGTGCCCTTGCTCTTCCTCTGCCTTGTGCATCTCGCGTCCTGCAGTACCGCTGTCCACCTGGGCGTGTTCCCTCTTACGTGGGAAGTGCTGTGTCTGACAGAACTGATACCAGCCAGGTACGAGTATCTGTTGAAAAATGAACACAAGAGGATGTACAACCTGTCCATTCCTTGAGACACAGTACTTTAAAATATCAGTCGCAAAGCTGGGCTCAGTGGCTCGCGCCTGTAATCCCAGCACTTTGGGAGGCCAAGGCAGGTGGGTTACTTGAGGTCAGGAGTTTGAGACCAGTCTGGCCAATATGATGAAACCCTGTCTCTACTAAAACTACAAAAATTAGCCGGGCGTGGTGGCAGGCACCTGTAATCCCAGTTACTTGGGAGGCTGAGGCAGGAGAATTGCTTGAACCCGGGAGGCGGAGGTTGCAGTGACATGCCATTGCATTCCAGCCTGGGCATCGCAGCGAGACTCCATCTCAAAATTAAAAAAAAAAAAAAAAAGATAAATAAAATATGAGTCACAAACAAAATACCTTCAGAGGCCAGACACAAAACCAAAATGTGTGATGCTGAGAGTGAGGGGCTGATAAAGTAGGGAATGGTGGGACTTGTGGCCTTCCAGAGCTGTACTATGCAATTGGATCGTTACTAGCCACATGTGACTATTACATTAAAATTAGTTGAAATTAAATACAATTGAAATTCATCCCTTCCACCTCACTAGCCACATTTCAAGTGGTCTGTAGGTAGCCACATATGGCTATTGGCTACTATACTGGACAGTGGAGACAGAGAACATGTTCATCATTGCAGAAAGTGTTGTTTGACAGTGTTATTCTAAGGAACGCATGTCTCATGTAAGGTATTCAGATTTTAAAGTTTTAGCTGGGCATGGTGGCTCATGCCAGTAATCCCTGCACTTTGGGAAGCTAAGGCAGGAGGATCTCTTGGGGCCAGGAGTTTGAGACCAGCCTGAGCAACATAGGCAGAACTTTGTTTCTACAAACTTTAAAAAAAAAAAAAGTTAGCCAGGTTTGGTGGTATGTGCCTATAGTTCCAGCTACTCGAGAGGCTGAGGCAGGATGATCACTTGAGCCCAGGAGTTTGAGGCTGAAGTGAGCTATGATCATGCCACTGCTCTCTAGCCTAGGTGACAGAGCAACTGTGTCTCTTAAAATAAAATAAAAATGTAAAACAGTGTTCTGGCCAAACGAAACACTTTGGGTACACCGATTTCTAACTCTTGCTCTTAGAAATGAATCTTCAGATAAAGCACTTGGAGACTGCAGCACTTACACTCGTCTTTGAGGAAACAAGTCTCAGTCCTACGGATGAGAGAATGAGGCTGACAAAGTTGCCTACCACCCACCTTGCATGGTGGCCTCTTTATGAAAGTTCTGGAGGAAATTTTTCTCTGATCTTAGTGCCAGGAATAGTTGCATGTTTTTATAACACAGTCTAATTCTGTCATTGATCACATTTCCTTTTTTACATTGGCCGCTAAATCTTTAGTGCCAACTCATGACCCAGCTCTAGCAGGGGAGTCAAACCTTGCACTGTGCATAGCAGGAACCCTTAGGGTCATCTTATTTTTTTCAACTCTATCTCCCTTTAAAAAATCCTGTGGCATGTGTTTTGTAAATACATTTCTTTCCCAGGGAATCTAATTTATTTATTTTGGTGCCATATAGTATTCTATGATATATATGCACTAGAGCTTGATTCTGCAACCCTTCATTGGTAGGTATTTGAATTGTTTCTATTTTCCGCTATTACAAACAATGCTAATGAAGGCTCCCGTGCATGCGTCTTTACTTGTATATGTGACAGCGCACTGGGAAATGGAACTACGAGGTTGCAAGGTGTACTTATTTTCAACTTTGAGGTGTTGCCAAATTGCACTCCAAAGCTGTCATTATCAATTTACATCCCCACCAGCTGTGTATGAGATTCTCATTCTCACATCCTGCTATCACTTGGAATTATTATAATTTTTCCCAATGTAATGGGTTTAAAATATCTTGCTTTGTTTTGCATTTTCCTGACCACTCCTGATATTGTGTCTGTTTTCATACTTATTGGTCCAATTGTGGTTCCTCTTTTGTGTGTTTCCAACACATATCCTTTGCTTATTTTCTAGTGTATTGTTTATTATTCTCCTACTGACTGATGGGAATTATATAAATCACTTTTTTAAAATCACAGCTTTATTGGAACAGAATGCTCATACCATAAAATTCACCCTGTTAAAGTGTACAATTCAGTGGCTTTTGGTATATGCACAGAGTTGTGCAACTATCAGTGCTTTCTGACTTTAGAGCACTTCATCCTCCGAAAAGAAACCCCATCCCCATTTGCAGCCTCTCCCCATTGCCCTCATCCTCCCTGCCCAGCCCCAGGCAACCTCCAATCTACTTTCCGTCTCTATAGATTTGTCTTTTTTGAACATTTCTTACAGATAGAATCATACAATAAAATCCATTTTGAAATAAGGTGGGAATCCAGATAGTTATTTCAAAGAGTTATGGGATCATTTTGCATTTTTGAGTTATGTAAGTGGCCCTCCGTGCTTAGATGCTTTTTACTTACATCTAAATGTCATTTTTTCTTCCCACATGAGTTATAATGAACAAATATATATTTTTGAAAATCCAGGCTTCCTATTTCTGGTATCTTTCACCTTCAAGGATTCTCCAGAGATCAAAATCTCCTCTTTGAAAAGCATTGGCCTGGAGCAAATCATAGTCTAAACACAACTCTTAGAAGAGCAGAGCTAAAATTCAGTTTTGTTTACATTTGGCTGAACTAAAGGGGGTCATTTCAAGAAAGACAAGGACTAGAAAAGGAAATGGGCTGGAATGAGTCTAAAATATTTAATGTTTAAAATTGGGGAAATATCTAAGAGAACTTCCAGCTATTGCGAACTGCATGATCGAAAAGAAATTGAGTATCAGGGGAACTAGACAAACCAAGGTCCTTTAGGGGTAAAAATCATACAGTGCATATCTCCCTGTATACATAATATAGTATATAGTGCAGAAATGAGAAAATAGATCATAAAGTCCCTCTGGGGAGTACATACTTTGGGAGTCAAAGGTGGAAGTGGGGAAAAGGAAGAGCGTTCCATATTGGATAGGAAACTTAGACTATTTCAGCCCATGAGACAAAAAGAATTGAATTAAATAGAAATGCAAGTTAATTTTAATCAGCAAGTCAGACACAATGTTCACAAATCTTGTTTTGCTAACTTTTCCAAAGCAAACAAAGGAGGTGGTTATTGATATTCTTTTGGCACATTCTGATAGGCAAAATGGTGCTTTTAATTTATAGATTTAAAGTTTAGTGTTATTTTTAGTGGAAATATTCTTCCTATTTTCCTATTGAGTTTTAGAAATTCAGGTTATTCCAACATGTCTTTCAATGTTAATGGTGTTATTTTTCCTCCCACAGTGTAGACTCATAGATGCTTTCTAACACATCCAGCATTTCACACTCTCCACGGGGCTTAACAAATGCCATTTGCTGTCAGACACAGATAAGGCCCTTGGACATTGTTAATACAAGCTGCCGTCTTCTCCCAGGAAGTATATGTATGTCAAGATCTTTGGGTATGTGATAGATCTAAGCGTAAATTTGATTATAATACATGTGCAGTATATTTTCTTGAAACTTCCACTTATTTCTCACTAGTTAGCCTCATCTACTTATCCTGCTTTTTAAGAGAAAATTTCCAAATCCTCCACAAGTTTCTTGAAGTATGAATAAGGAGATTCATGAATCATCAACTGTAACACTCCAATAACCTTGACTAACAGTGGGAGCACATCTAGACCACAGAATATTTTTAAAGAACTGTAGTTTATCACTTACTTTCAGGCACACACATAAACTAAAGCTGGAGACAAGGTGTTTCCACGTCAAGGGCCTCCTGGTCTGTTTATGTCTCATTTGTGACGGACAGTGTAGACACTAACATTCTCAAAGCAGATCATTTGGGCAATTAGACATGAAAATACTATGAACTATTTCATTATCTTTATTAAGTTCCTTGCTTTTTTTTTTGTTTTGTTTCCAAGAGATGAGCAACCATACAGCTGTTTTTGGAGGCTACAGACTTCAAAGTATTTCCATTTTCAAAGAGTAGTCATTAATACTGTGTCCAGAATTGGTGGGTTCTTGGTCTCACTGACTTCAAGAATGAAGCTGCAGTGTTACAATCCTTCAAGGCAGCATGTCCAGAGTTTGTTCCTACTGATATTCACATGTGTTTGGAGTTTCTTTCTTCTGGTGCACTCATGGCCCCGCTGGCTCAAGAGTGAAGCTGCAAACCTTCACAGCGAGTGTTGCAGCTCATAAAGGCAGTGTGAACCCAAAGAGTAACCAGTAGCAACATTTATTGCAAAAAACAAAGCTTCCACAGCATGGAAGGGCACCAGTGCAGGTTACCACTGCTGGCTCCGGCAGCCTGCTTTTATTCTCTTATCTGGCCCCACCCACATCCTGCTGATTGGTAGAGCCAAGTGGTCTGTTTTGACAGGGCACTGATTGGTGCGTTTACAATCCCTGAGCTAGACACAAAGGTTCTCCACCTCCCCACCAGATGAGCTAGATACAGAGTGTGGACACAAAGGTTCTCCAAGTCCCCACCAGAGTAGCTAGATACAGAAGTGTCGATTGGTGCATTTACAAACCCTGAGCTAGACGCAGGGTGCTGATTGGTGTGTTTACAAACCTTGAGCTACATACAGAGAGTGCCGACTGGTGTATTCACAATCCCTGAGCTAGACATAAGGGTTCTCCAAGGCCCCACCAGAGCAGCTAGATACAGAGTGTCAATTGGTGCATTCACAAACCCTGAGCTAGACACAGGGTGCTGATTGGTGTGTTTACAAACCTTGAGCTAGATACAGAGTGCTGATTGGTGTATTTGCAATCCCTGAGCTAGACATAAAGGTTCTCCACGTCCCCACCAGACTCAGGAGCCCAGCTGGCTTCACCCAGTGGATCCTGCACTGGGGCTGCAGGTGGAGCTGCCTGCCAGTCTCACGCCATGCACAGGCACTCCTCAGCCCTTGGGTGGTCGATGGGACTTGGCGCCGTGGAGCAGGGGGCGGCGCTCGTCAGGGAGGCTCAGGCGGCACAGGAGCCCACGGAGCTTGTGGGAGGCTCAGGTATGGCTAGCTGCAGGTCCCGAGCGCTGCCCCACGGTAAGGCAGCTAAGGCCCGGCGAGAAATTGAGCGCAGCACCAGTGGTCTGGCACTGCTGGGGGACCCAGTACACCCTCCGCAGCCGCTGGCCCGGGTGCTAAGCCCCTCATTGCCCGGGGCAGCAGGGCCGGCGGACTGCTCCGAGTGCGGGGCCCGCCAAGCCCAGGCCCAACCGGAACTCCTGCTGGCCTGCAAGCCCCGCGCAGTCCTGCTCGCGCTTCTCTCTCCACACCTCCCTGCAAACTGAGGGAGCCGGCTCTGGCCTTGGCCAGCCCAGAAAGGGGCTCCCACAGTGCAGTGGTGGGCTGAAGGGCTCCTCAAGTGCCGCCAAAGTGGGAGCCCAGGCAGAGGAGGCGCAGAGAGCGAGCGAGGGCTCTGAGGACTGTCAGCACGCTGTCACTTCCCAATACCAAAGAACTCAAATGGACTGCCAAAGCACAACAGAAGCAATTAATATCAAAAGAGAACCTTTCCAGGACATGTGAATTATTCATTTTTCTAAATTTTTCCATTTCTGTTTCTGCATTACTACAGGACCTAAAAGCAGATATGCTATTCTATAGAAGTGGTTCTCACAGTTTAATGTGCTAGATTCCTGGTCCATGTCACCCCCCACCAATTTTGATTTAGTTGGTCTGGGATAGGACTTAAGAATTTGTATGTGTATCATGTAGCTCCAGGTAATTTTGATCCAAGTGATACCTACTGACCATATTTGGGAAATTGAAAGTGAATGCACTGAATTTCTGCATAACCTATGTTCCACTCGGTCATGTTGAAGGTAGATACAATAACTTTTCATATGAAGAAATGTTTTGCATCCCTTGTGAAACTATTGTTTTTCATGGTGTTATTCGATATATTTTATGGGTCTTTTATTTTTGATATGCAGTCTCGCTCTGTTGCCCAGGCTAGAGTGCAGTGGCGTGATCTCGGCTCACTGCAACCTCCTCCTCTCGGGTTCAATTACTTCTCCTGCCTCAGTCTCCTGAGTAGCTGGGATTACAGGTACACGCCACCACGCTGCTAATTTGTGTGTGTGTGTGTGTGTACTTTTAGTAGAGACGGGGTTTCACCATGTTGGCCAGGCTGGTCTCAAATTCATGACCTCAGGTGATCCGCTGGCCTTGGCCTCCCAAAGTGCTAAGATTACAGGCATGAGCCACCGTGCCAGGCGTCTTATGGTGTTTTTTTTTCGTTTATTTGTTTTTTGAGAGGGAGTCTCGCTCTCTCTCCCAGGCTGGAGTGCAGTGGCGCGATCTAGGCTCACTGCAAGCTCCGCCTCCCGGGTTCACGCCGTTCTCCTGCCTCAGCCTCCTGAGTAGCTGGGACTACAAGCGCCCACCACCGGGCCCGGCAAATTTTTTGCATTATTAGTAGAGACGGGCTTTCACCGTGTTAGCCAGGATAGCCAGGATGGTCTCAATCTCCTGACCTCATGATCCGCCTGCCTTGGCCTTCCAGAGGTCTTATGGGTCTTTTATATCCGAAATTATATGACAAATATATCTGAGGATTTAATGACAGAAAAAAGTTTTCCTTTTCCTAGAAAACTGATGTTCTTTCAATTAACAACCAAGAGAATAAAAATTATCTCTTTTTGTCTTAGACCATAGGAATCCCAGAAAATAAATACATATCTCATTTCAGGTTCTTAGCTGATTTTTCCCCCTTGCCTCTTCCTCAATATGGCTTCTGAATTTGCTTTATGATTCAATTTTTAGCTGTCTTGATGCAAATAGCTTTTTATGATAATGCTTTCTCAGAAGCAGGGAAGGGAAATTATAAAAATATAAATAAATATATATATTTTTTTGAGATGGAGTCTGGCACTGTCGCCCAGGCTGGAGTGCAGTGGCGCGATCTCAGCTCACTGCAAGCTCTGCCTCCAGGGTTCACGCCATTCTCCTGCCTCAGCCTCCCAAGTAGCTGGGAGTACAGGTGCCCGCCACCACGCCCGACTAATTTTTTGTGTTTTTAGTAGAGACGGGGTTTCACCGTGTTAGCCAGGATGGTCTCGATCTCCTGACCTCATGATCCGCCCGCCTCGGCCTCCCAAAGTGCTGGGATTACAGGCGTGAGCCACTGCTCCCGGCCTAAATAAAATATTTAATGTGATTGTAGCTTCATGATATTACCAACAGTTCTCTCTTTCCTGCACTCAACTGCAAGCCAGGGTCCAGTGTTGACCTGGGCAACTCTTCTGGCTCATCCAGTTCCTCATAAGAATTTTTTGCTTCTCTCATTCCGTGTTATGTATATCATCCTAATTGAGCTGAGCCCATGGTGGCCTTTCTTTCCACTTTCCTGATGCCTGTTCTTTACTGACTTTCTCAAACATAACAGTGCTGCTTGAATCTGCTGTCTTCAACAATGTCTAATGTTTTGTATTTATTCATTGTGAAAATTGCATTTATTTCCCAAAAATCTTCATTACCAAAAGCTGGAAACAACAACTTCAGTGTCCTTCAATGGGCAAATGGATACATAAACCATGGTGTATTCACAGAACAGAATACTACTCAGCATTATGCTATGTGAACTAAGCCAGTCTCAAAAGATTACATATCATATGATTTCATTTATTTGAGATACTGGAAAAAGCAGAACTACGGGACAGCGAATATGTTGCCAGAGGTTGGGGTGTGGAGAGGGTCTGAGCAAAGGGGGAACATGAGGGAATTCTTTAGGTGTTGGAATGTCCTGTTTGTGGTAGTAGTTACAAGAATCTATGCATGTGTTAGAACTCATAGACATGTATACCAATGTGAATTCTATTGTATGTAAATAAAAGCAAGCCACATACTAGGAGAAAATAATTGCAAAACATGTATTTGATAAGGATGTATATCCAGAATATTTAAAGAATTCTCAAAACTCAATATAGAAACAAACAACCCAGTTAAAAATGGCAAAAGTTTTGAATAGATACTTAATCAAGGATCATGTACACATGGCAAGGAAACACAGGAAAGGATGCTCAACATTGTCATTAGGGAACTGCAACTTAAAACCACAATGATTTAATGAAATCCAACATTCTTCTATGATAAAATCCTCAACAAATTGGGTATAGAAAGAACATACCTCAAAATAATAAAGGCCATATATGACAAATCCACAGCTAACATATACTGAACAGGGCAAAATTAAAAGCCTTTCCTCTAAGATCTGGAATAAGACAGGGATGCCCACAGGGATCACCACGTCTATTCGACATGGTACTGGAAGTCCTGGCCACAGCAATTAGACAAGAGAAAAAATAAAGGGCATACAAATTGGAAAGAAAGAAGTCAAATTAACCTTGTTCACAGATGACATGATATCATATTTTGAAAAACCTAAAGACTCCACCAAAAAAAACCTATTAGAACTCATGAACAAATTCAATAAAATTGCAGGATACAAAATCAACAAAAGAAATAAGTAGCATTTGTATATGCCAACAGTGAACAATCTGAAACAGAAATCAAGAAAAAAAACCCATTTATAACAACTACAAAAAATATAAAATACCTAGGGATCAGTTTAACCAAAGAAGTGAAAGATGTCTCCAAAAATTTTATAAAACACTGATGAAAGAAATGGAAGAGGACACACACACACAGAAATGGAAAGATATCTCATGCTCATGAATTAGAAGAATAGTGTTAAAATGTTAATACTAACCAAAATGATCTACAAATTAAATGCAACCCCTATCAAAATACCAATTGTATTCTTCATAGAAATAGAAAAAAAAGATCCTAAAATTCACATAGAACCACAAATGACCTTGAATAGTCAAAGCAATCTTGAGCAAAAAGAACAAAGCTAGAGACATCACACTATTTGACTTCAATTTCAAATATTTGACTATTTACTACAAAGCCATAGTAACAAAAACAGTAGGTAGGCCAGGTGGTGACCTTGGTGGCTCACACCTGTAATTCCAGCACATTGGGAGGCCAAGGTGAGTGGATTACCTGAGGTCAGGAGTTTGAGACCAGCCTGGCCAACATGGTGAAACCCCGTCTCTACTAAAAATACAAAAAAACTTAGCCAGGCATGGTGGTGGATGTCTGTAACCCCAGCTACTTGGGAGGCTGAGGCAGGAGAATCACTTGAACCTGGGAGGTGAAGCTTGCAGTGAGCCGAGATCACACCATTGCACTCTAGCCTGGGTGACAAGAGTGAAACAGTGTCTCAAAATAAACAAAAACGAAATAAAAAAACAACAGCGTGGTACTAGAATAAAAACAGACACATAGACCAATGGAACAGAGTAGATAAGCCATAAATAAGTCCATGCATTTACTACCAACCCATTTTGACAAAGGCTCCAAAAACATACATTGGGAAAAGGAGAGTCTCTTCAATAAATGGTGCTGGGTAAACTAGATAACCATATACAAAAGAATGACGTTAAACAACTATCTCTCACCTTGTGTACACAAAAAAACTCAAAATGGATTAAAGACTTAAATCTAAGGCCTGAAAGCATGAAACTACCAGAAGAAAACACTGAGGAAATGCTTTGGGACATTGATCTGGGCACAGAGTTTTTTGGGTAAGACCTCAAAAGCACAGACAGCAAAAGCAAAAATTGTCAAATGGGTTTACATCAAGCTAAAAAGCTTCTGCACAGCAAGAAAACAACAAAGGGAAGAGAATCTACAGAATGGAAGAAAATATTTGCAAGCTATTCCTCTGACAAAGAATTAATAAACAGAATATATAAGGAACTCAAACACCTCAACAGCCAAAAACACACACACAAAAAAAATCTAAAAGAAACAGGCAAAGGATCTGAGTAGACATTTCTCAATTGAAGACATGCAAATGGACAACAGATATATGAAAAAGTGTGCAGCATCACCAATCATCAGGGAAATGCAAATCAAAACCACAATGAGACATCATCTGACCTCAGTTAAAATGCCTTTTATCAAAAAGACAAAAAATAATGGATGCTGTCAAGAATGTGGAGAAAGGGGAATGAACGCTTACTTGTACACTGCTGGTGAGAATGTAAATTAGTATAGCCATTCTGGAAAACAGTTTGGAGGTTCCTCAAAAAACTAAAAACAGAGCTACCATATGATCCAGCAATCCCACTGCTGGGTATATATCCAAAAAGAAAGGAAATCAGTATGATGAAGAGATATATGTTATTGTAACACTGTTTACAATAACCACAATACGGAATCAACCTAAGTGTCCATCAACAGATGAATGGATAAAGAAACTGAGGTGCACGTACACAATGGAATATTATTCTGCCTTAAAAAGAATAAAATCATGTCATTTTCAGCAACATGGATAGAACTGGAGGTCATTATGTTAGGTGAAATAAGCCAGGCACGGAAAGACAAATTTTGCGTGTTCTCACTCGCATTTGGGAGCTTAAAAAGTGTACCTTATGGAGGCAGAGAGTTGATTAGTGGTTACCAGAGGCTGGGAAGGGTAATGATGGAGAGAAAAAAAGAGAGGTTGGTTAATGGGTACAAAAATGCAGTTAAATGGAATAAGATCTCTTGTTGAATAGTGCAGTATGGTGACTATAGTTAGCAGTAATTTGTTGTATAGTTCAAAATGGCTGGAGGAGTGGAATTAGAATGTTCCCAGCATAAACGGGGTGAATGTTTAGAGTGATGGATGTCTCAATTGCTCTGGTTCAATCATTACATATTGTATGCATGTGTCAAAATACCAAATGTACCCCCAACATGTGTACAATTATGTATCAATAAAAAAATCTCATGAATAATTTTGAATATTGTTTATAGATGGAAACAGTAGTTTTTTGCATATATTAGCTTAATTAAAATATGCTTAAAATTTTAAAACCCGCAATAAATATTTCTATTTTAATTGATGAAATAATAAAAATTTTAAAAACTGACAATACTGTGATCAATAATGAGGTGTAGAAAAAAAAAGAAAAAATGGATAATACCTAGTGCTGGTGAGGATGCAGAACAGCTCTAACTGTCATTTATTGCTGGTGGGAACATCAGATGTTTACAGCCACCTTAGAAAATAGTTTGACATTTTCTTTTTTTTTTTTTTTTTTTTGACATTTTCTTAAAAAGTTAAGCATGCCACATGATCCAGCGATTCCACCTCTATGCATTTACCCAAGGAAAGTGAAAACATGTTTATACAAAAACCTGGACATGAATGATTATAGCAACTTTATTTATAATTGTCCCAAACTGGAAACAACACAAATGTTCTTCAGCTGGTAAATGGATAAACATACTGTGATTTACCCATACAAAGAAAGACTGCTCAGCAAAAGGAACAAACTACTGATATATGCAACGAAATGGATGAATCGCAAATGCATTATGCTAAGTGAAAGAAGCTGGATTCAAAAGGCCATATACTGGATGATTCCATTATGACATCCAGAAAAAGAAAATCTATAGGTACAAAAAAACAGATCAATGATTGCCAGAGTCAGGCGGAGGTACTGGCTACGAAGGGACACCAGGAGATGTTTAGACACAGAGGGATAGAACTGATCTATATCTTGATTACGATGGTGGGTACATTACCATATGCATTAGTCAAAACTCAGAGATTGATACACTATAAAGAGTAAATCTTTTAGTATGTAAGTTGAATTTGTATTATGTTCAGTAATCAATATGGTCCTCAGAGCTGGAAGAACTTGACAGTTTGTGAGTTTCACTTTTGTTCTTTCAATTGTCTTTCCTGTTCATATCAATCCAAAAAGCGTTGCGTGTTTACATGTATCATCCATCCTGCTAAGCATTTCTAAGATTACAAAAGAAGTTTAAAACTAGGTTTTTGACCTCGAGTTGTTCATAAGTATGAGGACAGGCATTGCAATTAAGACTTTATCTGGTAAGTAATAAATGGTCATTATAAGTCCCTAAATACAGAGATGACTAGTGAATGCAAATCTTAGGTCAATCAGAAAGTTCTGATTGTATAGTGTTGTATAGATTATAGCTGGGAGGTACCGAAGGGGAAAACTCTTTAAGAAATAATTGCACTAACCTGGAAGTGAGGTGGGTGATCAGAATGCAGACAGGGAGATGGTGCTTCTGGATCCCTGGCTGGCAGATTAAGCACATATTCAGGGACAAAGCTGGGGCACCTAAAAATGAGAAACCCTCAGCTTTCATTACAGGTTTTACAGACCTTTGTAACTTATAAAGAAGGGCACCATGCACTTTTTTGTCCTGGGACAGGCCCTAATCTGTCTCTGTCATGACAGAGGAGATGGAAAGAAAGGGCTAAATCCAAAGACACTAAAAAGAGAGGAAAAAAAAAAAGACTAGAATTTAAGGAATGAAGTAGAGTAGGGTTAAAACAGTGATTTTAGAGTTATCTTGGAAGAATTTAGCATCAATAAACAGAGAACACTGATCAAAAAGGTGGGCGGAGATGTATGATTAGAGAATGGGTCATCCAGTTTGGAGATGTTCTCTTCACCCCAGCTGCTCTGCGCTCCTTTGCCATTCCTAGAACAAGCAGGCACACTCTGGTTGCAGAGCCTTTGAACTGACTGTTCCCTTTGCTTGAAATGCTCTTTCCCGGGCCAGCGCAGTGGCTCACACCTGTAATCCCAGCACTTTGCGAGGCCGAGGCGGGAGGATCACCTGAGATCAGGAGTTCAAGACCAGCCTGAACAACATGGAGAAACCCCGTCTCTACTAAAAATACAAAATTAGCCTGGCATGATGGTGCATGCCTGTAATTCCAGCTACTTGGGAGGCTGAGGCAGGAGAATCACTTGAACCTGGGAGGCAGAGGTTGCAGTGAGCCGAGATCGCATCATTGCACTCCAGCCTGGGCAACAAGAGCGAAACTCTGTCTAAAAAAAAAAAAAAGAATTGCTCTTTCCCCCACGGCTACATGGTACTCCCAAACCTTTTCCACTTCTTTATACAAGCCATACCTTCTGCATGAGGCCCACCTGACCAACCTGTTTAAAACTGTAACCACCCCTCCCAAGTCTCTATAGCCTGTTGGTTCTTTTCTTTTTCACAGCATTTACTGTCTTCTTGCCTGCTAGGATGCTTTAGTCACTTAGAACACCTGTTGTTTACCGTCTACCTCCTTTTGCTGGAATGCAAGCCCTTAAGGGCAGGGATCATTAACTATTTTGTTTATAGTTAAGTTGCAAGCACCCAGAATACTCCGCACATCCTAGGTGCTCAATAAATATTTGTGAATAAGTAAACCATGCTAATTAACATTTACTGAGCATATTCTGAGACTACATATTTTGCCATGTGCTTTAAATCAGGCATCCCCAACCATGGGGCCATGGACTGGTACCCATCAGTGGCCTGTTAGGAATAGGGCTGCGCAGTAGGAGGTGAGCCAAAGGTGAGTGAGCAAAGCATGTGTATTTATAGCCACTCCCCATCACTCACATTACCATGTGAGCACTGCTTCCTGTCACATCAGCAGTGGCATTAGAGTCTCATAAGAGCATGAATCCTATTAAGAACTGCGCATGTGAGGGATCTAGGTTGTGAGAATCCTTATGAGAATCTAATTCCTGATGATCTGTCACTGTCTCCCATCACTCCCAGATGGGACCATCTAGTTGCAGGAAAACAAGCTCAGGGCTCCCACTGATTCTACATTATAGTGAGTTGTATAATTATTTCATCATATGCTACAATGTAATAATAATAGAAACAAAGTGCACCAATAAATGTAATGAGCTTGAATAATTCTGAAACCAACCCCCTCCCCGTCCCATCTGGGGAAAAATTGTCTTCCAAGAAGGCAATCCCTGATGCCACAGCAACTGGGGACTGCTGCTTTACATTATGTATATCACTGAATCTTTACAACTGCTTTATGGAGCAGGTACTATTATTATTCCCATTTTACAGATAAGGAAAGAGACTGGCAGAGTAAGAGACTGACCCATGGTTACACATAGCTACTAAGAATTGGAGCCAGGGTTCAAACCCAGACACATAGACCCCAGAGCCTGCTCTGGCCACGTCCTAGTTGGCTGGTGCCAAGAAGCTCGGCAGATTCTTGGTTGGCTGGTACATTGAAAAGATCAGATCTGTGGGTTGCATTTGTCAGTGGAAGCCATTTGAAAGAATGAGTTATGCAAGAGCAACCTAGTGCTGACGATATGGGTTGATAAAGAGGCTAAGACTGCTGCTATACTTGCACCCTTTGAAAAGATAATAAAACTGGAATGTAAACTCATTTTCACTTCTCAATAGTTTATAAGGAATACAAGGCTTAAATTCACATTTTTAAAAAAGGTATATGCAGGTTGAATCCCTTTTAGTCTCCACTTTTCAGCAAAGTTTACCGAAAATAAAATCCATTTACTGCTGACACTGGAATTGCCTTGTGTGGGTAGTTCATGTGGCTTCTATTTTACTCTATAGACAGGAAAATTTGTTATTCTTTATACACTATCTCTAAGAATTTATTATTGAAATGGGATTAACAACATAAAAATAGTACTGAAGAAAAGCAGATCTTAATTTGGATCGTGTTTTATCAATTCCAGGAGCAGCCCATGATTATAAAAATACCTTCAACCTCCTTAAACATGGATTCACCCTTCCGGTGTGGGCTTAGGGCAGGGTGACCTTTCCCTTTTGATGACCGCCCTCTTGTGGTGAACTGTGAGTATGCACGTCTCCATCTTCAAGATGCTTTGTGAGACGGGAACAGTGTTTTGTACAGAGCATTCCCTGACATCCGGGGTGAGGAGAAGTACTCCCTGCATGATCCTAGTTCTTGAGTAGTCTCTGATGTTCTTTAAACATAAGGGCAAATGTGTTGTTTTTATTTCTAGACTTTATTTTTTGACCGTGTATTTTTATGCCCACTGCTGTTACTGTGACCAATTTTAGTTATAATTATTTTCTCTTTCTATTTTATGGAGGATAATTAGCGAATGGAAATAGAAAAAAATTTAAATAGGTTTAAAAAGGCTTTACATTTTAAATTCGAAGTTCACTCCTTATCCAGAAAACTCCCCATTTTTGTGTTAAAAGCATAAAAAATGTATGTTTAAGGATGAGAAATAACAGAATGTCTTGGGATTTTGAATTCCTCTCATTCAGAAGCTGTCTGAAGGTCAGTGGGAAAATGAGGTTTGGAGGTGATGTAGAATGATTGTGTAAGCTCTCAGCATGTGTCGCTCATGCATGGACACTTGATACTATGCCTCCTGGAAAATGATCATGGATGGTATGCGGAGACCCTACTCCTGATTGCAATCCGTCATATATAATGGCTGCCATTTTAATTTCACTAAATCAAGGGTCAACGTCTCAGGCTTATTTTATGATACACTGAAAAGGTTTTGGATCTTTGGAGTCAAAGAGAACTGAACTTAAATCTAAACTCTGACACTTACTGTGACTTTAGGCAAATTATTTAATCTCTCTTGTTGCAACAAAAAGACAACAATTCCCACTTTGTAGGGTCAGGTAACTCAAAGGAGTCAATGAGTATGTAAGCTGGGCCAGAGCCTTTTGCGGAAGTCATTGCACGAAAGCTCCCTTCCCTCCTGCCTCCCCACCCGCTCATCGCTTATTTATTATAGTGTAGCTGGGAAGACAAGACACACACTGAAATATGGAACAGGCAGAAAATAATAAATTGAAAATGATTTGGTGTGTACACCCAGATTTCCTTATATTATCAATTTGTCTTCATATGTTTGGAGGCTATATCAATAAAGTCTATAAATATGGAATTATATCTTCCTGGAGAGTTGAGGCTCTGGCAAACACTTTCACGTAAGGTAAACCCTAATAATGTTGTTTTCCTGAGAAGCTCGTTTGTTTGATATTCCATGAGTACGCCAGCTCTCTTTTGGCTAATATTTGCCTGGTTCAGGTCTGTGATTCCATATCTGCAGTTCTGAAAACCAAAAAGCTTGGAAAACAAAGTTATTTTTATAATTCTTTTGGCAGCAAAACCTGATCTATGCCAATGTAACACTATAGTCTTATTTATTCTACTTAGTGTGAATATTTATGTTTCTTTCAGAAATATTACTGTGTTTGATTATGGGGTGCTGCCTCAAACTCCACTGTGTTAATGTATAACATAGACCCTATATTAATTTCTTAAATTAATCTGAATTTGAAACACATTTGGCTCTAGGGTTTGGGTTAAGAGTTTGGGCTGCACTGTCTATAAATGTCTTTCTGTCTTCTTACGTTTTAGGTATGTATCTTTAAGTAACATTTAGCTGGATTTGCTTTTAATCTAATATAACAATCTGTCTTTTAAATGGAAGATTTAGGCTATTTAAATCTATTTCTGGCCGGATGCAGTGGCTCGCACCTGTAATCCCAGCACTCTGGGAGGACGAAGCAGGCAGATTGCTTGAGCCCAGGAGTTCTAGACTAGCCTGGGCCACATAATGAAACCCCACCTCTATTAAAAATAAAAATAAAAAAAATTGGCTGGGTGTGGTGGCACATGCCTGTGATCCCAGCTACTCAGCTACTCAGGAGGCTGAGGTGGGAGGATGGCTTGAGCCGAGAGGTTGAGCTGTGATTGTGCCACTGCACTCCAGTCTGGGTGACAGAGCGAGACCCTGTCTCAAAAAAATAATAACAATTATAAGATAAAAGATTAAATAGAAAAATCTATTTCTGGTGTGTTTGAATTTTTCTGTCCTCTCTCTCTTTTTGCTTTCTAAATGTTCCACTTTGTCTATAGTTTTCTCATTTCCAGCATTCTATTGGATTGAGCTTTTTTTCCCCCAAGTTTTTGCTTAATTAGCTAGGAAGTTATATACCCTCTTTATTCTCGTAATGGTTACTTTTGAAATGTTTTTCATGCACATTTAACTTATGAAGTCCAAAATTATTCCATATCTTTAGCCTATGTTTCAAAAATTCCAAGACCTTTCATTGCTCTAGCTTTGGCCGTACTCTTCCAGCTTACAATGCTATTGTCTGGTATTTTCGTTATATCTTATTTTCTAATCACAAAATTCAACATTATTATTCAATAAAGATATTTATTTCTATTTGTGCCTCTATTTACTAATTTGTTTGCACATCAAACTGTTTATCAAACGTATATTTTTTGAACAGTTACTATAGGCCTGACTCAACAGTGAGCAAAATGAAGTATCTGACATACAGGACTTAAATTCCAGCTCATACTAACTGTTTCTTCTTACTTTCAGATCTTCCTTCTGGGATAATTTTCCCTCTTCTTCCTGTATATCTCTTAGATGTTCTACTGGGGGTTTGTTGAATCTTAATTCTTTTTGCATTTTAGATAGCTTTATTGAGATATAATTTGCATACCACACAATTCCCCTATTTAGAGTATATAATTAAATGTTTTTTAGTATATTCACAGATATGTGCTATCATCACCACAGTCAATTTTAGGACATTTTCATAACCTCTAAAAGAAACTTTAACTGTTAGCAGTCACTCTATAGTGGATTGAACAGTGTCCTCCACAAATTCACATCTACCTGGAACCTCAGAAAGTAACCATGTTTGGACATAAGGTCTTTGCACATGTAATTAGTTAAGATGGGGTCATACTGGATTAGCATGGGCCCTTGAGCCAGTAATGAGTGTCCTTATAGAGGGGAGAGGACACACGGAGAAGAAGACCACGTGAAAATAGAGAAGGCTGGGCGCAGTGGCTCATGCCTGTAATCTCAGCACTTTGGGAGGCCAAGGTGGGTGAATCATCTGAGGTCAGTAGATCGAGACCAGCCTGACTAACATGAAGAAACCCTGTCTCTACTAAAAATACAAAAATTAGCCGAGCATGGTGGTGCATGCCTGTAATCCCAGCTACTTGGGAGGCTGAGACAGGAGAATCACTTGAACCTGGGAGGCAGAGATTGCGGTGAGCTGAGATCGCACCCTTGCACTCCAGCCTGGGCAACAAGAGTGAAACTCCATCTCAAAGAAAGAAAGAAAGAAAATAGAGAAAGAGATTGGAGGGATGCAGCTGCAAGCCCAGGAACACCAAGGTTTGCCAGGAGCCACCAGAAGCTAGAAGTGGGGAAGGAAAGAGTCTCCCCTAGAGCCTCCGGAGATAGCACAGCTGATATCTTAGATTTAGCACTTCTAGCCTCCAGAACTGAGAGACAATACATTTCTGTTGTTTTAAGCCATCCAGTCTGTGGTAGTTTGTTATGGCAGCCCTGAGAAACAAATGTACTCTCCATTTCCCCGTTCTCCCAGCACCTGGCAACCATTAGTCTGTTTTTTATCTCTATGGATTTACCTATTCTGGACATTTCATATAAATGGAATCATGCAGTATGTGTCCTTTTGTATTTGTATTCTGTATTTGTATTTGTATTCTGTAGCTGAGCATAATATGTTCCAGGTTATTCATGTTGTGGCATGTGTCAATGCTTCATTTTTTTTTTTTTTTTTTGAGACAGAGTCTCGTTCTGTTGCCCAGGCTGGAGTACAGTGGCATGATCATAGTTCACTGTAACTTCGAACTCTGAGGCTCAAGGGGCTCTCTTGCCTCAGCCTCCTCAGTAGCTAGGACTATAGGCATGTGTCACCACACCAGGTTAATTAAAAAATTTTTTTTGGGCCGGGCGCGGTGGCTCATGCCTGTAATCCCAGCACTTTGGGAGGCCGAGGTGGGCGGATCACCTGAGGTCAGGAGTTCGAGACCAGCCTGACCAACATGGAGAAACCCCGTCTCTACTAAAAATACAAAAAAAATTAGCCAGGCATGATGGCGCATGCCTGTAATCCCAGCTACACGGGAGGCTGAGGTGGGAGATTTGCTTGAACCTGGGCGGCGGAGGGTGTGGTGAGCCGAGATCGCGCCATTGCACTCCAGCCTGGGCAACAAGAGCAAAACTCTGTCTCAAAAAAAAAAAAAAAAAATTTTTTTTGTAGAGATAGCATCTTGCTATGTTGCCCAAGCTGGTCTTGAACTACTGGCCTCAAGGGATCCTCCCACCTTGGCCTCCAAAAGTGCTGGGATTACAGGCATGAACCCCTATGCCCAGCTGATACTTCATGTCTCTTTACAGCCAAATAACATTCCAGTGTAAGGATATACCACATTTTGTTTATCCATTCATCAGTTGATTCACATTTGGATTGTTTGCAGCTTTTGGCTTTTATGACTAATGCTGATATAAAATTCATGTACAAGTTTTTGTGTGGACATATGTTTTCATTTCTCTTGAATATATTCTTAGAAGTGGAATTGCTGGGTCATCTGGTAAATTCATGTTTAATCATTTTAGGAACTGGCAGTTTGCTTTCTGCCATTTTACTTTCCCACCAGCAGTGTGTGTGGTTTCCAGTTTCTATCCATCCCCACCAACGCCTGTTATTATCTGACTTTTGGATTCTAGCCACCCTGCTGGTTGTGCACTGGTCACTCATAGTGGTTTTGATTTACATTACCTTGATGACTAATGATGTCAATCACCTTTTCATGTGTTTATTGACAATTTGCATATTTTCCTCAGAAAAATGTCTGTTTTGATCCTTTGGCTAATTTTTAAATTGGCTTACTTGCCTCTTTATTTTTGAAGTGTGTTTTTTATACCTTCTAGATGAACATCCCTTATCAAATATATGATTTGCAAATATTTTCTTCCATGCTGTGGAAGACATTGTATTTTCAGTTTCTTAGTTGCATCCTTTGAAGTGCAAGTTTTTAATATTTATGAACTCCAATTTACGTATATTTTCTTTGTTGCCTTTGTGTCACATATAAGAATCCGTTGTCAAATCTGAGGTCATGAAGACCCCTCAGTTTTCTTAGCTGTAAAACTCTTATAATATTTATGACTGTCATTCATTTTGAGTTAATTTTTGTGTATGGTGTGAGATAAGAGTTCAGTTTCATTCTTTTGCATATATGTTTACCCAGTGGTCCCAGTGTCATTTGTTGGAAAGACTATGTTTTCCCCATTGAATGGTGTTTTACGTTTTTCAAAAATCATGTGGCCATAGACACACAGTTTTATTTCTAGACTCTCAATTCGATTCCACAAATCTGTATGTATATCCTTATGCTAGTACCACACTGTCTTGACTACTGTTGCTTTGTAAAAGTTTTGAAATCAGGAAATGTGAGTCCGACAACTTTGTTGTTCTTCTTTAAGATTGTTTTGGCTATTCTGGATCATTTGTAATCCCATACCAGTTTTGGAATCAGCTTGTCAATTTCTACAAAGAAGTCGGTTCTGGGATTCTGATAGAAATTGCATTGAATCTGTACATCAATTTGGGGAATATTGCCATCTTAACAATGCTAAGTCTTCCAATTCATGAACGTCAGATATACTTTCATTTATTTACATCTTCTTTAACTTTTTTCAACAATGTTTTATAGTTTCAGAAGTGTATATTGTAAATTTCTTTTGTGAAATTTGTTCCTAGGTGTTTTATTCTTTTCAAAGCTATTGTAAATGGAATTATTTTTTAAAGAATGTTGTATTTTTGGATGGTTCGTTGTGAAAGTATAGAAATACAATTGATTTTTGTATATTGATCTTATGTTCATCACCTTGATGAGCACATTTATTAGTCCTAGTAATTTTTAGTGAAGTCATTAAGATTTTCTAGATACAAGATCATGTTATCTATGAAAACGTTAGTTTTACTTTGTCCTTTCCAATATGGATGCCTTTTCTTTTCTTGCCTAATTGCCACAGCTATTCTATGTTGCATAGAAGTGGTGAGAACAGACATCTTTGTACTTTTCTTAATCTTAGGAGGAAAGTGTCCTGTCTTTCATCATTAATTACAGATTTAGCTGTGGGTTTTTTCATAGATGCCCTTTATCAAGTTGAATAAATTATCTTCTCTTCTCAGCTTGTTGAGTGTGTTTAATCCTAAAATGATGTTGGGTTTTGTCAGACATCTTTTCTGCATCTATTGAGATGATCTTGTGGATGTTGCTTTCCATTGCTATGGTGTTTTTCATTAGTTGATTTTTGGATGGTAACCCAACCTTATATCCTAGGATAAATCCCACTTGTCATGGTGCATCATTCTTTTCATACATTGCCAGATTTGGTTAGTACTTTGTTGAGAATTTTTGCATTCATATTCATGAGATAATGTTCTTTGATTTTCTTGCAATGCCTTTGTCTAGTTTACTATTAGTCCAGTTAATACCAGACTCATAGAATGAGCTGGGAGGTGTTCTTTCCTCTTGTATTTTTTGGGAAAAGTTTATGAATTATTGGTACTAATTCCTTAATGTTTGATCAATTTCAGTGGCGAAGCCACCTGGGCCTGGACTTTCCTTTGTGGGTAGTTTTTTTAAAAAAATTATCTCAACTTTTAATTTAGATTCAGGGGGTACATGTGCAGGTCTGTCATACGGGAACACTGTGTGACACTCTGGTTTGGAGAGCAGATGATCCTGTCACTTGGGCAGTGAGCACAGCACGCAGTAGGCAGTCTCTCGGTCCTCACCCACCTCCTGCTCCTCCCGCTCCTGCAGTCCCCAGAGTCCATTGCTCTCATCTTTATGTCCATGTGTACTCAGTGTTTAGCTTCCACTTGTAAGTGAGAACATGCAGTATTTGGTTTTCTGTTACTGCATTAATTCACTTAGGATAATGGTCTCTAACTGCTTCCATGTTGCAGCAAATAGTATGAATTTCTCCTTTTCATGGCTGCATAGTATTTCATGGTGTATGTGTACCCCATTTTCTTTATCCAGCCCACTGTTGATGGGCACCTAGGTTGACTCCCTATCTTTGCTATTGTGAATAGTGCTGCAATGAACATACAAATGCATGTGTATTTTTGGTAGAATGATTTATATTCCTTTGGGTATTTCTCTACTAATGGAATTGTTGGGTGGAGTGCTGATTTAAGTTCTTTGAGAAATCTCCAAACTGCTTTCCGCAGTGGCTGAACTAACTTACATTCCAACCTGAAGTGTATAAACATCCCCTCTTTTCTGCAGCCTCTTCTGCATCTCTTTTTGTTTGACGTTTTAGTGGTAGCCAGTCTGACTAGTATGAGATGTAGTAGTAGTAGCCAGTCAGAATGGCTAATACTAAAAAGTTTTTATTTGCAGTTTTTATTTGCATTTCTCTACTGATGAGTGATGAGCATTTTTCATATGTTTGTTGGCTGCTTGTATGTCTTCTTTTGGTAAGTGTCTGTTCATGTCCTTTGCCCACTTTTAAATGGGGTTGTTTTTTTCTTGTTGATTTATTTAAGATCGTTATAGATTCTGAATATTGGACCTTTATTGGATGCACAGTTAGCAAATATATTCTCCCATTCGGTTGGTTGTTTACTCTGTTTATTATAGTTTCTTTCATTGTGTGGAAGCTCTTTAGTTTAATTAGGTCCCACTTGCCAATTTCTGTTTTTGTTGCAATTGCTTTTGAGGACTTAACCATAAATTATTTGCCAAGGCCAGTGTCGAGAAGGGTATTTCCTAGGTTTTCCTCCAGGATTTTTATAGTTTCAGGTCTTACATTTAAATCTTTAACCCACTTTGAGTTAATTTTTGTGTAGTGAGTGGTAGGGGTCCAATTTCATTCCTTTGCATATGGCTCACCAGTTATCCCAGCACCATTTATTGAATAGACAGTCTTTTCGCATTGCTTATTTTTGTCAGTTTTGTTGAAGATCAGACGGTTGTAGGTATGTGGCTTTATTTCTGTTCTCTATTCTGTTCCATTGGTCTATATTTCTGTATTTGTACCAGTACTATGCCGTTTGGGTTACTGTAGTATTATAGTAGAGTCTGAAGTTGGGTAGTGTGATGCCTTCAGCTTTGTTCTTTTTGGTTAGGATTCCTTTGGCTATTCAGGTACTTTTTTGGTTCCATATGAATTTTAGAAATTTTTTTCTAATTCTGTGAAAAACGATCTTGATAGTTTGATAGGAATCGTGTTGAATCTATAGATTGCTTTGGGTAGTATGGCCATTTTAATGATATTGATTCTTCCAATCCATGAGCATGGAATGTTTTTTCATTTGTTTGTGTCATCTATGATTTCTTTTGGCAGTGTTTTACAGTTCTCCTTGTAGAGATCTTTCATTTCCTTGGTTAGATGTAACCCTAGGTATTTTACATTTTTTGTGGTTATTGTAAATGGGATTGCATTCTTGATTTGTCTCTTAGCTTGAATGTTATTGGTGTATAGAAATGTTACTGATTTTTGCACATTGATTTTGTATCCTGAAACTTGACTGAAATCATTTATCGGTTCTAAAATTATTTTGGTGGAGTCTCTAGGGCTTCCTAGGTATAGAATTATATCATCAGCAAAGAGATAATTTGACTTCTTCTTTTCCTATTTGGATGGCTTTTTTTCTTTCTTTTGCTTGATTGCTCTGGCTAGGACTTCCAGTACTATATTGAATAGGAGTGCTGAGAGTGGTCATCCTTGCCTTGTTCCTGTTCTTTAGGGGAATGCTTCCAGTTTTTGCCCATTCAGTATGATGTTAGCTGTGGGTTTGTCATAGATAGCTCTCATTTTGAGGTATGTTCCTTTGATGACTAGTTTGTTGAGGGTTTTTATCATGGAGGACGTTGGATTTCATCAAAAGCCTTTTCTGTGTCTATTGAGATGATCATATGGTTTTTGTTTTTAATTTTGTTTATATGGTGAATCACATTTATTGATTTGTGTATGTTGAACCAACTTTGCATTCCAGGAATGAAGTCTACTTGGTCATGGTGAATTAACTTTCTGATGTGCTGCTGGATTCAGTTTGCAAGCATTTTTTGAAGACTTTTGCATCTATGTTCATCACAGATATTAGCCTGTAGTTTTCTTTTATCATGTGTCTTTGACAGGTTTTGGTATCAGGGTGATGGTGGCTTCATAGAATGAGTTAAGGAGGAATCCCTTTTCCTTGATTTTTCTGTAATAGTTTCAGTAGAAGTGGTACCAGCTCTTTATCTGGTAGAATTCAGCTGTGAATTCATCTCGTACAGGGCTTTTTTGGTTACTATGTTTTTTATTACTGATTCAATTTTGTAACTCAATATTGGTATGTTCAAAGTTTCAATTTCTATCTGATTGAATCTTGGGAGGTTGTGTGTTTCCCCAAATTTATCCATTTCCTCTACATTTTCTAGTTTGTGTGCAGAAAGATGTTCATAAAAGTGTCTGAGAATATTTTGTATTTCTGTAGGATTGGTTGTAATGTCACCTTTGTCATTTCTGATTATCATTATTTGATCTTCTCTCTTCTTTGTTAATCTAGCTAGTGGCCTATCAATCTTATTTATCCTTTCAGAGAACCAACTTTTGGTTTCTTTGATCCTTTAGGTGAATTTTTGGTTCTCAATTTCATTCAGTTCTGCTCTGATTTTAGTTATTTCTTTTCTTCTACTAGTCTTGGAGTTAGTTTGTTTTTGTTTTTCTAGTTCCTCTAGGTGTGATGTTAGATCATTAATTTGAGACCGTTGGTGCTCCACACATTCAGATAAACTTCTCTAGTAACAAACCATAGAAATGATCCCTGAAAACATAGTCTTAGTTTTTTAAAAAATTGTAAATTCAATCTCTTTATTTGTTATGTGTCTACTCAGATTGTCTATTTCTTAAGTCAGTTTCAGTAGTTTGTGTCTTCCTAGGAATTTGTCCATCTCATCTAAGTTATCCAATTTAGTGGCATACAATTGGTTATAGTATTCTTTATGAACCTTTTATTTGTATAAGATTGATTGTAATCTCCCCTTTTCCACTTCTGGTTCTGGTAATTTAATTCTCCTCTCTGTTTTCTTGGTTAATGTAGCTTAAGTTTTGTCAATTTCTTAGTCTTTTCAAGGAGCCATCCTTTGGTTTCATTGACTTTCTCTATTGTTTTTGTATTTAATATTTCACTAATTTCTTCTTTAATCTTTATTATTTCCTTCCTTCTGCTTGCTCTACTTTTTAGGTTTGGTTTCCTCTACTTTTTCCAGTGTCTTAAGGGGGAACTTTAGAATATTGATTTAGGATCTTTCTTTCACTCTTAACTGCATATCTCTTAATCTTTCTTTTATATTTTTCATTTGCTTTTATTTTGTGTCAAGTTATGCACAATCTATTCAGATCATCTACCAGTTCACCAATTGTCTTTTCAGCTATCACTTATCTGTTTTTCATATAGCTATTCAGTTTCTTCTTTCAACCATCACCGTCTTTTTTCCTATAATTTCTATTAGGTTATTTTTCAAATCTGCCCAGGCATATTTAATAGTGCTTTTTCCTTTGATATTTTAAAATCCCAACTTTTGTTGCTTTAAACATTTTACACAGTTATTTTATACTCTGAAAAATATAATATCTCATAATTCCAACATCTGCAGTCATTAGGAGCTCTAAATCTTTTGTTTGTGATTTCTACTGACTCTTGTTCATGGGGCTTCCTTCCTCAGATGCTTCACACGTTTTGATTGTGACCTCATATTTGACAGAACTGAATCTATGGGAATATTGGGAAGTCTGAGATGAAGATATTTTCCTCCAAAGAGGATTTTCATTTGTCTGGTTTTGGCCCTGTGTGGTACTAATAACCTGAGACCACTTTCATTTAATTTCTCAACTTGGGGATTTAACAGTTGCATACATATTTAAATTCAAAGCCCAGATCCACATATAGACAAATTTAGTGGCACAAATTCTCACGAGAGACTTTTTCCCTCTGTTTCCTTGGTAGAGATCAATTTCTTGTTTGCTCTTTTTGTTATACAGTCAGGGAAGCTTTTCTTCTAGCCTACCCTTTCACAGAGAACAAGGGGCTTTGAAGGTCCCAGACTTATGTGCACCTGGGGATTTCCTCCCACCCTTCTCACTCACAGGACCCCAGCCTCACTGGATTTGTTACAGTTTCTACAACATCCCAAGCACTCTCCTGCCTCATGGTGTTGACAATATGGTTTCCTCTGGCTGAACTCTCTTACCCCAGGATCCCATATCCACAGGCCTTAGCCCCCTCACTTCTTTTGTGTTTCTGCCCCAAAATCGTGTTTTCAGCAAGGCCTTCTTTGGCCACCCTCTAAAAAAAAAGCATTGCCCCCCTTCTCTCTGACCCCTTCAGTCTAGTTTATTTTTCTACACAGCATTTATCAACATCTCACCTATTGTGTGTTTCTTTCTCTCTGTCTACCGTCACTAAGATAAGAGCTTCTGAGGACTGGGGATTTTTGCTTATTCACCGCTGTATTACAACTGACTAGAACAGTGCCTAGAACACAGTGGATAGCCAATATATATATTTTCTGAATGAATAAATGTGTGCCTTTAGGAATGAATGAATGGCAGGGCTAGGAGTGGGAGTGGGACAGCATGAAAAGATTGATTATATTAGAAAAGGAATAGGTGCAGAGAGAGCAAGAAACCATGAGGGAAAGAGGGGCTGGTCATGGTGCTGTGTACCTGTAGTTCCAGCTACTTGGGAGGCTAAGGCAGGAGGATCCTTTGAGCTCAGGAGTCTGAGGCCAGCCTGGACAACACAGTGAGACTCCACCTCTTAAAAAAAATAAAAAAGAAAAGAAAAGAAATAAATAAAAAAAAAGAAAGGAAGAAGGCAGGTAAAGTTCTCCCACTTTGCAATTTTACTTAGACCCTTCAGGGGCATCTGACGCCCTTGGCACTGGCTTCCTCTATTGTCTCCAGCATTAGTTTCCTTCCTGAATATCCTGAAGGTGGCTCTCAATAAATACTGCTTGACTGACAGCTTACTTAAGTCGTTATAAGAGGATTTCTTCTGCATTAGTCAGAAAACGAAATCACTTTCTAGATTGCTTTGCTGGGCAGGCTTGCCCCGGAGCTGCTAGGGGAGGGAAGGTGTGGGTGTTCCCTGTGCTCATGGTTGGAAGCCTGGAAATTAATTACAGGTGATGTGGCCCTTGTTAGGAGAAGGCCTCTATCGGTTTTCCATGTACAAAGCCACCCAAGAAAAAGGCAGAACCCAGTGAGATGGAACTCGGCTGGAATCTACAGTTTAGCTTTTTATTCAAAGCGATGAGGAAAAAATAACTTAAGGCGGTTAAATCTCAACTTTTATTGGTTGTCGTCTTTAACTTTGAATTATCTACTCACTACTTTATATTTTTCTAGTCCTTTGATTTTTGTGTACATTATTTCGAGACAGTGTTGACTACTAGGATATACATGGAAAGAGAAAAGATCTACTTATCTATTAATCAGCTATACCTTAGGCAAAATATTTAGTCAGACTATGGTTCACATATAGTGGAGATTAAATAGTTAAAAACCAAAACTCCAAAGAGGGAGGAAGGAAGTAGCTTATTTTTAACCCCTGCTGTGACAACTAGAGACTGTCAATCAGAGAGGGACAGACTTCGAGGAAAAAGTTCTCCAGCCTGCATTTTAAGTGCAAGCTACTCATTTTCTGCCGAAAGACAAGGATTAAAGCTTTTCATCACAGGAAAGAAAAAGTTCCCAAATTTTGGAGTCCTCCCCGAAGTTCCACATTTTCTTGGATTTGTGTACTAGCAATTAGAATGGAGCTATCTGTGAACTCCGAATATCCGAGACAGGTCTCAGTTAATTGAGAAAGTTTATTTTTGCCAAGGTTGAGGACGTGCACCCGTGACACAGCCTCAGGAGGTCTTGACTAGATGTGCCCACGATGGCTGGGTCACAGCTTGCCTTTATACATTTTAGGGAGACATGAGACATCAATCAATATATGTAAGATGTATATTGATTCCATCCAGCAAGGCAGGACAGCTCAAGCATGGAGGGGGCTTCCAGGTCACAGGTTGGTGAGAGACAAACTGTTGTATTCTTTTGAGTTTCTGATTAGCCTTTCCAAAGGAGGCAATCGGATAGCATCTATCTTGGTGAGCAGAGGGATGACTTTGAATAGACTGGGAGGCAGGCTTGCCCTAAGCAGTTCCCAGCTTGACTTTTCCCTGTGGCTTAGTGATTTGGGGCCCCCAAGATGTATTTTCCTTTTACATATCTAAAGCGAAGGCAATATAAACATAATATATACATATGTCTGAAAAGCTAAACTTTGAGAATTGTAGGTATAAATGGCTGAAATGTCTTCTGAAATACATGGATCAGAATGCAGACCGTGTTGTGCAGACAGATGCAGATTGGCACAGGACACGCACTGGCGTGGCATGTGGTCTACGTGGGATGCAGACACGCCTCAGCAGCTGACCTCTTGAACAAAGACAGGTGCTGGCAGAGCTGCATATTGAGAGAAGAGTGTTGAATTAGGACACTATGAGCAGGAAATGATAGAAAATCAACCCAAACCAGGTTAAACACAAAGAATGATTTAGGCTCGGTGCGGTGGCTTGCGCCTGTAATCCCAGCACTTTGGGAGGCTGAGGCGGGTGGATCATGAGGTCAGGAGTTCAAGACCAGCCTGGCCAGGATGGTGAAACCCCCGTCACTACTAAAAATACAAAAATTAGCCAGGCGGGTGCCTGTAATCCCAGCTACTCAGGAGGCTGAGGCAGAGAATTGCTTGAACCTGGGAGGCGGAGGCTGCAGTGAGCCGAGATGGCACCACTGCACTCCCGCCTGGGCAACAGAGTGAAACTCTATCTCAAAAAAAAAAAAAAATGATTTAACTGAAGAACACAGAGGTGGCTCAAAGGACCATCGGCAGGACTCAGAGCCGCTCTGGGGTCCCAGGAACTGGAACCAGGAATTCAAACATTGTCAGCTCACTCCCCCCAACCTCTTTCTCCTTTGCTCCACTTAAGCTTCCTTCTCTGCTAATAGAGATGGACATTCTCTGCCCAGCAGGAAATGTAGCCAGCAGCAAGTGTCAAAGTCACATCCTGAAAGATCTGTAAGCAGAAATGAAAAGATGCCTTTTCTCAGTCTCAGTTTGAAAGATCTCAGCGAACGGCTCAGACTCTCCAGACTGAATTTTTATTCCCAGCTTTTGAATTAGTACTGTGATCGAGGGGGTGGGCTCAATGTTGACCCACCCTGGGTCATGTTCCTGTCATTGATCCAGAGCGAGCAGGTTCCAAACTAGGATGTGGCTTAGCATAGACATGATCACTGGTACATTTGTTTGTGCTGAACAGCCCTTATGACAGGTCTCTGACAATCACCACCTTGGTCATTCCTAATACCTGACTGAGGAGGAGAGGCGGGCAGTTACTATAAGAAACCCAGCTTGGCCCAGCGCGGTGCTTATGCCTACAATCCCAGCACTTTGGGAGGCTGAGGCAGGCGGATTACTTGAGGTCGAGAGTTCGAGATCAGCCTGGCCAACATGAGGAAACCCTGTCTCTACTAAAAATACAAAAATTAGCTGGGCATGGTGGCGAGTGCTGGTAGTCCCAGCTACTCGGGAGGCTGAGACAGGAGAATCGCTTGAACCGGGGAGGAGGAGGTTGCAGTGAGCCAAGATGACACCATTGCACTCCAGCCTGGGCAACAGAGTGAGACTCTGTCTCAAAACAAAAGAACCCCAGCCTGGAGGTATTTGTGGGTGCAGTAGTCACACTGACCGGGTTCCCAGTGCTACTCCACTACTTACTAGCCAAACTATATTTTCACGTATCAGCTTCCTTGTTTATAAAATGAAAATAATGCTGATACCAGTTTCATGAGGTTGTTAATTGGATTAAATGGTTTATTTTATGTAAAGCCCTTAGAAAACAAGCTTGGAATAGGAAAGATTAGCTATTGTTTTTACTAATGTATATGTCACTGAAATCAAACCAGAAAGACAACTCATTCATAAAGACGATTTCTATGCTGTCTTACATGCCCCATGCAGACCGCGAAGTCTGTAAAGTTACCTCCCATTCATCATCTTTTGCTCACTATAAGCCATCCAGGCTTTCTGTGAAAAGTGCTCAATGGGGTTTTGAGGCTGCCCCTTGTCTTTCCGGGCCTCCACTCCCCAGTGAGAGTCTTTTTCATTTTATGTTGCAAAGCAATTTATTCTCCAAATCCAGAATCCCTATAGAACTCCAGAGACAAAGCCTCACTTGAATGCTCATGATGGGCAAAGCTTTGTGTTGATCAGGTAGGACCATGTCTCTGAGCCTCTCCCTGCTGCTCTGCAACAATGATCCCCCACTGCCCTCAGTGGCTTCATGGGTTCTATGTGCTGTCAGACCCTCTTTTACTGATCATAGCCTTCTCATTCCTAATATATCTGATAGTGCATTTCTAAGGCCTAGTTTTACGTTCCCTCAGCTTTTTTTTTTCTTTGAAAGGGAACCCTTATACACTGTTGGTGGGAGTGTAAATTAGTTTGACCATTGCGGATAACAGTGTGGTGATACCTCAGAGACCTAAAAACAGAACTGCCATTCAACCCAGCAATCCCATTACTGAGTATATACCCAGAGGAATATAAATCATTCTATCATAAAGACAAATGCATGCAAATGTTTATTGCAGCACTATTCACAATAGCAAAGAAATGGAATCAACATAATTGCCCATTAATGACAGATTGGATAAAGAAAATGTGGTGCATATATGCCATGGAATACTACGCAGCCATAAAAAAGAACAAGATCAAGTCTTTTGCAGTAACATGGATGGAGCTGGAGGCCATTGTCCTTAGCAAACCAATGCAGGAACATAAAACCAAATACTGCATGTTCTCACTTATAAGTGGCAGCTAAATGATGAGAACACATGGACACGTAGAGAGGGACAACACACATTGGGGCTTACTGAAGGGTGGAGGGTGGGAGGAGGGAGAGGATCAGGAAAAATAGCTATTGGATATTAGGCTTAGTATCTGGGTGACAAAATAATCTGTATAACAAACCCCCGTGACATAAGTTTACCTATACAAACAAACTTGCATATGTACCCCTGAACCTAAAATAAAAATTAAAAGAATTTTTTTCTTTGCTTAATTGCGCAAACTTCTATGTCCCCATCTCAATCCAGCTCAACTCAACAAAATCTCCTGAGGTCCTACTGTATACCAAGTACTGTGCCTGCTATCATTCATATTACTTCCTTTTTCTTTTCTCAGTCTCTAGTTTTCTTTTTTTCTGTGTTTCCCTGATAGAGGGAGTAATAATTTTCATGTGCTTGAAGTGAAACTCTCTTACTTGCTGAAAACGTATTACAAATAAATCTATATATATCAGAACTTTGTATGAGAGCAAATTTCAGCTGAGAAGGGGTTATAGGTACCTGACTATGTGTCTGTTAATAGAAAGTTGTATATTATTCATTTCACAGTGCAGGTTCATTTTTTGTAATTAGTCCTTTTGTTGAATTTATAAAGTCCTGAGTTTTGAAATAATTCCTTTGCATATCCTTAATGAGAGATACCTCACTAATTATTAGTATTTATGGTCTCCAGTGAAGCTAAAGGTGGTCAAACCAGTCAAGAACAGACTGATGCCTAAAGAGGGACTACTCTCATCTGGGTATGACTCCTTACACCTTCATGCCTCTTAAAGTGGGAACAATAATACTTCACATTTGGAAGAAAACAGGTTTATTAGATGCTAGTAAACCTCTTTTAATATGTTACTATGTAACTAAAGAAAGACATGATGATTAACTAATTTATCATATAATCACAAACAATTGGAAGGCAAGGACCCACAGATAGATACTATGTTTGCAGAAATCTACCTAATTTCTTTTTCTTTTTTTTGAGACAGAGTCTTGCTCTGTTGCCCAGGCTGGAGTGCAGTGGCGCAATCTTGGCTCACTGCAAGCTCTGCCTCCCAGGTTCACTCCATTCTCCTGCCTCAGCCTCCCGAGTAGCTGGGACTACAGGCGCCCGCCACCACGCCTGGCTAATTTTTTTTTGTATTTTTAGTAGAGATGGGGTTTCACCATGTTAGCCAGGATGGTCTCGATCTCTTGACCTCGTGATCTACCCGCCTTAGCTTCCCAAAGTGTTGGGATTACAGGCGTGAGCCACCGCGCCCGGCCTAAATCTACCTAATTTCATTGCTCCTACATTTATATCACATTTACTACTGAGTCACTCATTCATCAATCATTGTTGAGCATCTACTGTGTGTAAAATTCCATGCTATGAGCTGAGGACTGAATGGTAAATAAGATAAAGCTATGCCCTTGAAAAGCTGACTGTTTACTAGGGGAGATAGACCTGCAAATGAATAACTATAATGTAGGGAGGTAAATACTTATAGGCAAATGTACAATGCTGTGGGAGGAGGAAGGAATAAATGACGAACATTCTTGGTGGGAAGTCAGGAACGGCTGTATTCACCAGTCTTAAAGGTGAGAGCAGTAGGCTCCAGGAGAAGATAGTGGGCTGTGGGTAGGTCTTTCTGGAAGAGGAAGTATGTGCAAAGATCACAGGGGATTGAAAGAGTGTGGAATGTTCAGCAGGTAGAGGGGAGCTCAGCGGGGCAGTTAGGCAGGATGGTGCGTGAGAAAAGCTGGGAGTGAGGCTGGAAAGCTGGGTAACAGATTGGGAAGGGCTGTTTGTTTCATGCTAAGGATTTTAAACTTTCTCTTGGAAGAAACGATTTAATGATATTTCATGGGGAAATGATTTGATCAGAATCTGATAGGAAATCATAGAAATGCTTAGTAAATAGAGAACCTCCAGAGATAATTGAACAATTGCCCTTTAGATTAGCTTTCTGAGGATGCTCACTGAAAAAAGGAATTTTTGCTCAAATATGGTTGTTGCGTTCTTTCTTTCTTTTTCTTTTTCTTTCTTTTCTTTTTTTTTTTTTTTGAAACAGAGTCTTGCTCTGTCACCCAGGCTGGAGTGCAGTGGCACAATCTCAGCTCACTGCAACATCCACCCCCAGGTTCAAGCGATTCTCCTGCCTCAGCCTCCCAAGTAGCTGGGATTTCAGGCGCCTGCCACCGTGCCTGACCAATTTTTGTCTTTTTAGTAGAAGACAGGGTTTTGCCATGTTGGCCATGCATGTCTTGAACTCCTGACCTCAGGTGATCTGCCCGCCTCAGCCTCCCAAAGTGCTGGGCTTACAGTTGTAAGCCACTGCACCCAGCCAAAATTGCATTCTTGATTCCCCTCTCAGAGAAATGTTATATATCAGAACATATTAGTAGCTGTGTGAAGACCAGCAGAAAAGGTATTAGTTTAACTTAAGTGATATTGCACGGGGCACAGCGTGTAGACTTAGAATGCTTAGGGACACTTGCTGGCACCTTAAACTTCAAAGGTGTTTTCTGATGTGTTTCTGATGAGACAAGAAAACAGACTCAACTCCCCAGAACTCCATGCATCCTTAAAAGCTCTGTCAGGACGGGCGAGGTGGCTCATGCCTGTAATCCCAGCACTTTGGGGGGCTGAGGCGGGTGGATCACAAGGTCAAGAGATCGAGACCAGCCTGGCCAACATGGTGAAACCCCATCTCTACTAAAAATATAAAAATTAGCTGGGCATGGTGGTGCATGCCTGTAGTCCCAGCTACTTGGGACGCTGAGGCAGAAGAATCACATGAAGTCAGGAGGCGGAGGTTGCCGTGAACCGAGATCGCACCACTGCACTCCAGCCTGGTGACAGAGTGAGACTCTGTCTCAAAAAAAAAAAAAAAAAAAAAAAAAAAAAAAGCTCCATCAGAGGCATTTGAACCAGAGCAACTCCATCTTGAATAAGGGCTGGGTAAAATAAGGCTGAGACCTACTGGGCTGAATTCCCAGGAGGTTAGGCATTCTAAGTCACAGGATGAGATAAGAGGTCAGTATAATGGACAGGTCACACAGACCTTGCTGATAAAACAGCATGAGGTAAAGAAGCCAGCCAAAACACACCAAAAGGTGACAAAAGTGACCTCTGGTTGTCCTCACTGCTCATTACATGCTAATTATAATGTATTAGCATGCTAGAAGACACTCCCACCAGTGCCATGACAGTTTACAAATGCCACGGTAACCTCTGGAAGTTACCCTATATTGTCTAAAAGGGGGAGGAATCTTCAGTTCCAGGAATTGCCCTCCCCTTTCCCAGAAAACTCATGAATAATCCACCCCTTGTTTAGAATACAATTGACAAGTAACAATAAGTATCCTTAGCCGAGCAGCTTAAGCTGCTGCTCGGCCTATGGAGTCACCGTTCTTTTATTCCTTTAGTTTCCTAATAAACTTGCTTCCACTTTACTCTATGGATTCACCTTGAATTCTTTCTTGCAAGATATCCAAGATCCCTCTCTTGGGGTCTGGATAGAGAGCACTTTCCCTTAACAGCTCTGTGAGATAGAATCTAAACCTCTTCATGTTATTTGTGGTAGGTGCTGAAAGCTTGTTATCTTTAATTAAGTATCTTTTGTATTTTACATTGTTTTTAAATTCATTCCTCAGTAACAATATGCTAATGTTGTTTGTCATTGATAAAATTACATTCCTCTCCCAGTGATAGGTTTAATGAATGAATTAATCTAATTATCCAGCACACATCTGTTGAGAGTTTACCATGGCCCAGACACTGTAGATACAGAAATAAATGAGGAAGGTATGTTCTCTGCTTTCTCTGGAGCTTACAGTACAGGGGATAGCCTAAGCCAAAATGTGGTCCTGTGAATTGAACTTAGCACATCCGCTCCCCCATGATCTGGCCCCAGATGATGTGTGTGGTCTCACCTCCCACTGCTTTCCAATGTGCTACATTTGCCGTTCCCAAGACATCCCCAGCTTTTATACCTCTGAGTCTTTGCATGTCCTAAGGCCCCTGCCAGGGTGTCCTGCTCTCTCTCCTTCCTCTCCTCACCTCTTCCACATCACACTTGGCCTTCGAGATTCAGTTTAATCCTGAATCTTGGAATTTCCTGACACTCCTCCTCCCCAGTCTGATTGGTGCCTTTTTTTTTTTTGTACTCCAAATATTTCTTTGTACCCTGAGTATAACTCTGTCATAAATAACACATACCAAATAAACGTGCCATAATTACTGATTTACTTGAGTCTTTCTCCCACATTAAACTATGAGCTACCTGAGACCAGGGACTATGTTTTTTTACATTCTATGGTCAAGATCCCTAAAGGCTCTTCGTTAAAGAGGCCAATGTGTAAACAGTCATGATGGTTCTGTAAATGGTAGCTATGTCTCCAAACCAAGAAACAATCTTTTTATATCTACTCATATGGCTACTAAGGTGGCTGGGCTTGCCTTGGTGGGTATAGTCACATTCTACACTCAGATAAGAATTGTTCAGTAAATGGTGAGTGCCAGAAGGAAAGGTAGAATTAGCTCCCCTTAGAGAATAATGAAGTTGTAATTTAGTTAATTACAACTTTATCAGATTAGGAGTTAAGAATGAATATAAGGGTGCCTGTAGTCCCAGCTACTCAGGAGGCTGAGGCAGGAGAATGGCGTGAACCTGGGAGGCGGAGCTTGCAGTGAGCCGAGATCACGCCACTGCACTCCAGCCTGGGTGACAGAGTGAGACTCTGTCTCAAAAAAAAAAAAAAAAAAAAAATGAACATAAGGGCATCCCTTTTCCATGTCCCATTCTTCTATTCTATTTCTGTAGTACTCAACTCTCCTGATCCCATTTGCACCACCCAACCAGGTCAAGTGAGTAGATGCAGTGAGGTCATAGCTTGAAGCTAAAGGTCCTAGCTTGAATGGCTTCCAGAACAGGGAGCTTGTGCTATGTCCCCTGCTGCACCCAAACAGAAATGAGCTTCCTCTTCTTCTCCTGATCACACTCTTAATTTTGAGGAGTTGTATTAAAACCAAAGCCACCAAGACTAAAATGCAACCCAGCCATCTAGAACAACCTGTATACACCCTTGGAGGCTGGGCCTGGAGATCAGGGCTGGTTGTAGGTGATAAAGGGGTTTCTCTTTGACCATAACATGAGATTGTTGGGCTGGGAAGATGGGTGAGAGCTGGGAAAGAGGGTGAGTAGATACCCACTGTAGTTTTGAAAACAGCCCTGCACCATTATTTTCCTAAATTTTGAGGTTCAGTTGAGTTCAAGGAACCTTTCTAGGGCACTCACGGTGTGGCACGAGCAAGTGCTAGAGATGTAATCATTTGCAAGGTATGTAAAATCATTGCAAGGTAGATAAAACCCCTGCTGTCAAAGAGCTTGTGGTCAAGTAAATACAAGGAGATTCAGACAAGTGTTATGATAGAGGTGTTACAAGATATTAAGGAGGAGGTGATGATATCACACAGCCTGTTAATCAGAGAAAATTAACGGAACTGTCTAGCCCTCTCTATAGAAAAACAGATGGCTGCTTTGACTCATTTAGCTCCGGTGAAAGAGCAATGTCAAAGTTCGGCAGTGGGGAGATCCAGTGGGCAGAAACACTCGCCCATATATCCCTCTTTTTTTTTTTTGAGACTGAGCCTCGCTCTGTCACCCAGGCTGAAGTGCAGTGGCATGATCTCGGCTCACTGCAACCTCCGCCTCCAGGGTTCAACTGATTCTCCTGCCTCAGCCTCCTGAGTAGCTGGGACTACAGGTGCCCACCACCACACCTGGCTAATTTTTGTATTTTTAATAGAGACGTGGTTTCACCATATTGGCCAGGCTGGTCTCGAACTCCTGACCTTGTGATCCACCCACCTCGGCCTCCCAAAGTGCTGGGATTACAGGCATGAGCCACTGCGCCCAGTCATTTTTTTTTAAAGCTTTTCCAAGGAATTAGTGCTGTAAAGAGAAGACAGAGTCAGCGGTGGTGAAATCAGTGATGGCTGGCAGTGACCAGGGTGAGTAACGTCATTGGTAGGGGTGCATCTGTGATGATACCTGGGGTATATGCACTCCTTAGGAAAGGGAGAAATGAGGGAGGACCTCTCCCCTTCTTCTGAAGGCTTTGGATTGGGCTGTGGATGTTCACTACTGAAAAAGAATGGTCTTTATTTGTTGGGTCTCATCTGGATAGTGAGTGAACTCATTCTCTCCAGCACATTCTTTTACCACTGTACTTTGCATAACCAAACCAATCATCAATGGAATGAAATATCTATTACAGAATCATTAATTAAATGCACAAAGCCCAAATAAATATGGTGATGAAGCTACAAAAAGTAAAATAGAGTCCGCCTCTTTTTAAAGAAGACTTTCAAAGCATTTTTCTTCATGGTAATTGGCATTTTACAATGAGTTGTTCTCCAAGATTGCTGTTAGGACCAGAGCCCAAGCAAGATGCTGTGATGACGAGGTTCCCTGGCAACTAAGCCCCTTAAACAGTGTTAGAGACAGACTACAAAACAGAATTCTGTACTGTGTCAGGATGCATTTAACAAGGCTTTGGTGTCTATTTGGTATTTTTATGATTTGTAGAGCAGCAAGACGAGTGGGCTTAGCAGCCCAGGGTAGTTGCTATAGTAATAACTAGTGCAAGTTTTGAGATCCATTAAATTTTTTTTAGGGTTAGAAATGTTTAAATATTGTGATAGTTCTTTCTCTAAAATAAGTGAAAATACAGAAAATTCACTAATTTGCTAAATACTCAACCTCACAAAGTCCTTTAATAAAGATACTTAGAAAAAGTCTAGAAATTTAAATAAAGAAAAGCTGTCACTACAGTTATTTCTTGAAGCCATAATCCAACCTGATACCTTCATTTTCCTTTACAAAGAAAACTATAGCCCCTCTTCTGGTATTGTCATGAATTATTGATGTTAGATTAAATATTGCTCTAGGATATAGAGCCTGGTGATCCCTTTGACAGACTGAAAAATTGGTATGTATCAAAGAAACAATCCTTCACTACTGACCAAATTCCAATCCTTCTGTCACCATAAAAGCAATAAATAACCAACCTAGGATTGAAATACATGGTGTGGTCACCCCACTTCCAGCATTTTCAGGGCCCAGGCAAGAGTACAAATGGAGGCCCGCATGACATAGGTCTAAAAGTTATAAACGAAGCTTGTAATTTCATAAATAAAATATGGTCCATCCTTCTATATTGACAAGTGTACTTTCTTCCTTTCTTTCTTTCTTTTTTTTTTTTTTTGAGATGGAGTTTCGCTCTTGTTGCCCAGGCTGGAGTGCAATGGCGTGATCTCTGCTCACTGCAACCTCCGCCTCCCAGGTTCAAGAGATTCTCCTGCCTCGGCCTTCCTAGTAGCTGGGACTACAGGTGCCCACTGCCATGCCCAGCTAATTTTTCATATTTTCAGTAGAGACAAGGTTTCACTATGTTGGCCAGGCTGGTCTCGAACTCCTGACCTCAGGTGATCCACCTGCCTCAGCCTCCCAAACTGCTAGGATTACAGGCATAAGCCATTGCGCCCGGCTGACAAGTGTTCTTTCATGACACTTGGAAGGCAAGGTCTGATTGGGAATTCTTGGGCTACTTAGTGTTGCTCACTGAAGTGTGGAGAACCGGTCTAGTCCCCAGGCTGCAACACCCACCTCCTGGGTGCCCTTCTTCTCTTCTCACCACCAGCCCCACCCCTGTACTGCAGAGGATGTAGCACATGGTACCTGTGTGGACACCCTAGTCTTGCACAGACATCTAATGCACCTTCCACCACCTCCCCAATGGCTGCCATGGCCACCTGCAGTGCCACGTTGGGTTCTCTAGCTGTTCTGTCCTTTGGAGCAGACCCAGAGAAGAGACCAGTGCCAGGCCTGGAAAAGGGCTGAGCGCCATTTGCAGAGAGAATCCTAGGGCCTCATATACCTGGAGTGAGACGTAGAAGAGAGGGCATGAGCTCCAGGCAGGTGTGTCCTTTTTGCCCTGAAGGAAGGGCATGACCACAGAAGGGCAAGAGTGAACTTCCTGAAGCAGGGGGTCCAGGGCAGGACCCCTTTGTACCCACATGATGGGGGGTGGGTATTAGGAAACCTCCTTGCACTGACTAAAGACTCAAACCACCCCACTCCGACCTGACTGTATTATACTCTCCGAGGGTGTCTTGTTTACTTTCCTAGAATAATTACTTTTACTGGCTTCCAGACAAGCAAAAGGATATGCTGCTATTATCCATGGGAAAATAGCCCAGGAGAAGGCAAAGTGGCTTCCTAACAAACTGCCAGATATTATTGAAAGCTTGGGTTGCAGAGAGGATATTGAAAGCCGGGAACTGAAAGCACCCTCTTAGGTTTCAGGATCCATCTTCAAAGATGGCCGCCCTTCTACAACGAGGAAAAGCCTCGCCTCCTCACATCAGTCAGAACCCCTGCCCAATGTCGCCTGCGCATCTCGCCCCTCTGCTCTCTCTGCCCTTTTATGGGATACCAGCAGATCTGGCTGTGTTAGATAATCTTCTCTGCTCTCTGACAGCCATCTCTCTGCTCTTCTCATCAGTCTCTCCCTGTCTGACATCAATGATTTCTTTGTGGGTCAAGGCCTGACCTGGATCTCTTGAAACCGGGTCTGTACCTTTTCTCACCCACAGGATGCCAATTCATCTTGCTCTGCTTACCTCTCGATGAATGACTCATCTAGGGGTGGAGTGGGGAGGCCAGCCACACCTGAAACATGTGCCTCTTGGATTCTGGAGATTTAAGCGCTCTGTACTTTGCATCTGATTTTGACTATTTCAAGCAATGGAAGGAGAGAGATGAGAATAAAGTTACTTGTTGACACTTCCTCATTTCATATCAGGAACCAGAAAATGAAAAAAAGAACTTTTTTTTTTTTTTTTTTGGTGGTGGGCTTCTCCCTTTCACTTGTTCTGTGTTCCTCAGCTAATTTCCTGCCAGGGCAATTTCAGGTTCAACTTGCTTTTTAAAGTTATGAATCATACCAGTGACTCAAAGCCAATTTTAGTAAAGAAGAAAAGCGAAGCTGGAGGTCTATAAAGAATCAAACCTAGTAGGAAATATGAATTATTATTTTTGGAACTTTTGGCAAACACCCACTAAAGCATTATTCATTCATTCAGGAAAAATATGTTGAAGACATGCTCAATGGATGGTATAATATAAAAAAGGAGTTAAATACTTTTCTCTGAAAGATGCATAGATTTTTTAAAAATTGAATTCTTATTTTTTCATGGAGTGAAACAAAACTTAGAAGTAGTAGTTTCTATAAATGTATCAAGTGTGTTGCTATTGAAAAGAACAAGAGGGCCAGGCATGGTGGCTCATGCCTGTAATTCCAACACATTGGGAGGCTGAGGTGGGCGGATCACTTGAGGTCAGGAGTTCAAGACCAGCCTGGCCAACATGGTGAAACCTTGTCTCTACTAAAAATACAAAAATTAGCCAGGCATGGTGGTGCACGCCTGTAATCCCAGCTAGTCAGAAAACTGAGGCATGAGAAGTGTTTGAACCTGGGAGGTGGAGGTTGCAGTGAGCTGACCATGCCACTGCACTCCAGCCTGGGCAACAGAGTGAGACCCTGTCTCAAAAAAAAAAAAAAAAAAAAAAAAAAAAAAAAAAAAAAAAGAGAGAGAGAGAGAAATTATGGAGTTCCTCAACTAGGAACTAGGATGATGAATTCGTAACATTAAACATTTATTTTCTAAATCTTAGAGCTGGAGGACACCTCACTGATTTTCTCATCAATTATACACATAACTTTTCAACTTCAATAATGAGAAAAGAGAGGCCCAGAGAGGGTGAATGACTTGCCTGAAGTTGCACAGCTGCTCAGCCTGTAGCAAAACCAGGCCTGGAGTCTGGATGTCCCATCTATCTGTGAGCAAGTGCTCTCTCCAGGAACAATCATGATAGTTATTATTCATCAATTATAAAAGCAAGGCACTTTTTCTTATGCAATACTACTTAGTAGTCATACCTCAGAAAAGGCAAGAATCTCATTCCCAAGGTCACATTCTTTCCATTTGTCAGCTCCACTTTGCCCTACGTTGCAGTACCGGGAAGCATCTTCTCCTGCTTTTCACCTTTTCTTAAGCAGCCAAGACCAAATGGGGAAAATGAGAATCTGTCTCCACATTGATGTTTGCTTGTCCACTACTTCATTTCTTCCATCTTTCATTCTCTGTGCAAAGTGTTGAGTCAGGTGCCATGGAAGATTGAAAAATAAAACAAATCAAAAGGTAAGATATAGACCTACCCCTTAAGATATCCAACATCTAAAAGTGGATATAGGTCAGGCACAATGGCTCACTCCTGTAATCCCAACACTTTAAGAGGCTAAGGACTGCTTAAGCCCAGGAGTTTGAGAGCAGCCTGGGCAACAACGAGAGATCCCATCTCTACAAAAAAAAAAAAAAAAAAAAAAAAAAAAAATTAGCCAGGCATGGTGGTGTGCACCTGTAGTCCTAGCTACTTGGGAAGCTGAGGCAAGATGATCCCTTGATCCCAGGAGTTCAAGGCTGCAGTGAGCTATGATTGCACCACTGCCCTCCAGACTGGGTCTGTCTCAATAAATAAATAAAAGTGAGACTCTGTCTCAATAAATAAATAAAAGGGAATATAAGACTTGTTCACAAATAACTATAAGATAAAATTTAATAAAAAATTAAAAGTAGTAGACAGTGTCATAGAAATTCATGTGTTGGAGGAAAATAAAACTCTGGAAAGGAAGCTAGACGTGGTGATGTGTGATGGTAGTCTGAGCTGCTTGGGAGGCTGAGGCATGAGGATCACTTGAACCCAAGAGTTGAAGTCCAGCCTGGGCAACATAGTGAGACTCCATCTTTAAAAAAACAAAAAAGAACTCTGGGAAGGAGATGTGGAGAAATCTTGGAAAGATGAAGCATTGCTTTACTCTTTGGTGAAAGTCATTACATCCTTCTGGTGATTTTCTTCTTTGAGAATGGCTATAACACTTTATCAAAGAATAATTTGGTTTTAAAATTTTTATTGTATTTTGACAAAGTATAATTGTATATATTTATGGAGTATAAAGTGATCTTATGATACATGTATATAATGTGGGATAATTAAATCCAGCTAATTAACATACCCATTATCACAAATAATTATCGCATTTTGTGTTGAGAACTTTTGAAATTTACTCTTAGCAATTTTGAAATATATGATGTAGTATTATTAACTATAGTCACTATACTGTGCAATATGTCTCAAAAAACTTACTCTTCTTGTCTAACTGAAACTTCTTACCCTTTAGTCAATACCCATTCTCCCAAGCCCTAGCCTCTGTAACCACCATTCTACTTTGTCTTTCTAGAAGTTCAATTGTTTTAGATTCCACAGGTAAGTGAGAACTGCAGTCTTTGTCTTTCTGTGCATGGTTATGGCTTATTTCACTTAGTTTAATGTCCTCCAGGTTCATTTCATGTTGTTGCAAATGATAGGATTTCTTTATTTTTAAAGGCTGAATAATAATCCATTGTGGGTATCTATTACATTTTCTTTATCCATTCATCCATTTATAGACACTTATTTTGATTCCACAACTTGTCATTGTGAATAAGGCTGTAATTAACATGGGATTGCAGATAACTCAACATACTAATTTCATACTAATTTCAAATCCTTTGTATCTATACCTACAAGACGGATTGCTGGATCATATCATGATTTTATTTTTAGTGATTTGAGGAACCTCCATAGTGTAGTTTTCTGTAATGGCTGTACTAATTTACATCCCACCAACAGTGTACAAGGATTCCTTTTTCTCCACATCCTCATCAACACTTGTTACCTTTTGTCCTTTTGATAATAGCTATTGTAAGTGTGAGATATTTCATTGTGTTTTTAATTTGCATTTTCCTAATGATTGGTGGTGTTAAGCATTTTTTGTGTATCTGCTGGCCATTTTTATGTCTTCTTTCAAGAAATATCTATTAAGATCCTTTGCCCATTTTTAAATCGGGGTATTTGTTTTCTTGTTATTTAACTATTTGAGTTCCTTTGGATATTAAGCCCTTATCAGATGTACAGCTTGCAAATATTTTCTCCCAATCCATAGGTTGTCTCTTTATTAATTGTTTCCTTTGCCATACAGAAGCTTTTTTGTTTGGTGTAGTCCCTTTGGCTATTTTTGTTTTTGTTGTCTGAGCCTTTTGGGTCAAATCCAAAAAAATTGCCCAAATCAATGCTGTGTAGTTTTTTCCTGATGTTTTCTTCCATTAGTTTTACAGTTTCAAGTCCTATATTTAAATATTTAATCATTTTGAGGTTTTTTTGTTTTTTTTAAATAGACGGGATTTTGTCATGTTGCCCAGATCTTGAACTACTGAGGTTAAGCGATTTGCCCGCCTGGCCTCCCAAAGTGCTGGGATGACAGGCATGAGCCATTGTGCCCAGCCTGAGTTGATGTTTGCAGATGGTGTGATATAAGAGTCTGATATCATTCTTTTGCATGTGGTTATCCTGTTTCCCCAATGCCCTTTATTGAAGAGATTGTCCTTTTCCCATTGTGTGTTTTTGACACCTTTGTCAAAAATTAATGAATTATAATATGTGGGTTCATTTCTGGGTTCTCTGTTTTTCTATTCCGTTGGTCAATGTATCTGTTTTTATGCCAGTACCATGCTGTTTTAACTATTATAGCTTTGTAATATAGTTTGAAATCAAGTTAAGGTGATGCCTCTAGCTTTGTCCTTTTTTTTTTTTTTTTTTTTTTTTGAGACAGGGTCTCACTTTGTCACCCAGGCCGGAGTGCAGTGGTACAATCATAGCTCACTGTGGACTCAAACTCTTGAGCTAAAGAGATCTCCTCACCTCAACCTTCTAAGGAGATGGAATTATAGATGTGCATCACCATGTCTGGCAAATTTTTATTATTATTTTTATTTTTTGTAGAGACAAGGTCTTGCTATGTTTTCTAGGCGGTCTTGAACCCCTGGAATCAAGTGATCCTCTTGTCTCAGCTTCCCAAAGTGCTGGGATTACAGATGTGAGCCACCATTCCCAGCTGCTTTGTTCTTTTTGCTAAATTTTGCCTTAGCTATTCAGGTGTGTGTGTGTGTGTGTGTGTGTGTGTGTGTGTGTGTGGTTACATACGAATTTTAGGATTATTTTTTCTAATTCTGTGAAAAATGACATTGGAATTTTAATAGGAATTTCATTGAATCTGTAGATTGTTTTGGGCACTATAGACTTTCTAAAAATATTAATTCTTTAAATTCATGAACACAGGATATTTTTCCATTTGTGTCTTCAAATTTTTTCATTAATATTTTATAGTTTTAGTGTACAGACCTTTCACCTCTTTGGTTAAATTTATTTCTAAGTACTTACTTTTTTTGTAGCTATTGTAAATGGGATTGTTTTCTTGATTTATTTTTTGTATAGCCTGCTGTTAATGTATAGAAACCCTAGTGATTTTTGTGCATTGATTTTGTACCTTGCAACTTTACAGAATTTGCTTATTGGTTCTAACAATTTTTTTAATGGAGTCTTCAGGGTTTTGTATATATAAGTGCAAATAGTGAAAATTTTACTAATTTTCTTTTCTATTTGAATGCCTTTTATTTCTTAAAGAATAATTTAAAATAATGAACTTAAGGGGAAATCTAGATTTTCCAAATAGATCCTTGGAAAGTAATAAAAAGTTCTTAACTTCTAGACAGTCCAGTCTTATAGGATGTAAAAATTCAGATGCTAACTAAAATCCAGTTAATAACATAACATAAATTTTTATTAAATTTACTGAGCTTTCACCCTGAGTTACATAAATTTGAACAAATTGGTGGATAAGTAAATATTCAGATTTTGATGGAAATGAATAAAAAGTGAGTTGAATAGAAAGATTTTGATTGGGCAAAAGCAGCACTTCGTTTTTTGGCTTTTTTCTTTCTTTTTGTTTATTTGTTTAGCACTCTGCCACATTGCAACCCTAAATGGTTACTCTATGAGAAAATAAAATATAAAACCAAATGTCTTAACTTGTGAAATTACGCAAGACCTCTGTGATGTCTTTGGGCATTTTAAACCTTAATAATTTAGATTGAAGTCAGGTAGAAATTTGGAAGGAAATATGGATCTACTTTTTGTTCACAACCTGCTAGTACACAATGAAAAACTCTAATTCTGGGTTTGAGATTCTTTGAAAAAGGAAAAAGAATGGCACCATAAATGAGAAGGAAAATGTGGCCCTATCACTAGTTAAATCAAAGCCCGTAGAACACAAGAATAGAATTTTCACTTTGCCTTTGAACGCTCTTTTCAGATTTATTACCGCTATGTTCACAATCTAGGTATTTAAGTTTTTAAAGTTAAAAAATAATAACGTGACTTCAAGAACAGGGAGAAACAGGACTTCAACTACATCTGTGATACTTTATTTCCTTAGAAACATGTGAAGTAAACATGGGGAAATGGGAACATTTATTAAATCTGGATGGTGGTGACTGAGAGCTTGTTTTCTTCTCCCTGTTTTCTTGACTGTTTGAAATGCCTCATAATAAAACACCTGCACACAGGCTTTCTGAAGACCTGATCACTTTTATAAGCCATCAAATCATTCCACTTCTTTTGTCATTGATTTACCACTGAGGATATTACACCACAAAAATGACAGTGTAGAGTGACTAGGACTTCCAACCAATTAGTAGTGATAGGGAAAGTGACCAGTAGGAGTGGACAACCTGGAGGGGCAAAAATTTGTTTATTCCTCAGGTCCCTCCAAAACTTGTTGAGGGGATTGCTGCTAGATGCATGGTGTAGGCGGGGCACACAGGCATGATGGGTAATCCTCACCAGGAGCAGTTTCCCTCACTGCTGGATATTGGCTGGGCTACTTCTGAGGTGATTTGGCTGCCACAGGACTTAAAAATGCCTTTTCAAGAGTCTAGGTAAGGGTGCCTCACCCCACAAAACTGGGGGAACATCTCAAATACTTCGTGAAACATCACATCAAGTTTAGGTTTTCAGAGATAAAAGAAAGGTCAACTGTATGATACCAAGGGAGGATATCTTTTAATTATATTTTGTCCTCTTTCAGGCTCATAATGTGGTTTTGACTTGGAGATAGGAGATTTAGTTGCAGCTGGCCCTAACCTAAAAGGATGATGGTTATGTTAAAGTGTGTCCAGAATTAGTAGATTCTTGGTTTCACTGATTTTCAAGAAGGAAGCTGTGGATCCTCACAGTGAGTGTCACAGTTCTTAAAGGCAGCATGTCCTGAGTTTATTCCTTCTGATGTTTGGATGTGTTTTGAGTTTCTTTCTTCTGGTAAGGTTTGTGGTCTCAGAAGCTCAGGAGTGAAACTACAGACATTCGCGGTGAGTATTACAGCTGTTAAGGCGGCCCGTCTCGAGTTCGTTCCTCCTGCTGGGTTCGTGATCTTGCTGGTTCTAACAGTGAAGCTGCAGACCTTCATGGTGAGTACAACACCTCATAAACACAGTGTGGACTCAGAAAGTTAGTAGCAGCAAGATTTGCTGCAAAGAGTGAAACAACAAAGCTTCCACAGTGCAGAAGAGGATCAGGGCCGGTTGCCAGGGCTGGCTAGGGCAGCCTGCTTTTATTCTATTATCTGGCCCCACCCACATCCTGCTGATTGGTCCACTTTACAGAGCGCCAAGTGGTCTGTTTTGACAGGGTGCTGATTGGTGCATTTACAATCCCTGAGCTAGACACAAAGGTTCTCCACATCCTCACTAGATTAGGTAAACATGGAGTGTCCACACAAAGGTTCTCCAAGTCCCCACCAGAGTAGCTAGATACAGAGTGTTGATTGGTGCATTCACAAACCCTGAGCTAGACACAGGGTGCTGATTGGTGTGTTTATAAACCTTGAGCTAGATACAGAGTGCCCATTGGTGTATTTACAATCCCTTAGCTAGACATAAAGGTTCTCCAAGTCCCCACCAGACTCAGGAACCCAGCTGGCTTCACCCAGTGGATGTGCACGGGGTCCGCAGGTGGAGCTGCCTGCTAGTCCCGCGCCATGCGCCCCCATTCCTCAGCCCTTGGGTAGTCAATGGGACTGGGCGCGGTGGAGCAGGGGGCAGCGCAGGAACCCACGGAGGGCGGCGGGGAGGCTCAGGCATGGCGGGCTGCAGGTCCGAGCCCTTCCCTGCGGGAAGGCAGGTAAGGGCCGGCGAGAAAGTGAGCACAGCAGCTGCTGCCCCAGGTGCTAAGCTCCTCACTGCCCGGGCCGGCGGGGCGGGCCGGCCGGCCACTCCGAGTGCCGGCCCGCTGAGCCCACGCCCACCCGGAACTCGCGCTGGCCCGCAAGCGCTTTGCGCAGCCCCGGTTCTCTCCCGCGCCTCTCCTTCTACACCTCCCCGTAAGCTGAGGGAGCCGGCTCCGGCCTTGGCCAGCCCAGAAAGGGGCTCCAGTGCAGCGGCGGGCTGAAGCGCTCCTCAAGTGCTGCCAAAGTGGGAGCCCATGCAGAGGAGGCACCGAGAGCGAGCGAGGGCTGTGAGGACTGCCAGCACGCTTTCACCTCTCAACGGTAGAAGCTGTCCATATCTCCCACGACACTTTCAGTCCACCACTAATATTCTGCGACTTGGCAGTTGTACCCAGTACAATTTATTAAATGGTAGGCTTAGGGTTCCTTTTAGCTACCTGATAGAGTACCAGGCAAATTCATGAAATAGGTAAGCAGTATTTCTTTTGTTTTGTTTTGTTTTTTGAGACAGAGTCTCACTCTGTCACCAGGCTGGAGTGCAGTGGGGAGATCTTGGTTCACTGCAGCCTCCGCCTCCTGAGTTAAAGCAATTCTCCTGCCTCAGCTCCCAAGTAGCTGGAATTACAGGTGTGCACCACCAGGCCCAGCTAATTTTTAGTAGAGATGGGGTTTCGCCATGTTGGCCAGGCTGGTCTCGAACTCTTGGCCTCAGGTGATCCACTTGCCTCGGGCCTCCCAAAGTACTGGGATTACAGAGGTGAGCCACTGCACCCGAACAGTAAACAGTGTTTTTAATAGTTGATATGAGAGATTGAGTGCTTCTAATGAGACAGTTACTGCAGTATTTCTTTGTGTGCCTTGTTTAATTCTCACACTATACTTTAAGATAGGTAGTTTCTTCCCTACCTACATTATAAGGAATCAGAAGCTCAAATAATTTGACAAAAGTCACATGACAAACGGTGGAGACAGGATTTGAACCCAGGACTGTCTAATGCAGCAGGCACGCTCTTTTAAAATATCCCATGCTGTCTCCTCATCCTTCGCAACCATTTGGGGGGCTTTAGTCTTACCTTATTCTCTTTAGGAGGTGGGGGTGGGTACATGGAGAAGGAGTAGCTACTTAGTGGCAGCTTTAGGGCTAAAATGGGATGTCTCTCCTCTCCAAGAACGGTTGCTCTGAATCCTGTATCTTCATTGTCTTTTTGGGGACATTGTCCATTACTGTGTAGTACCCGCTCTCCCACTCTATTAGCTGTATCCCTGTCTGTACAATGTATGCAAATCTCTCTTATTTTTCAGCAAGCTTCCATATGACACTGCATTTCCCTTTAACTACCACCCAGTCTGGTAGCTACTCACCACATGTGGCAAGTGAGTACTTGAAATATGGCGAGTGTAACTGACGGGTTGCATTTAAGATTGTAGAAATGGAAGCAGTACGTAATATTTTTCTCCTCTCTCTCTTTCTATTTTTGCAGAGATAGGGTCTCGCTTTGTTGCCCAGCTTGGTCTCAAACTCCTGACCTCAGGTGATCCACCTGCCCTGGCCTCCCAAAGTGCTGGGATTACAGGCATGAGCTGCCATGCCCAGCCAAAAATATCTGTCCATTAAACTCAACTCTACCATTCTGGACTGTATTCCACTCTGCATCACATAAGACATTATTGTATGTCAGTGGATGTGTTAAGTGTGTTCATCATCTAGTATTATACATAAGTGCTTCCTCTATATAGTCTGTCAATGGATGGATTCAGTTTCATTTTTTTTTTTTTTTTTTTTTTTTGAGACAGAGTCTCACTCTGTTGCGCAGGCTGGAATGTAGCGCTGCGATCTCGGCTTACTGCAACCTCTGCCTCCCAGGTTCAAACAATTCTGCCTCAGCCTCCCGAGTAGCTGGGATTACAGGCGTGTGCCAGCATGCCTGGCTAAGTTTTGTATTTTTAGTAGAGATGGGTTTTTACCATGTTGGCCAGGCTGGTCTCAAACTCCTGACCTCAGGTGATCTGCCTGCCTCAGCCTCCGAAAGTATTGGGATTCCAGGTGTGAGCCACCACGCCCAGCCTCAGTTTCAGTTATTTTTTACATGCACCCATGTGTTTATATGCACACTGTAACATGTTTATTTGAATATTTTATTCAGAGAGCATCGGTTACAGAGATACCTATGCATATCATAGTTAATAATTAAACTGAAATATTATTTTAATTATAATATCTTTATTTATCTAGTTTTCTATCTTATTGTATCAGCTGGGATTCTCCAGAGAAACAGAGCCAATGGGAGATATATGTTTAATATAAGGAATTGGCTCAGCAATTACAGAGACCAAGAAGTCCCAGGATCTGTAGTCAGCAAGCTGGAGATCCAGGAGAGCTGGTGGTTTAGATCCAGTTTGAGTTTGAAGGTCTGAGAGCTAGGAAAGCCAATGGTGTTAAGTGGCACACTGACCATTTCTAAGTAGTCTAGGCAGAACTCTCTGGCCTTTAATGTGAAAGAATAAATTCAACTTAACACGAATAAATAGGACTCGAGGAAGTTGAGAATGTGGGAACTGCTTTTGGCAATTTCACTTGGAGGTGACAGTCATTCTGGAGGATAATAGGTAACATGAATTGTGAGAGGATCACAGATTTGGACCCAGGGAGGATTTATCTAAGGAATAATCCCAAAGATTTTTTTTAAACCTACATATTCAAATATATTTATAGCAGAGATATTGAAAGCAGGGGAAATTGCAGGTAACTTTCATGTTCAAGAGGCAGGTAAAACTTAAATAAACAGATACAACCTCTTCATGAAATACTAAGTAGCAGTAAAATGAATAATCTTGAAGCCATGTTCTGTGGAAAAGTGTATGTGACCTCAATGCTCATTTTCCCCTTAATTTCAGGGGCTCATTGTTTCAGATATGTGACATGTGAGCTAAAACCATGGTACAGTTCCTCAAAATCATATTATCCCCAAGGCACTATTGAGCAACAGAATTTCTGACAGTCTTGTGGAAATTAAAACTGAAAGTTCTCTTCTCCAGTTTTTACCGCCATATTTTATTCTTCACTCTTTAATTTTTTTTTTTTTTCAGACAGAGTCTCACTCTGTCACCCAGGCTGGAGTGCAATGGCATGATCTTGGCTCACTGCAACCTCCACCACCTGGGTTCAAGTGAATCTCCCACCTCAGCCTCCCAAGTAGCTGGGATTATAGGCACCCGCCATCACACCAGGCTAATTTTTGTATTTTTGTAGAGACGGGGTTTCACCATGTTGCCCAGGATGGTCTTGAACTCCTGACCTCAGGTGGTCCACCCGCCTCGGCCTCCAAAGTGCTGGGATTACAGGCATGAGCCACCGCGCCTGGCCTTGTTCTCCACTCTTAGGAGACACACTGACACAACAGCTTACTGTGTACCTTCCAGACCTTTTATGCATATACAAACCATAATAACAATAAATACAAACATATATTTTTCTTTGTGCATAAATAGGCACACACTATACTCAGCACTCTGTAACTTGCATTTTTCATGTAATAATATAGAAACCTCTGTAAATGTATAGATCTGTTTGCTTTTAATGGCTGCATGTTCATGTTGATGCAGCCACTAAAAGGAAACAGATCACCGGGTGCGGTGACTCATGCCTGTAATCCCAGCACTTTGGGAGGCTGAGGTGGTCAGATCACTTGAGATCAGGAGTTCAAGACCAGCCTGGCCAGCATGGTGAAACTCTGTCTCTACTAAAAATACAAAAACAATTAGCTGGGCATGGTGGCACCCGCCTGTAATCCCAGATACTCAGGAGGCTGATCCAGGAGAATCGCTTGAACTCAAGAGGTGGAGGTTGCAGTGAGCCGAGATGTGCCACTGCACTCCAGCCTGTGCAACACAGTGAGACTTCATCTCAAAAAAAAAAAAAAAAAAAAGGAAACATCTATAGATTCACAGAGGTTTCTATGATATATTAAATATCATCAATGCCTAAATATAGATATGCTGAATATCCATTGATGAATATGCTAAATATCCATCAATGCCTATGATTGAGTAAATTATTGTATAATAATTAATATTGTGTAATAATTTACTCAGTCATAGGCATTGATGGGTATTTAGGTTATTTCTAATTTTTTATTAGAAATTTTTATTTCTAATTTTTTGTCTAGTAATCAGTGCTGTAGAACATCACATTGATTCATTACATCTGTGATATCATACTGGTCAGGAAGGATGAGTAAGAGGTGGCTTGTGCAAGTTGGAAGCCTTGGTGAGACCCATGTACTCCAGAGAATGGGAAATAAATCCTACAAAGATCCAGAGATCGGCCAAATCAGGAAGGTTTTTAGGGGTCTAGTGGACAGGATTGTGTTGGTACATATCCTCCAAAGTAAGGGCATATTGCTGCATCTTGCATCCCCTAACACAAAGAAGGAAGCACAGCGCCTGGTGGGCCTCTATGAATTCTAGAGGCAACATAGTCTACACCTGGGAATATGGCTATGACTCACACCCAGGAGGCCCAAAGACCTATGAACTCTCAAAATTGGTCTACCAGGGCCTTTTTCCAAGAGAGCACTCCACTTTGAAGAAAAAGTGCTGGTAGTAAGAGAGAATAATAAAGAGAAGATCTAAATACATGTGAGAGAGGACACACCCAAGAAATCTCAGAAAGCAAGCCACTTGATTTTTGAACACTGTATTCATTACATTTTATTGTTTTCAGGTAACAGAAGTGAGGGTCGTATGAAGTTAAAAAGCTACCCTGAACCATGCCTCCTTCTAAAAGTTCAGCAAACCAATTTCACATAAAATGAGTGTGGGAAATTGATAGCAACCAATTCCTACACAAAGCTATTAGAAAAAAGATAACAAAGAGCAAGATAATATCCCTACAGACAATGAAAGCATGGCAGAAAGCCATGTCCATAGAGAAGATCAAAATTGTAATCTTCTCTTTCACAATGAGCTAAAAGGCAATAAGAAAATTGTACAAAAAGTTGAAAAAATAACACAAATCAGAATTTTTAAAAACTTAGAATGTGGTCATAGAACTAAGGAAAGAGCCAGAAAGAAAATAAATAATTTCTTAAAACTAAACAAGAAAAAATGCAAGCACAAACTCCTTAAAAGAAATAGAAGATGGAAAGGGAAAACATTTTTAAAGGTTAAAAAATGAAGAACTATATGAAAAAACAAAGAGAAATTGATAAATATTGAAGATAGACAAAGAGGATATAAAATATGGCTAACAGGAGTTTCTGGAAAAAATATACAAAAGTTAGGGAATAGAACAACTATCACAAATTATAGTTCAAGAAAACTGTATGAAATAGAAAATTGAAATTCTATATTGAAGAAAGTGCATTGCATGTTTGAGAATATTGACCCAGAATGACCAACACTAAGACATATTTTAGTAAAAGTACAGGATTACAGGATTTTAGAGAAAAAAAAAAATCCTTTGGGCCTCTAGCCAAAAAGATCATGTTATTTATAAGGGAAAGAAACTGAGATTATCATTTTTCAACACCACCACTTTACGTTAGAAGAAAATGGAGTCAACATTTTAAATACTCAAGGACAGAAAATTAGAGCCAAGAATTTTATATCCAGGAAAAATGAATTTTAAGTATGAAGGGTATAGACAATCTGTTTTCAACTTGTGAGAACTTGGAGAATATTATATTCATGAAACAGTGAACAACTCGTAGCAATAAGCATCTTTACAGACCAGATTGTGGTCTTGAAATGCCATTTCCCTCTAAAAGAAACCAGGGAAGGTTTTGATCCAGGAACATGGGATGAGATGAGTTTTGCCTAGCTAAATCAGTGGCAAACATTTTTTGCAAACAAGTTATGGGAAGAAGTAGATGCCATAACATGATATGTGAGTTGTTCTGTTGGAGGAGGCTACAGAAAGAATGAGACAAAGGTTTGGTTTTCTAAAACAGTCTCATCACGTTGATTTGTTTGGTCACTAACTTAAAAACATGCCCCAGGATGCCCTTAACCTGGGAATTTTGTTTTTGGAGGTATGCAAACTCCTCCTGAAATCATCTTTCTGGTTTACACGGTGCTTGGCATGGAATAATGAAGTTTCAGTGTTTGGCTCTGATAAGGAGAGAGGGACCAGTATAGATTAGGCTGAAAAGTTACCTTTAAAATTTGAAAAAGTGCTTACATACAGCTTAAGAGCTGTAGAATTATCTGGAATGTTTTATACACAACATCAATAAAGGTAATTACAAAATGTGTCCATCATATGTTTTTAAAGACTTTTTTGCTCACATTCCCTTACATGTTGTTCCTGAAGGTCTTTGGCCCAGAGCTTAGATGAGATTTATGGGGAGAGTGGCATAGGCAATTTGGGAAGGAAAGAGGAAGGAGAAGAAAGGTGCCTGCCAGGTAAATGTCAGCCCTCAGTTTAAAGGTTAATTTGGGGCAAGTAGGCTCAGGTGGAGTCAGGGAGGAGTAGCTCAGTGCAGGAATGAGGGTGTTCCACACCTCAATCGGTTCCAGCAAAGCCCGGCCCAGCATTTTTTGTGTGTAGAATTGCCTCTCTCTGGTGCATTTTGATTCAGTTTCCAAGTCATCATCTTTTCTGATGTGGCTCTCAGTCTCTCAGCAAGCTCAACCCTAGTCTTCCCCTCCTTGGATTTAATAAGACTTTTTGTTTTCCTGAGACAGGGTCTTGCTCTGTCGCCCAGGCTGGGGTACAGTAGTGTGATCATAATTCACTGCAGCCTTGAACTTCCCTGCTCCAGCAATCCTCCCGCCTCAGCCTCCTGAGTCACTGGGACTATAGGCACATGCCTCTATGCCTGGCTAATTTTTTAAATTTTTTGTAGTGAAGGTGTCTCACCATGTTGCCCAGGCTGGTCTCAAACACCTGGCCTCAAGTGATCCTCCTGCCTCAGCCTCCCAAAGTGCTGGAATTACCAGCATGAGCCATGGCGCCCTGCCTAATAAGACTCTTTATCTGTTCCTCATGTGCCTTCCTTTGAGAGTGATGTTCTTTGGCAGCACTCAGATACTTCAGGTTCTGGCCCATCAGTCTGGTCTCTTTATCCATCTCTCAACAACAGCACTTTGTCCTCCCAAGTCCTACACAGCCACCACCAACACCAAACTATTTTCCCTACTTCTGGTGTGCCTCACTTGGCAAGTGCTGAGCATCTGTGAGTTCAAGTACCTGGCACTCGGCCAGGCACGGTGGCTCATGCCTGTAATCTTAGCACTCTGGGAGGACAAGGCGGATGGATCACCTGAGGTCAGGAGTTCAAAACCAGCCTGGCCAACATGGTGAAACCCCATCTCTACTAAAAATACAAAAAAACTAGCCGGGCATGGTGGCGGGCCTGTAATCCAGCTACTTAGGAGGCTGAGGCGGAAGAATTGCTTGAACCCAGGAGGCGGAGGTTGCAGTGAGCCAAGATCACACCACTGCACTCCAGCCTGGGCAACAGAACGAGACTCTGTCTCAAAAAAGAAAAGAAAAGAAATAAAAAATAAATAAATTACCTGTGATTCCACCTTTTCTCTGTCTCTCATCAAGCCTAATTGCAATAACCTTCAAACTTCCCTCTTTCCTCAGCAACTTTCTCAGCCTCTTCTAGTTTTTACAGGATGGTAGCCAGGTACCCGTGAGCTCTCAAGATTGGATTTTAAAATAACATGTTCTTTAATAAATCAATATTGTTGACTTTGAAATGCTTTACCTTGAGAAACTGCACAGATAGTCTAGGGCTGCTGCTGCTGTTCAAAAGTTTTTGGGATTCTCCTTATGAATCCAAAATATATTCTGGAAATTTTCTGGATATCATGGGATGGTAAAAGACCATCATTTGTGGACAGGCATGATTTTTAAAACAATCAAAGTTATTTCGAGCCCAGGATGGTAAATAAAGTTGAGCAATCAAATGAATCACATGTACAATTGAGATATAAACAATAAAATGAGGCCGATTTTATGGAATGGGTGCAATTCCATCCTGCGTAAGAACAGGCCCTATATTGGGCCCATGATTTAAAGGCCCGTGCACATATCACAAATACAGTAAAAGAACAAAAAACAAAAAAACACACAGAGCCTCTGTCACTCAAGATCAAGTGCTCAGCCCTGACACAGTAAAATTCATAACCTTAAAACATCTGCCATCATGATTAGCACTGATCAGACCGCAGGAAAATACTTCAGAAAAATTCCTGCACATTGTCCTTGATAGCTTTGCAACAAAAGGCAACTGCGTCTGAACACTGTGAGGTTGTTCTCTGCCGACACTGCTGTGGAGAACCCAGTGGTTTTGAGTAGCAGAAATGCTCAAAAGATAAACTGAGAGAAAAGATAAATGAATGACCCCGTCAAACACATTTTCTCAGAGAGCTGAATGCAGTAGCTTCTTGTGTAAGGAAGTATCATTTCTTATTTGTGTCTAGTGTCTACCTTCACCCATCTCTTCCTGTTACAGTGTTTGAATGAGGAGGCTGTTCACAAGAATTACCCATGGTAACTGGGAAAGATTTCAAAATATTAAGCAATTTGTATTACATATATATATATAAATATATATATATTATTATATATATAGGTCTAGATGTAACTTGTATGAAGTATGAGGCTAAATCTTTACAATAGCAGCTACGGTCGTCCCACCTTATTTGAGGGGAATATGTTCCAAGATCCCCAGTGGATGCCTGAAACTGTGGATAGACTGAACCCCAGCCAAGAAATGCCAAGGTCATATTTTTGATATGGACGGGAGGCAGGAAAATACTGGGCAGAAGAGGGTGGTTCCCCGGCAAAGTCCCCACCTTCAAGCCTGGAAAATGTGGCACTAAATGAGAAGAGTTATCCCTGTTTTCTCACCCACATGTTGCCTTTTTGGCCCGCCCTGCCACCCTATCCTGTGCCTATATAAACCCCAGACCTCAACTGGCGAAGAGACAAGTGGCTGAACATGAAGAGGAGAAGCAGCAACTGAGCGTCGGAGACTATGGATAGACGCAGCTTAACTTCAGAAGGCAGGACCTTGGAGGGGAGCCTGGCCGGAGACAGCCGGACTTGGGGACAGATCATCTTCTTCTTGCACCATCCCCTTTCCAGCTTTCCTTCCACTGAGAGCCACTTCCGTCACTTAATAAAATCCTCTGCATTCATCACCTTGCAAACTGTTCGTGCAACCTGGTTATTCCTGGATGCTGAACAAGAACTTGGGTGTCAAAAAGGCAGGTGAAGAAGGCTATCATCCTGACTCTCCACTGAGCTGTCAACGCTTAGCTGTCCATGGATGGCAAAGCTACAAAAGCATTAACTGTAACACACCCCTAGATGCTGGCTTGCATGCTCCCTCCCATGAGGGGTTGAGCCCAGTGGGTTTGAGTGAGTGAAGTTTGTCCCTGTTGGCACCAAAGTGGCCTGCTAGACTCAGCCGGTGCACTCCAGTTCCTGCCCATTAAAGGGTCAAGGGAACTATCCTGGCTCATTTTCACTTAAAGGAAGACCTTTATGGCTTCTCTTGGCATATCTGAATTGCCAGCATCACTTCTCTTGCCCTTTAACACCATTATTAAATAAAATAAGTGTTACTGGAATACAAGCACTGCTATCCTGGGACAGTCCGTCTGATAGCTGAGATGGCTGCTAAGTGATAACGAGTGGGGAGCATCTACAGCAAGGAGACAGCTGGACAAAGGGAGCACTGAGGTCCTGGTTGGGACAGAGATTTCATCATCCTGCTTAGACGGGTGCACAGTTTTAAACTTATATATTGTTTATTTGTGAAATGTCATATTTAGTATTTTTGGGCTGTGGATGACCCCAGGTAACTGAAATCTCAGAAAGTGAAATCCCAGATAAGGGGGACTACTGTAGTTGGATATTGAAGACTACAATCATGAATATTTATAAATTTATAAAAATTGAATAATGTTTAATTACAATATGGAAAAAGAACAAAAATGTCAACTTTACGTAATTTGATTTAAAATTTAATATTTATTATTATAATTTGTAATTTGTCACTGATTTTTACAGATTTTTTTTTAAGTTTGGAAGAAAAATGACATTTTTGGAAAGCTTATAGGCAAATCATGTTTTTGATTTTAACTTACTTTACATTTTTATGAAAATGCATTCAACTGATACTTTGACTACAAATGCACTTAATTTTTTAATCCTTTAAATCATTACCAAGAATAGAACACAAACTTGATTAGTACAACTAGTGATGTTTGCTGATAGGCATGAAAGACAAATAACTTTTCTGAAATAACTTATAAATTTTATATACCATATTTAACTTTGTACTCATCCAAATTTGCCAACCCATCAACAAAATACCCAAACTTATGCAATAATAATTAAATTAAGTTGCTCTTGGTATTTTGCTGACTTTGAGGCATATAAAAAACATGGATTTAAGGCTGGATGCGGTGGCTCATGCCTGTAATCCCAACACTTTGGGAGGCTGAGGCAGGCAGATCAGTTGAGGTCAGGAGTTCAAGACCAACCTAGCCAACATGGTGAAACCCCGTCTCTACTAGAAATACAAAAAATTGGCACGGTGTGGTGGTGCACACCTGTAATCCCAGCTACGTGGGAGGCTGATGCAGGAGAATCGCTTGAACCAGGGAGGTGGAGGTTGCGGTGAGCTGAGACAGCACCACTATACTCCAGCCTGAGCGAAAAAGTGATACTCCATCTCAAACAAAAAACAAAAAAAACATGGCTTTACACATAGTTTTCTCTTTTTATTACAAAGGTATATATGTCAAACGAGAAGAATGGAATATATTTTATTTTGATTTATAACTTTTAATTATTTAGATATAAGGTATATGAGTCTCAAGTGGTGCTCTTGTTGCAGGCTCTGCAAATGCTAAGGTTGGGTCTGGGGGCTTTATAACAAACAAGTTCTGGTACTGTTCTGAGCACTGCCATATGAGTAGTAATATTTCCAAAGACGACCACTAAGGACCACACTCACTTGCAGATATACATTTATTTTAAAAATATTCATTTTTCTTTCTAGCAATACCTACATATCACTGGTCATGCACTTCAGCATAAACAATAGATATATACATTCCAAAAAGGTAATGTGTAAACTAAATTTCTTTTTTTTGAGACAGTTTCGCTCTTGTTGCCCAGGCTGGAGTACAATGGCGCCATCTCAGCTCACAGCAACCTCTGCCTCCTGGGTTCAAGCAATTCTCGGGCCTCAGCCTCCTGAGTAGCTGGGATTACAGGCGCCTGCCACCACGCCCAGCTAATTTTTTTTATTTTTAGTAGAGACGTGGTTTCACCATGTTGGTCAGGTTGGTCTCCAACACCTGACCTTAGGTGAGCCACCTGCCTTGGTCTCCCAAACTGCTGGGATTACAGGCATGAGTCACCTCGCCTGGCCAACTAAATTTCTTAAGTAGTTTAGAAGTCTCGCTATTTGAAATATTGCTTGTGATTAATTTATTTTTTCTGTTTTCTTTTTTTTTTTTTTTTTTTTTGAGACTGAGTCTCACTCTGTTTCCCAGGCTGGAGTTCAATGGCATGATCTCAGCTCACTGCAACTTCTGCCTCCCATATTCAAGCAATTCTCCTGCCTCAGCCTCCTGAGTAACTGGGATTACAGGCATGAGCCACGACGCCCGGCTAATTTTTGTATTTTTAGTAGACATGGGGTTTCACCATGTTGACCAGGCTGGTCTTGAACTCCTGGCCTCAAGAGATCCTCCCGCTTTGGCCTCCCAAAGTTCTGGGATTACAGGCGTGAGCCATGGCGCCCAGCCTGCTTGTGATCAATTTCAAAGCACAGACTCTATAAAGCAAGTTATCATCTTCTTAGTATATGTATTTTTGAAAATCCATGCTTAAAACAACAGCAGCTCAACCCTGAATGCATAGTAGCATCACCTAGGGAGGGTTTAAAAAATATTGATATTCTGGTTCCAGCCTAGGGGATTTTGCTATACCTGATCTGGGATAGGGTTCAGGCATGAGTTTTTTTTGTTTTTTTTTTCCTCCCCTCCCCTTCCCCTTTCTTAACAGGGTCTCACTCTGTTGCCCAGGCTGGAGTGCAGTGGCATGATCTTAGCTCACTGTAACCTCTGTCTCCCAGGTTCAAGCAATTCTTCTGGCTCAGCCTCTCCAGTAGCTGGGGTTTACAGGCATGTGCCACCAGGCCAAGCTAAGTTTTTTTTTTTTTTGAGACGGAGTCTTGCTCTGTTGCCCAGGCTGGAGTGCAGTGGCGTGATCTCGGCTCACTGCAAGCTCCGCCTCCTGGGTTCACACCATTCTCCTGCCTCAGCCTCCCAAGTAGCTGGGACTACAGGCGCACACCCGGCTAATTTTTTTGTATTTTTAGTAGAGACGTGGTTTCACCGTGTTAGCCAGGATGGTCTCACTCTCCTGACCTCGTGATCTGCCCGCCTTGGCCTTCCAAAGTGCTGGGATTACAGGCGTGAGCAGGGAGGCCCTATGTGCCCTTCACCCAGTTTCCCCCAATGATAACCTTGTATAACTATAGCACAATATCAATTGCAGGGAAATAACATTGGTATAGTCCACAGAGCTTATTCAGATTTCACCAGTTTTACATACACTCGTGTGTGTGTGTGTGTGTGTGTGCGTGTGTATGAGCATAGTTCTATGCAATTTTACCTTACATGTAGAGTCACATAATCACCATTACAATCAACATACAGAAATGTGCCATTACCACAAGGCTCCCTTATGCTACTCTTCCATTTCTAATCCCCTGGCAACTACTAGTCTGTTCTCCATCTCTATGATTTTGTTATTTTAAGGATGTTATGTAAATGAATCATACTGTGCATATGATTTTGAGAGTGGCTTTTCTCACTCAGCACAATTCATTGAAATCCATCCAAGTGGCTGCATGCATCAATAGTTTCTTTCTTTTTGTTGGTACATGATATTGCATGGTATAAAGGTACTGCAATTGATTTAACCATTCACTCACTGAAAAATTTTGGGGTTGTTTCCAGTTTGGGGCTGCTATGAATAAAGCTGTTATCAACATTTGTGTACAGAGTTTTGTGTAAACATAAGTTCCCTCTTCTCTGGCATAAATGACCAACTGTGGAATTGCTGGGTTGTAAGGCTAGTGTGTGTTTCATTTCATAAGAAGCTGCCAAACTGTTTCCCAGAGTGGTTGTACCATTTTACTCCCCACCAGCAATGAATGAGTAGTGAAAGAAACAAAAATATTTCTCTCTAGAATACCGGGTATTGTTGAGCTGAAGAAGGTTAAAATGCAGGGGAACACTCTGCCCCTACCTTTGCTTGCCTGATGTTTGGACAGCAATTTACAAAGACAAAGGTCTTCCTGCCCTCTGTGCCTTCCCCACCTAAAGACAAGGCCCTTTACAACACTGTCTTATCAGCTCAGAGACAGAGCTCAGATATAGTGACACAAGAGGATCTAGACGCATTCTCCACTCTTGCCATAAATTTACCTTCCCACATTTTCCTGCTTTTTGGAAGCCTGAAGATGGTCTTTTCTTTGTCTGTCACTATATAGGATTCATGGCTCTTTAATACATGCTTAAATACTATTTAAGCAAGGTCCCTAAAACACTGCCTGACATTTTGAACTGCCTAAAGTTTTGAAATAGTTTTGAACTGAGGTCTCTCCTGCATGATGGGTACAGCACACTTTAATAAACTTCTGCGATTTTTCTCTTGTTAATCTGACTTTTGTTTTCAGGACAGTGTCTCAACTAAGAACCTATGAAGAAAAATAAAGAAATTATATTTTCTCCCCCATGGCAGTCTAGTTTCTTTGTATTCTAGAAACTGCCCTTGCAAAATTATAACAGTGAGAAAAATCTAACATAACTGACTCCATCCTATTTCAGACTTCACAAGCTAATAGCATTGGCTCATTCCTGCGTGTAGGCCATGCTAACTATGAGAGAAATGTTTACAGTTTAACCTTAAAGCGAAGATGATAATAGTCTCCAAAATTCACTCCCTCCCTGTTCAGGGACTGAAACCACCTTTGTAAAACTAATGAAAGGCCACAAAGTTAAAATTACATTAGGGGTCTGAATTCTGCTAAGATATAGGCATAGTTAATTCTGCTAATTCTGAATTCTGCTAAGATATAAGAATGGTTAAACAGTAACCAGTCATTGTTCCCTAACTTGCTTTTTAATAATTGCTTACTGCTCAAGGGTCACATAGCTTGTGGTCACAAGATTTAACTTCTCCAGTAGTTGCTTCTATAGATAACATTGCTATGGTGAAACTTAAGACTGGTGTCTCAGATATTTTTCAGACTTTTCATTCTGGTGGACCAAGTGACACCACCAAGACCAATGACCCACAACCAGAAATGGACTCAACTGGTCCTGTTGAGAGGTGACAGCGTGCTGGCAGTCCTCACAGCCCTCGCTCGCTCTCGGCGCCTCCTCTGCCTGGGCTCCCACTTTGGCGGTACTTGAGGAGCCCTTCTGCCTGCCGCTGCACTGTGGGAGCCCCTTTCTGGGCTGGCCAAGGCTGGAGCCCACTCCCTCAGCTTGCAGGGAGGTGTGGAGTGAGAGGTGCGAGCAGGAACTGGGGCTGCGTGCAGCGCTTGCCGGCCAGCTGGAGTTCCAGGTGGGCGTGGGCTTGGCGGGCCCGCACTCGGAGCCGCCGGCCAGCCCTGCTGGCCCCAGGCAATGAGGGACTTAGCACCCGGGCCGGTGGCTGCGGAGGGTGTACTGGGTCCCCCAGCAGTGCCAGCCCACCGGCGCTGCTCTCGATTTCTCACCAAGCCTTAGCTGCCTTCCTGCGGCGCAGGGCTCGGGACCTGCAGCCCGCCATGCCTGAGCCTCCCACCCACTCCATGGGCTCCTGTGCAGCCGGAGCCTCCCCAACGAGCCCCACCTCCTGCTCCACAGCGCCCAGTCCCATCGACCACCCAAGGGCTGAGAAATGTGAGCGCACAGTGCGGGACTGGCAGGCAGCTCCACCTGGAGCCCTGGTGCGGGATCCACTAGGTGAAGCCAGCTGGGCTCCTGAGTCTGGTGGGGACGTGGAGAGTCCTTATATCTAGCTCAGGGATTGTAAATACACCAATCAGCACCCTGTGTTTAGCTCAAGGTTTGTGAGTGCACCAATCGACACTCTGTATCTAGCTGCTCTGGTGGGGCCTTGGAGAACCTTTATGTCTAGCTCAGGGATTGTAAATACACCAATCGGCACTCTGTATCTAGCTCAAGGTTTGTAAACACACCAATCAGCACCCTGTGTTTAGCTCAAGGTTTGTGAATGCACCAATCGACACTCTGTATCTAGCTGCTCTGGTGGGGCCTTGGAGAACCTGTGTGTCCAAACTCTGTATCTAACTAATCTGATGGGGACGTGGAGAACCTTTGTATCTAGCTCAGGGATTGTAAACGCACCAATCAGTGCCCTGACAAAACAGGCCACTGGGCTCTACCAATCAGCAGGATGTGGGTGGGGCCAGATAAGAGAATAAAAGCAGGCTGCCCCAGCGAGCATTGGCAACCTGCTCGGGTCCTCTTCTAGGGTGTGGAAGGTTTGTTCTTTTGCTCTTGGTACTGCTCACTGTTTGGGTCCATGTTGCTTTTATGAGCGGTAAAACTCACCGTGAGGATCTGCAGCTTAACTCCTGAGCCCAGTGAGAGCACGAGCCCACGGGAAGGAATGAACAACTCCAGTCACGCTGTCTTAAGAGTTGTAACTCCGCAAAGGTTTGCAGCTTCACTCCTGAGCCAGCAAGACCATGAACCCACCAGAAGGAAGAAACTGGGAACACATCTGAACATCAGAAGGGACACACTCCAGATGTGCCACCTTAAGAGCTGTAACACTCACCACAAGGGTCTGTGGCTTCATTCTTGAAGTCAGTGAGATCAAGAACTCACCAATTCTGGACACACTGTGACCCCACCCACCTAGCAATTGACTCAGCACTGGAAGACAGTTTTGACACACCTGTGATTTCATCCCTGACTCAACCAATCAGTAATAGCCGTTTCCTAACTGCTGCCCACCAAACTGTCCTTAAAAACCCTATCCTCCAAATTCTTGGAGGCAGATTTAAGAAATATCTCCCATTTTCTTGCTCAGCTGCCTTGCAATTATTAAACTGTTTCTTTGTTGCAACACCTTCTGTCTCAGTGTATATTGGCTTTTTCTTTGCAACAGGCAAGAAGAATCCACTGGGCTGTAACATCCTTGCCCGCATTTGGTGATGTCATTTTTTATTTTAGGCATTCTGATAGTACATAGTGATATTTCATTTAAATTTAAATGTGTGGTTTCCTAATAGCTAATGATGTTGAATGGCTTTTTGTGTGCTTATTTGATGCTATCTGTATATTCCTTTGGGTGAAATGTCTCTTCATAACTTTTGCCTATTTTCTAATTGGATTGCTTGCTTTTTTATTTTGAGTTTTGAGAGTTCTTTGTATTTTTCAGCTACAACTTCTGTGTTGGATATGTGGCTTGCAAATATCTTTTTTTTTTCTTTTTTAAGACAGGGTCTCACTCTGTCATCCAGGCTAGAGTGCAGTGGTGTGATCATGGCTAACTGCAATCTCCACCTCCTGGGCTCAAGTGATTCTCCCACTTCCAGTGATTCAGCCTACTCAGTAGCTGGGACTACAGGCATGCACCACCATGTCTGGCTAATTTTTTGTATTCTTAGTAGAGATGGGGTTTTGTCTTGTTTCCCAGGTTGGTCTCAAATTCCTGGACCCAAATGATCTGCCCTACTTGGCCTTCCACAGCTGCTGGGATTATAGGCGGTTAGTAAATATCTTCTTCCACTCTGTAGCTTGTCTTTTTATCCTCTTTTGAGAGTCTTTCATAGAATAAAAGTTTTTCATTTCAGTGAAATTCAATTGTTCTATGTTTTTCTTTTATGGGCCATGCATTTGGCATTCAGTCTAAGAATGCTTCACCTAGCCCTGTGTGATGTGGTAAATAAGAAATATACATTTGGTCTTCGCCTTTGGTTTCTGTCACAGAGCACCTAAAGCCTTGTAATTGTTTGAGTGATAGGGGTTATAGAGCATCTCTTGTTACAATAGTCTTTGACACAAGAGCTTCTAAAATCCCTGGAATTTCCTGAGTGACAGGAGCAAAAGGAATAGCTTTTATTATCATAATAAGCCCCTTTCAACACATCTGAATTTATGCTAATGAGGTGACTCCTGGAGGGCCTCTTTGTAGCTTCAAGATGGGGCTGGTTGTCAGAGGAACCAACCATGTGATCAGCAGGTTGTAACTTTCAGTCCCACTCCCCCACCCACCAGGGAGGGGAGAGGGGCTGGAGATTGAGTTAATCACTAATGGCTGTTGACCTAATAAATCATGCCTGTGTAATGGAACCACCATAAAAACCCTAAACAATGGGGTTCAGAGAGCTTCTCCATTGGTGAACATATCCACCTGCCAGGAGGGTGGTGCACCCCAACTCGAAAGGGACAGAAGCTACTGTGCTTAGAACCTTCTGGACCTTTTTTATATACCTCTTTATCTGGCCATTCATTTATATTCTTGATAATATCTTTTATAATAAACTGGTAATGGTAAATAAATCACTTTCATGAATTCTGTGAGCCATTCTAACCAATTATTGAACCTGAGAAGGGCATTACGGGAACCCCATTTATAGCCAGTCAAAGGTGCTGCAGGCCCAGGACCTGCAGCTGGCACCTGTTAAACAAAAATCATGGGAGGTCACGGTTTGGGACAAGGTTCCTGCACTAGGCCTCAACACACAAGACTAAAAACTAAAATAGAGTCACTCATACTAAAGTTGCATATCACCAAATCAAAACTAAGGTGCTTATCTGACCATTGGAGAAATCAGAGGAGAGAGATAATAGCCAAATTCTCAAATACGTCAGTTTCTGTAGGCATGATAATGAAGTTTCCTCTGCTTTAATCCTTACCAAAAACAAGTAGACCGAAGTAATCTCAAGTTAATTAGTTATTTTTCTATTGTTCTGTTTTCCTGTTTCTATCTTACAAAACAAAACGAAACAAAATAACACTGTTCTGCTCTTGCTTGGTGGGAGCTCTCATTCTATATCATTAAATTGAAGGCTGCGCAGTCATGAATCGTAAATAAAAGCCAATTAGATCTATAACTAAAATTGGTTGTAATTTTGTCTCTTGACACATCTAAAGCGAGGTCAGTCTTGTGGGACTGAGTCCTTTATCTGTGGAGTTTAATGCTTGCACTGGGTAGTTGGTGTCAGAATTAAATGGAATAATTGGACACCCAGTTGGTGTCCGGAGAGTTGCAGAATTGGTGGTGTGGAAAAAATCTACACATTTGGTGTCAGAAGTGTTGTGTGAGTAAAAATGAATCATACTTTAGGTCTTGAAGATTTTCTTCTTCTTTTAAAATTTTATTTATTTATTTATTTATTTATTTATTTATTTATTTATTTTTTGAGATGGAGTTTTGCTCTTGTTGCCCAGGCTGGAGTGCAATGGCGCAGTCTCAGCTCACTGCAACCTTCTGCTATGTGGTTATCATTGTAGCTTAAAGGTACAAATTAACATTTTACTAATTGAAGTCAGCATTCACAATATCTTTTATTTTTTTTTTCTTTGAGACAGAGTTTTGCTCTTATTGCCCAGGCTTGAGTGCAATGGCACCATCTTGGCTCACCACAACCTCCACCTCCTGGATTCAAGTGATTTTCCTGCCTCAGCTTCCCGAGTAGCTGGGATTACAGGCATGCGCCGCCACCTCGTCTGGCTAGTTTTGTATTTTTAGCAGAGACAGGGTTTCTCCATGCTGGTCAGACTGGTCTCTAACTCCCAACCTCAGGTGATCCGCCCACCTCGGCCTCCCAAAGTGCTGGGATTACAGGCATGAGCCACCATGCCCAGCCCCTTTTTTAATTTTTTAAATGAGATTCAGTTTTATATTTTGTGTTTAGTCTGTGATGTTTTCAGTTAGCTTTTGTATAAGATGTGAGGTCTAGTCTTCATTTTTTGCCTAAGTAGGCCCAGTTGCTCCAGCGCCATTTACTGAAAAGCCTATCCTTTTTTGAATAAATTGCTTTTGAATCTGTCAAAACTCAGTGTCAGTTTATTGCATGTTTTCATATAGCTAGAAGATTGGATTTTGAATGTTCACAACACAAATGATAAATGTTTGAGGTGATGGATATACTAATTACCCTGATTTGATCATTACACAACATACATATGCATTGAAATACCACACTGTACCCCATAAATATGTACAATTATTACGTGTTAATTTTAAAAATCATTAAAAATATCACTTGGGCATATTTGTGTGGATATCATTCTAGGTTATGTTTTCTGTTCCACTGACGTATGTGCTGTTCACAATGATACAGACAGGAGGAAGGGAAATACTGGAGGGTGGGGGTGTCCCTAGCAGGGGCTCCACCTTGAAGACTGGACCTGCTGCCTAAAGTGACAACCATTCATTTTCCTTCCTGAATGTTGCCTTTTGGCCTGCCCCACCCCCAACTCTGTGCCTTTAAGAACCCCAAGCTCCAAACTCAGCAGACACACAGAAGACAGAAGCATCTGAAACATTAAGACAAAAAGCTGCTGGATGTCTGGAGATAGTGGCTGCGTGTCCGGAATTGGTGGGTTCTTGGTTTCACTGACTTCAGGAATGAAGCCGTGGACCCTCACAGTGAATGTTAGAGTTCTTAAAGGATACATGTCCAGCGTTTGTTCCTTCTGATGTTCACATGTATTTGGAGTTTATTCCTTCTGGGGGGAATTCGTGGTCCCACTAGCTCAGGAGTGAAGCTGCAGACTTTCACAGTCAGTGTTACAGCTCATAAAGGCAATGTGAACCCAAACAGTGAACAACAACAAGATTTATTGCAAACCAAAAAGCAAACGAGACCCCAACGGGTTACCACTGCTGGTGCAGGCAGCCTGCTTTTATTCTCTTATCTGGCCCCACCCACATCCTGCTGATTGGTCCATTTTACAGAGAGCCAAATGGTCTGTTTTGACAGGGCGCTGATTGGTGTGTTTACAATCCCTGAGCTAGACACAAAGGTTCTCCAGGTCCCCACCAGAGTAGCTAGATACAGAGTGTCGATTGGTGCATTCACAAACCCTGAGCTAGACACAGGGTGCTGATTGGTGTGTTTACAAACCTTGAGCTAGATACAGAGTGCCCAATGGTGTATTTACAATCCCTTAGCTAGACATAAAGGTTCTCCACAGTCCCCACCAGACTCAGGAACCCACCTGGCTCCACCCAGTGGATCCGGCACCGGGGCCGCAGGTGGAGTTGCCTGCCAGTCCCACGCTGTGTGCCCGCACTCAGCCCTTGGGTGGTCAATGGGACTGGGCGCCCTGGAGCAGGGGGCAGCGCTCCTCGGGGAGGCTCTGGCCGCGCAGGAGCCCACGGAGTGGCGGGGGAGGCGCAGGCGGGCTCCAGATCCCGAGCCCTGCCCCGCGGGAAGGCAGCTAAGGCCTGGCCACAAATTGAGCACAGTAGCTGCTGCCCCAGGTGCTAAACCCCTCACTGCCCGGGGCCGGCGGGGCCGGCCGGCCGCTCCGACTGTGGGGCGTGCCGAGCCCACGCCCACCTGGAACTCGCGCTGGCCCACAAGTACCGGACGCAGCCCCGGTTCCCGCCCGCGCCTCTCCCTCCACCCCTCCCCGCAAGCTGAGGGAGCTGTCTCCGGCGTTGGCCAGCACAGAAAGGGGCTTCCACAGTGCAGCCGAGGGCTGAAGGGCTCCTCAAGTGCCGCCAAAGTGGGAGCCCAGGCAGAGAAGGCGCCGAGAGCGAGCGAGGGCTGTGAGGACTGCCAGCACGCTGTCACTCTCAGTTGGAGAGGAGTTTGAGTGGAGACAGCCAGGCTCCAGGGAAAGATCATCTTCCGGCTCCACCCTCTTTCCAGCTCCCCTTCTCGCTGAGAGTCACTTCCACCATTCAATAAAGTCCTGCACATTCAGCACCCTTCAATTTGTTTGTGTGACCTGATTCTTCCTGGATGCCACTGGACAAGAATTTGGGTACCAAGAGAGCAAGATGTCAAAGGCTATCATCCTGACCCTCCACTGAGCTGGTTAACAGCCGTCTGTGGATAGAAAATGCTAAAACAGCACTGACTGTAACATATCCCCTCTGGGGCTCCGGGGGTTGCAGACACCCGCTCCTGGATGGCAGAGCTAAAAGAGCATCGTAACATGCTTGGACGCCGCTGTGGGGCCTGCACAGAGCCTGCTCCCGCCAGAGAGGAGCGACTGGCTGGTTCCAGTATTCCTTGTGGTTCTTGCACCCATCAGCTTGTGTGCTCCCTCCCATAAGGGATTGAGCGCAGTGGCCGAGTAAAAAAGCCATCCACTTCCTGAGTCCTGAGAAGAGGCCAAGGGAACTCTCCTGTCTCAAAAAGATCACCAGGATGGCTTAATAGTAGAAGGGAGCGCTTTATTGGTGATACTGGTTTGCAAACCAGGAAGAAACAGTCTTTGATGTGGGCCGAAGCTGCTCTCTCCTTGAAGAGGAAAGTACTACAGGTTGAGTTTTGTGCCTCACAAGGCTTGTATCACACATTAGAGTCGTACATATTCAGCAAGTTTGGGGGGAAAACTATACGTATTTATGAGGGGAGCAAAGTGCATGCACAATGGGCAAATGTATGTTACAAATGATCCATGTTCACTTTGGGGCGGGGTCTTAGCATTAAAATTAAGTGGAATTTGGCTCTTTAAAGGTGAACTATAGTACACAAAGACAGTTTGTGCATCACTTCTATAAGGACTGCTGTTACTTCTCAGAAAAGAATGTTTGTAAGGCCAGTCCTCTGTCCAATTAGAGTTGCCGTGGTCTGGGTTGTAATACAACCCCATAACTCCTATTGTTAGTTTAGCAAGGGTGTGGTTTTTGTTGTAGCTGTAGGAATTTAGAAATTTGCCATGGCCGCTGGGCCCCGAACCCTCAACCCATAGGTAACTTTTGTTTGCTTAAGCTTAGGGTCTGTCTTAGTTGATATTTTGGTCTCTCAGATCACATATGTATCTAAACCTCCATCACACCATGCTGTCTTGATTACCATAACTATATAAGCTTTAACAGTAGTTGGAGTGACTCTTTCTACTTTATTCTTTTTCAAAAACTATCTTAGCTATTCTAGGTTCTTTCTGTTTCCATATACCTTTTAGAATAAACTTGCCTATATCTTGCTGGGGATCATCCCAGGAGATTTTTATTTTCCTGGTCTGGACTACAGCCCTGGCATCAGTATTTTTTAAAAGCTCCCTAGGTGATTCGGACGAATAGCCAAGGGTGTGAACTTTGGTTTATGGCAAGACACACCTAAAGAAAAATTTCTCTTGGAGAGCAAATTACTCAGGGGTTGAAAGTTTAAAGAATAGGTGGGATCTTTTAAGAACATGAAATTTAAAGAAGTGAAAGGAGGAGAGAGAAATAGCAATTTATCTCCAGCCTTGTAAAGCAGTCTCCATTAAATGCCCATACCCTCCATTCACACATGTAGCTCAACTAGTTTTGATGAAACATTCAAAAAATGAAAAGAATTGGTCTCTAGCCACAGAATTCTTACTTAGCTTGAACACACAAAAGACTTAGGTGTAGCCTTGGCCACACCCTTTAGAGGAAAAATAGTCTAGATAGGTGTGGTGCATGTATTCCTCCATGCAGAGGGTGACAAAAAAACAGTATTGAGTGTTTAAAGGTTATTTAAATAAAGATGGTTCACTCAGCAAGAGAGTTTGAACCCTGAACCACAACCAGAAGCCCATCTGGAATAAGATCAATAATGGCAGACATAGTTAGATATTTGTTGTTGCTTTTTTTATCTGAAAAAAATTTTAGCTGTACCCAGTGTGCATCCATGTGGTTACTTTTCTCATAATTTGCCTAAAATTATAACAGCCATCAGTGAATAGGCAAATACATGCTTGAGGGAACATGCTCCCTTTAAACGCTGTTGATAGTTCTTCCCACTGCAATGAATACATATTCTTACCATAGCTATAGACGATATGATAATTCAATTAATATTATTTAAGGGAGCAAAATACAGCCCTGTCCCTATCTTCTCAGTAAGCTGTTGCTTACTAAATATTCAGTGGCACAAAATTTTGAGTCTGAAAGCAGACAGTTTAGGGAATCTAGAATGCTTGTTAGCAACCACATTCGCAGTTCTCAAGGCTGCTGTCTGCGGTGGTCACAGTACCAGGAAACAGAAATCTTTTTTTTCTCACATTTTCTTCCTCTTGCCCTAGTTCCTTCATCTTCACCTGATGATGAGGTGTTAATTTATTTTTAATGATCTCTCTGGCAGTGAAGAAAATGTGCCACCTTGGCTCTCAACTTTTTTTTTTTTTTTAGGATCTTGTTTAAGATGAAGATTCCTGGTCCCCAACTCTAGACATTCTGATTGGGAAGGTCTGACATGAAGACCACCCCCACCACCTTCCAAGTCTGCATTTTTAACAAGTACCTCAATATGATTCTGATCCTGGCAGTGTCTAAACCTGCTTTGATTCTGCAGTAGCCGAGCACCACTGTGATAAAGATGCTTTTAAAATACTCCTGACTTGGGGATGCAAAATGTCCACCCAGGGCTGGAAAGGCCTTGGGGAGAGGCTCTCCTAGTTGACTGTTCTCTCTTTTTTTTTTTTTTTTTTCCTTTTTTTTTTTTTTGAGATGGAGTCTTGCTCTGTCGCCCAGGCTGGAGTGCAATGGTGTGGTCTCAGCTTACTGCAACCTCCGCCTCCTGGGTTCAAGCGATTCTTTCACCTCAGCCTCCTGAGTAGGTGGGATTACAGGCGCGTGCCACCATGCCCAGCTAATTTTTGTATTTTTAGTAGACACAGGGTTTCACCATGTTGGCCAACAAGGTGAGGTTTGTCTCCAACTCCTCACCTCAGGTGATCCACCTGCCTCGGCCACCCAAAGTGCTGGGATTACAGGTGTGAGCCACCACGCCTGGCCTGTTCTTTTTAGACCCCCATCCCCTTTTTTTTTAGTTTCTTCTACCATGGAATTCTTCTTTACTCTCACCACCACCACCCAAAGTGCTCACCTTGCGGTTCTCATAACATCATTAAGAATTTCCACGATTGCTTTAGTCTTTATGGAAGGCCCCTTTTCTAAACTTGCTGGCTCACAAAGAATGAAGCAGAAGCGTTTTGAATTTTGAGGGCATTCTTCTTGCCAGAAACTTCATCGAGAGGGTTCCAGGCTCTGGCCTGACCATGAGGCGTTGGTACTAAGAAAGGGTTCTTCTGACTTCTCTGTGGCCACCTCTTTTGCCCTCCAAAGTGCCCCTCGGCCTCTCTCACAGGACCTTACTGCCACTTTCTCCTCAACACCGGCCCCGTCCCCCCCCCCACCCCCCACTGCCTCTGGGACATCATTTTCTTTCTTCAACGCAACCCCCAAATCAGTTAGTTCTACACCCTATCTGTATCCACACAGCAAGTTATCTTATGACCACAGCTTGATAGAACTAAAGATGTGCATTAGGTTTGCATAGCGAGGGAATTTGTAAACTGAGTACAGCTGTGGTTTCCATCACAGGCCTTTTCACTGACAGACCTGAACTGAGCACCGCACTGTACTCAGGTTGGCCTCACCACCCTAACCTCTCTGGAAGCTCAAAAGCAGGGACCATGACTTTTACTTTTAGAATTGGAAAAGACATTAAGAGACCTTGTGAGAAGGGAGTATGACAAACAAAAAAACATAGGCTTTAAAGTTCGTGGAGGTGGAATAACAGACCCCAAGGATGTCCGTGTCCTCATTCCCAGAACCCGTTAATATGTTAGGTTCCTGGGCAGGGGGAATTTAACGTTGCAGCTGGGATGTTGGTTGTTAATCAGCTGTTCTGAGAGTAGGGATATTATCCAGGTGGGCCTAATATAAGCATGAGGGGCTCTGAAAGAGAGGCAGAAGAGTCAATGTCAAAGCGTTGAATATGAGAAAGACTCAGCCAACCACTGCTGGCTTTGAAGATGGAAGGGGGCTGAGAGTCCTTGATTGCGGGCAGCTTGTAGAAGTTGAAAAGGTAAGAAAATAGATCCTCCTCTAGACCCTCCAGAAAAGAATGTAGCCCAGCTGACACCTCAATTTTAAGCCAGCGAAACCCATTTTGGACTTCTGAACCTCAAAATTGTGTGAGGCAGAATTGATGGGTTCTTGGTCTCACTGACTTCAAGAATGAAGTGACAGACCCTCATGCTGTTACAGTTTCTAAAGGCAGTGAGTCCAGATTTTCTTCGGAAATTCAGTTTCTCCCTTCGGGTGGGTTCCTGGTCTCACTGAGCTCAGGAGTGAAACTGCAAACGTTTGTGCTGTTGTAACTTTTAAGCCAGCACATCTGGATTTGCTCATTCCTCCCGATGGGTTTGCGGCTTTGCTAGCCTGGGGACTGAAGTTGCTCTGCAGCCTGCATTTATTCGCTTATCTGGCCCCACCCACATCCTGCTGATGGGTCCATTTTACAGAGAGCCGATTGTTCTGTTTTACAGAGAGCTGATTGGTCCATTTTGACAGTGTGCTGATTGATGCATTTACAATCCCTGAGCTAGACACAAAAGTTCTCCACGTCCCCACTAGATTAGCTAGATATAGAGTGTCCGCTGGTGTATTTACAAACCCTGAGCTAGACATAGAGTGCTGATTGGTGCATTTACAAACCTTGAGCTAGATACAGAGTGCCGATTGGTGCATTCACAATGCCTTAGCTAGACATAAAGATTCCTCAAGTCCCCACCAGATTAGCTAGATACAGAGTGCCGATTGGTGCATCCACAAACCCTGAGCTAGACACAGGGTGCTGATTGGTGTGTTTACAAACCTTGAGCTAGATACAGAGTGCCGATTGGTGTATTCACAATCCCTTAGCTAGACATAAAGATTCTCCAAGTCCCCACCAGATTAGCTGGATACAGAGTGCCGATTGGTGCATCCACAAACCCTGAGCTAGCTAGGCAGGGTGCTGACTGGTGTGTTCACAAACCTTGAGCTACACAGAGTGCTGATTGGTGCACTCACAACCCCTTAGCTAGACACAAAGGTTCTCCAAGTCCCCACTCGACTCAGGAGCCCAGCTGGCCTCACCCAGTGGATTTAGCACTGGGGTGCAGGTGGAGCTGCCTGCCAGTTCCCCGCCGTGCACCCGCACTCCTCAGCCCTTGGGCAGTCGACGGGACCGGGCGCTGTGGAGCAGGGGGTGGCACTCGTCAGGGAGGCTCAGGCCGCAGAAGAGCCCACGGCGGGGGCGGGGAGACTCAGGCATGGCAGGCTGCAGGTCCTGAGCCCTGCCCTGCGGGGAGGCAGCTAAGGCCCGGCGAGAAATCGAGCACAGCAGCTGCTGGTCTAGGTGCTAAGCCCCTCACTGCCCGGGGCTTGCGGGCTGAGGCCGCTCCGAGTGCGTGGCCCGCCGAGCCCACGCCCACCTGGAACTCGCGTTGGCCCTCAAGTGCCGCGCGCAGCCTCGGTTCCCACCCGCACCTCTCTCTCCACACGTCCTTGCAAGCTGAGGGAGCCGGCTCTGGCCTTGGCCAGCCCAGAAAGGGGCTCCTACAGTGCAGCGGCGGGCTGAAGGGCTCCTCAAGCGCAGCCAGAGTGGGCGCCAAGGCCAAGGAGGTGCCGAGAGCGAGCGAGGGTGCGAGGGCTGACAGCACGCTGTCACCTTTCAATAATACATTCGTGGTTTTTTTGTTTGTTTGTTTGTTTTTTGACCAAGACTCACTTTGTCGCCCAGGCTGGAGTACACTGGCATGATCTTGGCTCACTGCAACCTCTGGCTCCCAGGTTCAAGCGACTCTCCTGCCTCAGCCTCCCGAGTAGCTGGGATTACAGGCGCGTGCCACCATGCCCAGCTAATTTTTGTATTTTTAGTAGAGATGGGGTTTCACCATATTGTCCAGGCTGGTCTTGAACACCTGACCTCAAGTGAGCCACCCACCCTGGCCTCCCAAAGTGCTGGGATTACAGGTGTGAGCCACCGCGTCCGAGCCATTTGTGTTGTTTTTAAGCCACTAGGTTTGTGGTAATTTATTATAGCAGTTGTAGGAAACCAACAGAGTCTGACAGTTCCATGCTGCCACTTATTTGCTTTGTATGAATTCGTGCCAGTTACTTGATCACCTCATCTCTAAAACAGGAGTTTCAAAACATGAAGGCTGAAGGACTCTTATCAGAATTCAATGAGATAACAGTATGTGAAGGTTCTAGCACCTATGCACATAGTTGTTGCTTAATAAGCGTTAACTCTCTTTCCTGTAGAGATTATTAATTCCATCTTTTCACTTGATCTAGACATTTGTAGTAGAATACCCTTATTAAGGGTGAGTCAGCGTTTACTTGAATACCTCAAGGGACAGGAAACTCACTGCCCATTTTGTTTTCAGAGTTATGATTTTTACAAACACTCTTCTCTATGGTTTTTAATTTATTTATTTATTTAACAAATTTTTTTAGAGACAAGGTTTTGCTCTGTTGTCCAGGCTGGAGTGCAGTGGTGCAGTCATATCCCACTGCAGCCTCAAACTCCTGGGCTCAAGTGATCCTCCCACCTCAGCCTCCCAAGTAGTCAGGACTACAGGTGTGTGCCATATACATAAATTTATATATATATATATATTATATATATATATATATAATATATATATATATATTATATATATATATATTATATATATATATATAATATATATATTAGAGATTATATATATTAGAGTATACACACACACACACACACGTATATGTCTATTAGAGATGGGGTCTTGCTATGTTACCCAGGCTGTTCTCAAAATCCTGGCCTCAAGTGATGCTCTCATGTCAGCCTCCCAAAGTGTTGGGATTACAAGCATGAGCCACCATGCCAAGCCTCTTCTCTATAGTTTTTATGTATAACATTTATTCTGTGTTTTGGACTTAATTGTAATAACTAACCATGGGAACATTGCTAGCTTTTAAGGTACTTTTGTGCAAATTAGGAAAAAAAAGGGCTCTTTCTTTTCAAGACATTTTCTTCCGTTGGAAATTGTTAATTATCAATTTTGTATCATGAGGCATTTTGTTGCCACCAATCAGCAAGCTGTTGCACTACACGTACAAATCTATGTCTATAAAGTGAACGGTGTCCCCTTCTATGCAGCCCTTTGTGCAATGCACATCTGCACATGGCATCCCTGAATGAGCAGTTTTATACAGTGCTTTATATTTTAAGTTTTCTGCAAAGAGATTTAATTTGCTTTTCAGAATAATGTATAAAATAGGTAAATATAATTATTTGAATTTTATAGTTGTGGCAACCGAGGTTCCAATTGTTTAAGGGATACCAAAGATCCATGCTGCCACTTATTTGCTTTATATAAATTCATGCAAGTTACTTGATCTCCTTATCTCCAAAACAGGACTTTCAAAACACTAAGGCTGAAGGACTCTTGGTAATAGAAGATCTTTCTGGACTTCAACTGTTATCTAATATAATTCCTATCCCTTTAGTTTCATATCATTTATGGTATCAAGGGAATGTCTCTATGATTTTAGACAAGTCATGGAAACAAATGTTTACAAGGTCAGGCCTATTGAAGAAAGAAGGAGAGTCCATTGAGTGACTTTTTAGTGTCAGGGGTTTAATTTTATGTGATCCTTAATTTTATATCCATTTTACAGAGGAGGAACAGGCTCAGATGGGCCAGTAAGTTGCTCAGGTTTCTGCAACCAGCAAACAGTAAGTGCAGAGACAACCTGTACATGCAGTTCTTCTAAATCCAAACCTCTGTTTGTCTTTCTCACACACCGTGCCGTATCTCACAAGGCACGCCTCAGATTATTCTGGATTGTGGATTTCCTGGTATTTCTTATAGGTCAATATCATTTTTCCCTTCTGCTTTTTTTTTTCCTCCTATCTTTCTTATCTTTTGAAAACTCAGAGTTTAATAGAGCCTGCAATTAAAGCTATTTCTTTAGATTCCCATCTTCTTTTCTTTTTTGGTGATCATTTGCAATTATGAAATCAGAATTCCTCTCTTGAATACTTCCCAAGAGCCTTTTTCCATTTATAAGAGTGCTTGCCAATTAATTGATTGTAGGCACTCAACGACAATTTCTAGAATTTAATTTAGGGATTCCCAGGGAGCTAGCACACTTGAAAAACCCTGTAGCCACAGGAATTTTAATATGATCATTGTTTTCAATTGAGAATACATTTAAATCTTGTTTCCCTCCACTCACTTAACACATATATCACAAAATGAGGGAATTGAGAGTGAAAAGAGCTTTAGGATTATTTCACTTTCTTCTCTCCTTCATTTTAGTGAGTAAATTAACTCAGAGGGGTTAAATGATTTAACCAAAACCGTAGAGCAAGCTATTGAAGACACTGACATTAGAATTAGGAAAATGGGATTCCCATTTCTAATGGGAATTAGAAAAATATTTAACAGGGGTTCATATAACCAAAATGTAGAGCTGAAATAGACATCTGTTTTTATTGAAAGCCTAATAACCATTCTCCCTTCTTTAGGAAACTACCCTTCCCCCACTTTCGGTCTAAAAGGATTGGGTTGAGATTGGGTTGAGCTAATTCAGTTTCTAGATCCATGGATGGGCACATGGTACAGGCCTGGCCAATTAGAGAGGTGCATCCCTTGCTTGGTTCAGAGATGTCACGAGACCCGCCCAGAGCCAATGAGACCCCATCCTGGGATTTCTGTTGGGAAGACAGAATCACTCTGGTTGGTGAGAGGATAGGGTGCTAACCCCAAATTCCAGGCAGCCACCTTGCCACCTTAAGGGGAGCACTGCTTGAGCACAGAGCCTTCATAGAGGAAAGGAAACCCGGAAGATGTCAAAAGGCCAATCCTCAAAACATTGAGGGCCTGCACTGAGAGGCGTCTGAAGGGTAAATGCCCTTGGACTTCCAGTTATCTGACTGGATTATGTAAAAGCCAGTAAATCTCCTTCCTGTTTTTTTTTTTTTTTTAATTTTCTAAGAATATTTGAATTGGGATTCCTGTCATTTGCAACTGAAAGAAACAATGAAAACATGACTACAAAGGGTAAGTACTAATTGGTAAGTATAGGATTGGGAGACATGGTCTAACAGTTATTTGTGTGAAAAAGGCTCGCAGTAGAAGTTCTTACTTGTATGAAATTGAAATCTGATTTCCTGAAATACATAAAGATAGGTCTGAGTTCTACACTGAGGAACCAAATGAACCGATGGAAATTCACTTCTGTCCGAAAGGGATATTTTTAACTTCCACAAATAGCTGATGATAGTTTCCATCTACTCTGCACTGGTTATATATCACTTGGGAGATAATTTTCAGTTTTGAAGGATGGTTTTCATGAGAGACAGGGATAAACATGGGCTCTCAGGAGGAGGGTGGCTAGGAGAGCACAGGATTTAACATCACCCTATTCTTGAAAAAATAGAGGTTCAGCCAAGAAAAACGAAGGCTTAGAAGAGAGAAAAAATGTCTTCCACATACTTTAATTACTGTCAAATGGAAGAAAATATATTTTATTTTATCATTTTCTTTTCTTTGGCAGAATTAGGAATAGTCGTTAAGAGTTTCAGAAAGGCAGATTTTATTTTATTTTATTTTTATTTTATTTTTTGAGACAGAGTCTCACTCTGTCACCCAGGCTGGAGTGCATTGGTGCAATCTTGGCTTACTGCAAACCTCCGTCAGAAAGGCAGATTTTAAATCAATAACGAGCAAAAGTTTCAACCAATATGGTATTTCCATAGTATCTGTCATGGGTTACACATGAGTCCCATATGTTTGTTATTTTCTTGGAAAAACCAGTTGACAGGAAGACTTTTCAGTCTTTAAATAGAGTGCCCCCTCTCCCCCACTCAGTTAATAACCAACAGCAGGGACGGTGTCTGCACAACATTGTATCTGTATGGCCTGGGACAATGTTGGGTAAGAGCGTTATAGGTTTATGTTCAATAAATAAAATGATTCTTGGTTTTATATCTGTCTTCCTATTTCAAAAGCAATTTTCTACCTCTGTTGTAAGATATCGTGAATGTGGCCGAGCACGGTGGGTCATGCCTGTAATCCCAGCACTTTGGGAGACTGAGGTGGGCGGATCACCTGAGATTGGGAGTTCGAGACCAGCCTGACCAACATGGAGAAACCCCATATCTACTAAAAATACAAAATTAGCCGGGCGTGGTGGTGCATGCCTGTAATCCTAGCTACTCGGGAGGCTGAGGCAGGAGAATCGCTTGAACAGGGGAGGCAGAGGTTGCGGTGAGCTGAGATCACGCCATTGCACTCCAGCCTGGGCAATAAGAGCGAAACTCTGTTTCAAAATAAATAAATAAATAATATTGTGAATGCTTATATAACTGACTTCAATTTGTAAAATGTTAATTTGCACTTTTTTTTTTTTTTTTTTTTTTTGAGACGGAGTCTCGTTCTGTCGCCCAGGCTGGACTGCAATGGCAGATCTCAGCTCACGGCAAGCTCCGCCTGCCGAGTTCACGCTGTTCTCCCGCCTCAGCCTCCCAAGCAGCTGGGACCACAGGCGCCTGCCATGCCACCACGCCCGGCTAATTTTTGTATTTTTAGTAGAGACGGGGTTTCACCATGTTAGCCAGGATGGTCTTGGTCTCCTGACCTCGTGATCTGCCTGCCTCGGCCTCCCAAAGTGCTGGGATTACAGGCGTGAGCCCTGCGCCCGGCGAATTTGTACTTTTAAGCTACAATGATAAACACATAGCAGGACCTGATCCCTGTTTTCTAAGGAGGAATTAAATATTGCCTTAGTTTCCATACACCTTATACAAACTGTTACTATATCCTGTCACACTGTACGATATTGATGTGTTTATTTCCCCCAGTGAAGCACTCCAAGAAGAAGGACTATATCTTATCAAATTCTTTATAAAAGTATTAGAGGGCCTAGCCAGTTTAACAGAATAAGAAGAAGAAATTTATCAGTCTAGGCTGAGTGTGGTGGCTCACACCTGTAATCCCAGCACTGTGGGAGGCCAAGGTAGGAGGGTCACTTGAGGCCAGGAGTTCAAGAACAACTTGGGCAACAAAGCGTGACCCTATCTCTACAAAATTTTTTTTAAAAATTAGCCAGGCCTGGTGGTGTGGCCTTTGTAGTTCTAGCTACTCAGGAGGCTGAGATAGGAAGATTGCCTGAGCCCAGAAGGTTGAGGTTGCAGTGTGATATGATTGCACCACGTCACTCCAGCCTGGGCTACACAGTTAGATCCTATCTCAAAAAAAAAAAAAAAAAAAAAAAAAAAGTAAATTGCAACAAACAGAACAAGTAATGTTAAAAAAAGGAGAACATTTATAATTGTGACAGAAAATGTAAAGTTCTGAAATACATCTAATAAAAATTATAAGATTTATGCAGAAAATTATAAAACTTTATTCAAAATCTTAAAAAAGAGTTGAATAAGTGGAGAGAAATATCATACTTATGGAGCAAAAGAGCAAAAGAACTATCATAAAGATTTTGATTCTCCACAGATTGAGAAATAGATTCAGTAAAATTCCAACCAAATCCCAATGGAGTTTTTCATGAAATCAACAAACTGGTTGTAAAATACACGTGGAAGAGGAACATCCCAGGTCAGTCAATATGCTCCTGAAGAACTATGTCAGAGAACTTGTCCCACCAGATACCAAGATTTAAAACACATATGTAGTCATTATGACATTGGGATATAAGCTCAGGGTAGACAAACAGTAGAATAAAATAGTGAGCTTAGAAACAGATCAATGCATAAATATAAACTTGATATAGGACAAAACCGGAATTGTAGATCATGGGGGAAAAAGGGGAGCAAAAATAAAAAGGCTCTGGGAAAAATGATTATCTATGTGGAAAAAAATTAAATGTGATCTCTACCTCATATTATACCCAAGAATTAATTCCAGATTAGCCAATGACTTAAATATAAAACCAAACTTTAAAATATGTTAGGGCTGGGTGTGGTAGCTCACACCAGCAATCCTAGCACTCTGGGAGGCTGAGGCAGGTGGAGTGCTTGAGCCCAGGAATTTGAGACCAGCCTGGGCTACACAACGAGACCCTGACTCTACAAAAAAAAAAAAGAAAAAGAAATTAGCTGAGTGTGGGGGTGTGTGCCTGTAGTACCGGTTACTCAGGAGGCTAAGGTGGGAGATTTGCTCTAGCTCAGGAAGTTGAGGCTGCAGTGAGCTGTGATCATGCCACTGCACTCCAGCCTGGGTACCAAAGTGAGACCCTGTCTCAAAAGAAAACAAAACAAAAAACATATTAGGCAACTATACCAGTCAGGGTTCTCCAGAGAAACAGAACCAACAGGATGGATGGATAGATAGGTGGATAGATAGATAGATAGATAGACAGACAGACAGACAGACAGACAGATATTGTGAAGGTATGGCTCACATGTTTATGGAGGCTGGAAAGTCCCACAGTCTGCCATTGCAAGCTGGGAGCTCAGAAAAGCCAGTGATGTTGTTCCAGTCCAACCTCAAAAGCCCGAGAACCAGAGACCCAATTGTATAGATCCCAGTCCAAGTCCCAAAGCCCAAGAACCAGGAGTGCTTATGTCTGAGGGCAGAGGAAAGAGGATGTCCCAGCTCAATGAAAGAGAACAAATTTGCCCTTCCTTTTCCCTTTTGTTCTATTTGGGCCCTTAACAGTTTAGAGGATGCCCACTTACAATGGTGAGGGAGATCTTCGCTCAACCTACCAATTCAACTGCTAATCTATTCCAGAAACACACTTACAGACACACTCAGAAATTAATATTTTGTCAGCTAACCGGGCATCCCTTAGCCTAATCAAGTTGACACATTAAATTAACTGTCAGATAAACCAATATGTCCTAAAAATTATCAGGTTGCACATCTTGAATATATACAGTTTTTGTTTGTCAATTACACTGCACTAGACCTGAAAAAATAAGGAAATAGACAAAACATAAAAATTATGCAATAACGTAGGCATGAATACATATTTCAGAGAAGAAGAGAAATGAATGGTCAAGAAACAAATGAAGAGATGTTTGCCTTCATTAATACAAATAAAAAATAATAAAAGCACCTCACTCTCTCCTGTTTGGCAATAATCAAAAAGACTGACAATACCAAGTGTTAGTGAGAATCTGGGACATCTGTAGTCTGACACACTGCTAGAGGTAGGTTAAACTGGTACAATCACTTTGGAAAACAATTTGGCCTTATTTTGTAATGTTGAATGTGCATTCAGGCCATGACCCAGAAATATTCACTCCTAAGTATATACTATAGAAAAATTGTTGTACTTGGTTACCAGGAGTCAAGAATATTCATGACAGCATTAAAACTAAAAATCTCAGCTGGGTGTGGTGGTGTGCACCTATAGTCCTAGCTACTCAGGAGGCTGAGGTGGGAGGATCGCTTGAGCCTAGGAGTTTGAGGCTGCAGTGAGCCATGATTCCAGCCTGGGTGACAGAGTGAGACTCTGACTCTAAAAATAATAATAATGAAAAATAAAAAATAAAACTAGAAATCTGGAAACCACTCAAATGTCAATTGACCAAATAATTGTTAAATGAATTGTGGTATAGTTTATTCAAAAGAATATTATACAGCAGTGAAAATGATTAAGCTATTTTAACATATCTTGTATGGATGACTCTCACAAATGTAATATTGAGTAAAAAGAAAAAAGAAACCGACAAGTAACAGAGGAGTCACACAAAAGTCAAAACAGATAAACCCAACAACATATGCCTAGAGATATGTACGTATGAGATAAAGCTACAAAAAGAAGAAAGTAAATAACACAAAATTCGAATCATTTTTGCTTTAGGAAGATGGTGACACAGTGAGAAGGGGCATCTAAGGTTTCATAAAGGCACTGGCTTTCGAACATTTTGTTCACTTCTCCCTTAAAGAATTTTGAAAAACTATGAATTTGCTCCTACATTTTAAAGTCAACATCTAAAATTTTTCATCATAAATTGCAATAGTTGCAAAGAATGTAAATTCTAGCATGTTGCAAATATTGACATTCAAAAATAAAATAGGCCGGGCGCAGTGGCTCATGCCTGTAAATCCCAACACCGAGGTAAGAGGATTGTCTGAGCCCAGGAGTTTGAGCCCAGTTTGGGTAATATAGTGAGATCCCCATCTCTACAAAAAAATTAAAAAAGTAGCCAGTTGTGGTGGCACGCACCTGTGGTCCTAGCTACTCAGGAGTCTGAGGTGGGAGGGTTGCTTGAGCCTGGGAATTCGAGCCTGCAGTTAGCTATGATTGGGCCCCTGCAATTCCAGCCTGGGTGACAGAGAAAGACCCTGTCTCTAAAAATAAATACATAAATAAATTTTAAAATAAACCTTGTATCTCTTTTAAGAGTATCCTATGGAATCTAAAACTATAAGTTGATACTAATACCATCCAACAATGGAAAACATTCATGAATAAGCTCTTTAGCATTACAAAAGTAATTCTTCTTCTTTTCTACTTGAGTCCTATTTCTAGTCTATTCCTCCATAGACTTTTATCCTAATATAATACATTTTATGGTTGAATGTCTTCTGTTAACACCATCGTATTTATTCAAAACAAAATATGCTCATAATTGTAATTCTTAACATTTATCTCATTTCCTGAAGTTAGAAAGCTCTAGGATAAAAATTCTTTGAGTTATCTTTATGATTATTATCAGTACACATTTTATCAAAAATCCATAAAAACATTATAAATATTGATAATCATTAAACATAAAAAGTAAAATTTAATGGAAATACATCTCTTGATGAGAAGAATAATGATTTTGCTTTTTCTATGGTTTTAACAAAGATAAATGTTTATACTGGTGAGAACGGCAGGGACTAGGGATTACCTTATTTAAAAATTTTTTATTCATAGGAGGTAGAAAATGGTAAGAAAATGGTTTTAACAAAGATAAAAGTTTACACTGGTAAGAACTGCAGGGACTAGGGGTTACTTTATTTAAAAATTTTTTTATTCATAGAGATAGAAAATGGTAAGCATTTTATAGGATGAAATAAAATGAAAAATCACTTTAATTACAAAACATTTCTTAATTGCTAAAATAGGTTTTAATTACTACCTTGAATAACACATACCAAAGCTGAAAGAAATTCCATACAAGTTTTATCTTTGGATTTTTATCCAAAGTTATCATGAAAATTTTGGCAGTTCCCAAAAATATTCCAGTTACATTGAAAAAAACCAAAATCACCCTTTCTGTTTCAGCTGATCAAGATGTTTTTATTTCCGGTAAATGACACATCCTAAGAAAGTACTGAGCATAGCTGAAAAGAAGTTCTTCTACTTATACAGAAAATAAAAGCCCAAGTACTTAGTGCTGAGTATTTCTTACCCCCTCTCTTTCTGTTTTCTCTCCCAGGACACTTCCTCATTCTTGAAAATGGGCTGGGGAAGGAAGAGGTGAAAGTTTTCATGGTCATCCCCCATGCCTTTGTCCTTATCACCATCATATGTCTGAATTGAGAACATCTTAACAGGGCCCCAAATACTCAATTCTAAAAACCATGCTTGACCCTTTACAGGAGTATGTATAAAATGGGAGACACAGAATGTCCTGTAGGTTTATGGGGCCTTACTTAATCCCTCAGGAGACAGGGATCATCTGGAGCTGAGCTGGTTCTCACCCAGGGCCCCTGTTCTATTGTGAGATTTACAATGAATGCCTTGGTCAAGTGCAAGGAGAGCTATTGTGAACTCAGGAGTCGTCAGGCAAATCGGTTGCAGGAAAAAGTATATATGGAATTGAGGTATCTAATAATTCCTAGTAGATTCCTAACACCAACCATTTTAATGGTTGATGCCTATGTGCCCTCAGAAAGTCCTTGAGTACGTGGGGCAGTAGGGGCGGGTGGGGTGGGGTGCTTGCTTGGCTTGAAGAACACTGTGGATGGAATTTCTGATGTTTTACTTCTTAAAATGGGTGTCTGTTTTATTAGACTTTTTTTTTTTTTTTTTTTTAAGACAGGGTCTTGGTCTGTTGCCCAGGCTGGAGTGCAATGGCATGATCTTGGCTCACTGCAGCCTCAAACTCCTGGGCTCTTGGGCTCAAGCATCCCTCCAGCCTCAGCTTTGCAAGTAGCTGGGACGACAGGTGTGTGCCACCACACCAGGCTAATAGACTATTAGGCTATTTTAAATTATTTTATATATATATAATTTTATATATAATTATATATGTGTATATATATTATATGTATTTATATATATATAAAATTGGTTGGGCACAGTGGCTCATGCCTTGTAATTACAGAACTTTGGGAGGCAAGGCGGGTGGATCACCTGAGGTCAGGAGTTTGAGACCAGCCTGACCAATATGGTGAAACCCCGTCTCTACTAAAAATACAAAAACTAGCTGGGCATGGTGGCAGGCACCTGTAATCCCAGCTACTCAGGAGGCTGAGACAGGAGAATTGCTTGACCCAGGAGGTGGAGGTTTCAGTGAGCCCAGATCACGCCACTACACTCCACCCTGGGCAACAGAGTGAGACTCCATCTAAAAAAACAAACAAACAAAAATTATATATATTATGATATTAATAGACTATTTTTGTTTAAATTATATATATTATACATATGATATATCTCTCACTAAAGTTTTAAAAAATCTACTACATCTATTAAACTAATAGTCTATTTTTGTTTAAATTATATATATGATTACACATACATATGACATATCTCTCACTAAATAAGGTTTAAAAAAATCGACAAAGTTCATGGGGCAGTGTTATTTGAACGCTGTAGCCCAGGAAGTTTCGGTTTATAGGCATTGTAGGGGAGGAAGGATTTCTTTTCCTCACTCATTACTAGGTTCATGGCTGAGGCATTTATAACAAAAGGCAGATCAACAGGAGAAAAGCATCTGCATTTATTTAATGTAAGTTACACATGACACAGGAGCCTTAAGAAATAAAGACCCAAAGACACAGGGAAACCTGTGTGTTTTTATGCTTAGGCTTGATGAAGTGGATACTCCTGTGGAAGTGTGATTGGTCAAAGGGCGTCTGATCTAATGGAAATAAACTGGGGGAGCTTAGCAAGGCACGTGCGTTCAGATTCCTCTCTGTGTCCCTGTGTCTTCTCCCAGCTTCAGGGAGGGCACCTCTTGAATGAAGGTTTTATGACCTGCTTCAGCAAAGAAAGGTGAAGGGAAAGTGAGAGTGACCTTCTGCCTCTGTCATTTTCTCAAATGCCAAGATGCTTTGTTGGATATGATCTGAGCTCTATCAGTGTGAGAATTGGAGGAAAATGTAAAATGTTCACAACTAGTAGGAGAATTTCTTTCAGAATGGTCTTGTTTATGGAGGGAAACAATAAGCTCCTTTAGGGGCTGGATTTTAAGCAGCTTGGTAGGCAAAGAGATAGGTTAGTAGTTTTAAATTAAACATGAAAGAATTTAGGTATAGAGGAAAGCAGAGGGGAGTCGGGAGGAGAATAGGGCGGGAGGGAGTAACCAAGGAACCTAGCTGGGGCTGCACCTATAGAGAAAGGAGAAAGTGCAAAATTTGCTAGTAGAAGGGATGCCGAAGCATCTTTTAGAAATAGTGACATCCATTATGGAATGTTAAGGCTTTTGAATGTCTGCAACATGGATTCCCTGGTCCTTTTACGTCTTCAATATATGGTCACACACAGATGCTAAATGTGGATGGAGGGAAAGAGAGAAGCAGGTGAGGACCCAGAAGGACCAGGAACAGGGGTCTAGATGAGAGAAATGCCCAGGCATTGGTAAAATCTTGCAGCTGGCATAGGACTTTGCATACAATATACAATCTTTGGCTTGGGTTAATTTATCTGAATTCCACAAGACAGAGTGGCTTTGGTGGGATCTAGGATACATATGTGTCTGCACAAGCAATATGCAAAATATGCCTCTGTCAACTTCAACTTAATAAATAAATATGCTAACCAAAGATGCTAGCAAATGAATATGCTGAAAAATGTCTTGAATTATTGGTAGGTATAAAGTGAGATAATTCTCCTTTACTGTGTTTAATATTAACGGAAATAACTTTTAAAGTATAATGCTCAAAAGCATGTAAGTGATTAAGTTGGCTCCCCTCTGCCTTCTCTTGCAATAAAAGACTCTAAGCAATAAAGGTTTGAATGCTACATGCAGAGGTTGAAAAAAAAGAAAAAGCAATAAAACGAGTCCAAAGTGGGTAGGGTTAGTTCTATTTTTGGCAATAACTCCAATGTGGTAGGACATAGGCATTATGCTTTGGTCTGAATGCATGCCCCCAAAATTGTTATGTTGAAACATAATCTGCAATGCCGTAGTATTAAGAGATGGGGCTTTTGGGAGGTGATTAGGTCATAAAGGCTCCAGCCTCATGAATGAGATTAGTGCCCTTATAAAAGCGGCCAGAGGCTGGGCACGGTGGCTCACGCCTGTAATCTCAACACTTTGGGAGGCCAAGGCGGGCAGATCACCTGAGGTCAGGAGTTCAAGACCAGCCTGACCAACATGGAGAAGCCCTGTCTCTACTAAAAATACAAAATTAGCTGGGCGTGGTGGCACATGCCTGTAATCCCAGCTACTCGGGAGGCTGAGGCAGGAGAATCACTTGAACCTGGAAGGCAGAGGTTGCAGTGAGCTGAGATCTTGCCATTGTACTCCAGCCTGGGCAACAAGAGGGAAACTCCATCTCAAAAAAAAAAAAAAAAAAGTACAAAAATTAGCCGGGTGTGGTGGCAGGTGCCTGTAATCCCAGCTACTCAGGAGGCTGAGGCAGGAGAATCACTTGAACCCAGGAGGCGAAGCGGAGGCTTCAGTGAGCTGAGCTCGTGCCACTGCACTCCAGACTGGGTGAAAGATCAAGACCCTGTTTCAAAAAAAAAATAGTAATAATAAAAATTAAAAAATAAAAAAGCCCCAAGGGAACTTGTTCACTCCTGACAAGTGGGGACACAGGTAGAAGGTGCCTTCTTTGAGGCTGAGAGCAATGCCTCACTAGATACTGAATCTACTGGCACCTTGATCTTGAACTTTCCAGCCCCCGGAACTGTGAACAATAAATTTCTGCTTATAAATTACCTAGTCTAAGATATATTTTTTTTCTCTTTTGAGATGGAGTCTCATTCTGTTGCCTAGGCTGGAGTGCGGTGGCACGATCTTGGCTTACTGCAACCTCTGCCTCCCAGGCTCAAGTGATTCTCCTGCCTCAGCCTCCAAATTAGCTGGGATTATAGGCACCTACCACCATGCCCAGCTAATTTTGTATTTTTAGTAGAGACGGGGTTTCACCATGTTGGCCAGGCTGGTCTCGAACTCCTGACCTCAAGTGATCCACCTGGCTCGGCCTCCCAAAGTGCTGGGATTACAGGCGTGAGCCACCTCACCGGCCTAGTCTAAGGTATTTTGTTACAGCAGCCCAAACGAACCAAGACACATTATCATCCAAGATTTGTAGCCAGAAGCTCATCACTTCTCATCTTCTTCCCTGTTACCATCCCCACTCCTCCCACTCCAGTTTCTTGTCTGGAGTCCTGAAATAGCCTCTTAATTGGTTCCCTTGCTTCACTCTTTGTGTTCCTCACTGTCTGTTCTCAACATGTGGCCAGAGTGATTTAAAATATATATATATAAACCAGATATAATATATAATCCTCAGCTCATATCCCAGCAATAACTCCCATAGCAATCAGAGGAACAGCTCAAGCCATTTGCAATGGCCCCAATCTCCCGTGGGCTGCCTCCCCATACCTCTTGGGTTCATTTCCTTTCTCTCTCTCCTCAGTCACTCTGCTCCAGCCTTACTGGCCAGACAAATGTTTTTCCATTTTGCCAGGCCTGCTCCTGTTTTAGGGCCTTTGCTCTAGATGGTTCCTCTTTCTGGAATGTGCTTTACCTAGAAATCTATTTGGTTAACTCCTTCACCTCCTTCCAGTCTTTGATTAAATGTGGCCTTCTCAATGAGGCCAATCTTGACCACCCTATTAAATAATGCAACATATGGGCTGCAGTATTTACTCTGCTGTGCTTTTCTGTTTTTCTATGCACTTATTATCATCTAACATCATAATATTATTTTAAATGTTTTTCATTGATGTCTTTCCCTGGCAGAGTGTAGGCTCTGTGATGGGAATGATTTTGTTTGTTAATTGATGTGTATCCCAAACACCTAGAACAGTGTTTATAAATAATAGTTCTTTAATAAATATTTGCTGAACGTTGAGTCCATTTTCATAAGCAAAAGCACTGTTTCCCGAACAGTAATCTGGGGAAGGTTTCTTCTAAAGGATGTACACAAAACAAATCCTGTGGTCAGCTAAGTTTGATGGCCCCTTCTTTGAAACTGACATGAGTGCTTATTAGTAGATTTTTTTGTGATCTCTGTGAACATCAAAACTTACTTTACAGGATACTCAAGGAGATCAATCAATAATGATGGAAAAGTGTTTAAAAATGAAATGAAAGTTGCAGCAATGATACATTAGGAGTATAAGAAGAGAGCCTAATGAATAGGGGCAAATACCTATTTTAGTGCTATAAATAACATTTCACTGTACACTCAGCATTTAGGGCTGGCCAGTCTAATGTGCTGACGGAAGCCCACACAGACTCAGAACAACAAGCTGGGTCATGAGGACTTAAGTGAGAAGAGAAGAGACAGTCATGAGTTCAGCTGGCTGCATTGATTGCCAGGAAACTATCCACCCATTCATTCCAAAACATTGTTGTGCTTGGTACTATCATTGGCCCTGGGAAGTGGGCCGCAGAACAGAGTGAAAAGTAAGGGAAAAATACAAGAGTTGAGGGAGATTCCAATTGGTCTCCAAGGCAAATATAAAGTCTTGGGTCGAGGGGTTAACACTATGCAGCTCCCTGAAGCCTAAGGTGACAGTGGCCTCAGCAACAACACCCAAGGTGGAGTTAGGGTAGAGGACAGGGAGGGTGGGGCCAAGCACCTCCCAATACCCAGCGGCTCCAGGGCATTAGGCAAAGCCCCAGCTTGCTCTTTTTTCTTACTGCAGCCAACCATGGAATCTGGGTAGCACAGGTTTTTGTCTGTCTTTATGTACTCAAACATTATCTTCAATCACACTTTGCTATTCATAGGACACTTTGGCAATAGTAACTATTTGGAACACAGTCAAAGAAGTAGGAGGTATGGAAAGTGCCTCTGAAACAATGGCGTGGAGGATAGAATGGCTTGGAGTTTATCTGCTTAAAATAAAAATACTTTACTTTTTTAGGAGCTCCTTAGGCACTCTGCCAAAGCCGAGTGACTCTACGGCAATTCGTAGAGCTCCCCAGTTCACAGGGGAACCAAAGTAGCAGGCAAGGCAGGGACAAGTGAAATACAAGAGCAGAAGGGGAAATGGAAAAACTAGAAAGTAGACACAGTAGTTGAGAAAGTGTACCTCTCTGGGCATAGTTTAGAGCAAGGACAAACTCTTTTTTTTTTTTTTTCTTTTTTTGAGACAGTTTCACTTTTGTCCAGGCTGGAGTGCAATGGCACGATCTCGGCTCACCACAACCTCCGCCTCCCGGGTTCAAGTGATTCTCTGGCCTCAGCCTCCCTAGTAGCTGGGATTACAGGCATGTGCCACCATGCCTGGCTAATTTTTGTATTTTTAGTAGAGACACGGTTTCCCCATGTTGGCCAGGCTGGTCTCGAACTCCTGACCTCAGGTGATCTGCCCACCTCAGCCTCCCAAAGTGCCAGGATTACAGGCGTGAGCTACCACGCCCGGCTGCAAGGACAAACTCTTGATGTGTCAGTGGACTTCAAGACATTGCTGTATTGCAGGATGGGTTCTTGTTCACAATAATGCCTGAGTCATCAGTAATGATTAAGCTAAGATCACTAACTCTGTTTTAGTATTCAGGGTCACGTGCAATGCATTTTAGAAAGATCTCCCTTGCCTAAAACTAAGGCAAAAATGAAACATTAGTGCAGAAAGGGTAAGCTTCAGTTCTTTTATGTTTTTTGAACAAAATCTCTCCTCCAGTTCTTAGACCTGCTGCAAGGGATCATTATTCTTATTCCTATTTTACAGAGGAGGAAGCTGGGCCTTCATGAAGTTCATTGATTTGCTCAAAGTCCCCAAACTAGTAAAAGGCAGTACTGGTTTTTCATACCCGGTTGTTTTGCTCTAAAGGCTGAGTTCTTGGCCTCCTGGCCTCAGGACATCTTCCTACTTTGGCCTCCCAAAGTGTCAGAATTGCAGGCATGAGCCACTGCACCTGTTAATTCCTGGTCTAATACAGTATTCTTAAGCAAAAAATGCTATAACATAGCAGTCATAGCTAAATCTGGCAGATGTTCAGTTATATTAGTTTCTTCATTTTCTGAACATGTACAATGTTTAACTGTGATCCCAAGCTTGGAAAATATGTTGGGTAGGCAGGTTGCAATATATGTTCCAAGCAAACACACATCAGTTGAGCTAAAACATGAAGGAATACATCATTGATTGAAAAACATAAATTACCTGAAGCTTTGTGGATGATGCTTAAAGAAACTGCTCAGAAAACAATGGTGATACCTATCATGGGTCAATTTTGACCATTCTTCAGATCAGCTCTCAAATGTTAAGCCTGGAATTTAATGTCCTATGCAGGCAACAATTTCTGCTATTTTCCTGAAGGAAAATAGTATTATACTCCTAGTATAATAAAAAGTATAATAAAAAGATTTCTGTATAGTTAAAAAGAACAGTAGAATACCCAAGTTTGAACCCTACACTTGCTGTTTACTAGATGGATAAGCTAGCTGCAATTTATTAGAAACAGTATTCATTTGAATAAAAATTGAGATGACATGATAATACAAATGATAATAACACCTGCCCTTCCAACTTCATAGAGTTGTTGGGAGGATCAAAGGGGATAAGTGAGTGTGCTCTGTGAATATATAGTATCATTACATTAATATGTAGTATTATTAAAATGGTAATTCTTTTTTTACATGGGTTATATCATTTCAGATGGCTTAAATTTAGTTTTATTGGTGATTGTTTTTGGTTGAATATAGACTGAAGGTATCATTAGAGTTTTATCTCCTTGAGGGATTATACCTTTGTAAACTTTGAGGATGTATTTAATTCAGTTTTGTTCTTTGATTATCAGTTATGTTGTTTGATTTGATTTGGTATGTGAAGTAGGAAGAATGGAAAGTGCCTCTGAATATCCATGATAGAATGGCATGGAGTTTATCTACTTAAAATCAGAATACTTCACTTCTTTAGGAACTCCTTAGGCACTCTGCCAAAGCCTAGTGACTCTACAGCAGTTTGTAGAGTTTTTATTAGTCCATGGTAACATGCAGCCCTTCCCAATATGCTAGAATCTTTTTCAGGTTTTTTTGTGCCTGGCTTTAATTTTTTGACCTGTCTTCAGGATGTGCAGTGGATCTCCTGGATAATGTCACATTCTGAGCATGGTTCCATAGGGAAGATTCATAAAACTGACCTTGATATCAAGCCTCACTCTACTGCAAATAGAAAACAGGAGAGACAGCGTGTCTGTGGCATCACCCCTACCACCTCATTTTGAATGGTAAATGTAATGTCTCGTCTACAAAAATGACAAGGTTGTATCAGGTGTGTGGGCTGGCCTCTTGATAAAGAGAAAAATACTATGTTTTAGAGGAGGCAATGCATAATGAATAAAGAGCCCAGGCTCTGGAATCAGACAGACACATTTTACTTAACCTCCCTAAATACAACCAAGTCACTTAAGCTCCCTTAACCCCAGGTTTCACATCTATAAAATAGATTCTTATAACTACCACAGGATTATTAGCACTGGTAAATGAAACAGCTTTTGTAAAGTGATTTCTAACATATGATAATAATTATTGTGAACCTACAGTTGACAGAGGATGGAAATAGAGATACTGATGAAGGAAAAGAGCAATGTGTCCATGGTGCCGCTGTTATACATCTTGGACTCATATAAACAACTTCTTCAAAGTGTGTTTCATTCATCTGTAGTGTAACAGAGCTACTCTCTTGGTTCTGAGTTATCCAACAGTAGTATTTTTTTTTGCATTAATTGTACTACAGTATCAAGAGAAAAGAACTATTAAGTTCTGTGACATTTTGTTTATAAGCTCTAACCATAGTTACTACATTTTTATTTTTATTTTTTTTTTTGATGGAGTCTTGCTCTGTTAGCCAGACTGGAGTCCAGTGGCGTGATCTCTGCTCACTGAAACCTCCGTCCCCTGGGTTCAGGCGATTCTCCTGCCTCAGCTTCCCAAGTAGCTGGGATTACAGGTGCCTGCCACCACACCTGGCTAATTTTTGTTTTTTGGTAGAGATGGGGTTTCACCATGTTGGCCAGGCTGGTCTCGAACTCCTGACCTCAGGTGATCTGCCCGCCTCGGCCTCCCAAAATGCTGGGATTACAGGCATAAGCCACCGCACCCGGCCATTTTTAAAAGAAAAATTTAGACTAGGTTATGAACTGTGTTTTGTTAGGGAGAAAAAAACCTGTGTAAGGCTAATACATGTATATATTTTACATATACATATATACATATGTATATATCAAACCTGTGTTATATATATATATAAAAACTGTGTAATATATGTATATATAAACCTGTGTAAGGCTAATATATGTACATATAAAACTTTACATATATAAATATATTTATATATGATTATATAAATTAATATATTTATAATAAATATATATACACACGCACACACACACACATATATATATATGGCCTATGTGAGGACTATTCTTTGAAGTCTAAAAGGCATAGCTTTGTGAAAATTATAAAGGGTCTGAGGCACTTGCTCCAGAAATACTTCCCAAACTGACCTACTTCTGTTTTCCAGCAACTCATATCTGAGTGTTGATTTTTTTTTCCTTTTAAACAAAGCTCCGTCTGCTCTCATATACCTCACTTCAGCTGTCATCTAGCTCCAGATAAGATGAATGTTGCTCCAATGCTGGTCATTTTCCAGGACTCTATGATATTAAATGAACCTATCTAGCCTAGTGATCCTCAAGTATATGCCTGTGTGCGTGTGTGCATGTGTCTGTCTGTCTGTAGTGTGGGTTTGCTTGTGAGTGGTAGAGATTATCATCTGGTGGTGACATCTCCATTCGGTTAGCTTGTGGGAGTGGTGGTACAGACTTTTTTTTTTCCTCCTCCACAGGGGACATAGGTTGAGAAACTCTGGCCTGGCAATTTAATGCTCAGTGCAGTTTGATGGTGATAAAACTCCTGAAGAAGGCAAGAGTGAGGCCTGAGTCTTGGAGAGTAAGTTGTTGCCAGTGCCTGACAGGCCTTCGGTTTAATTTGAAGCTGGAGGCCACATTGATAAAGTCGGCCCCGAAAGTCATTGCCTGTCTGATCGAATGCCGGTTTACCCAGCGGAGGCTGGGGGCCACGTGAGCTCACTTTCTTTGGTTTTCTACCCAGCAGCCCAGAATATTACCTTCCTGAAACCCTTTTTCATCAGCTAGCGATTCCTGAAAAGGATCTTCAAGATTTTTATGTTTCTCAGAACCTAGCAATAACTTGGAAAAGTTTTCCAAGTAACATTGATGTGTGGGTGTTCGGGGGCAGACAAGTTAAGGAGCAAGGCACCCTTTTTGAGGACCCGTGGCATGCAAATGACTTATCAGAATGCACATAGTATGACAGTAAACACCGTTTCTTACAGAGGTGAAATAACTCTCACTCCACAGAGACGGAAGTGACCCGAAGCTAGCAGTCCCCTGTATTTGCTTGTGTGACACCGAACATGTCAGATCAGGGTGTAGGAAACTATGCCTAGCGCAGAGGAGGGTAAAGGAAGTAGGGAGTCTGGTGGCTGCGGCGCTCCAGCTTCCAGCCACCGGCAGAGGAACCCTCTACGGCTTGAAAGGGAAACGCAGCCACTCAGCCGCTTCGACTGCGGCGGCGAAACCAAAACAGGGTGGGGCGGGGTGGGTGGTGCTCTCTAGTGGAAGGCGCCCGCTGGGTGAGGTCGTTTTGTCTGGCGGGGGGCTAGGACGGTCAGCCCGGGAGGAGGAAAGGCGCGTCCCGCCTCCAGCTGCAGGGCCAGGCGGCGGCGCCCGCTGGCGTCGCTTTCCCTCTCCCGGTCGGCCTCGGTGCAGGCCAGGCTGGGCGGGCCGGGCGGCGCTTGGGGGCCGGGCTCGGAGTCCCCACTTTTCCTCCCTCCTTCCCTCCTCTCGGGGCCGTCCCGAGCGGCCGGGCCAATGGGCGCGGAGAGGAAGGGAGCGGGAAGCGGGGCGCCTTGGGCCCGGCCCTCCTACGGCGCCCGTGGCTGCAGCGCCAGCGCCAAAGCCAAGTTTGCGCCTCGAGAGTTTGCGCCTCGAGAGTTTGCGCCGGTTCGCATTCCCCGGCCTCCCGTTCGCTCCCCCGCGAACCAGGCGGCCGTGCGCCTCTCGGGGCAACCACCCAAGAGCACCCGGGCGGGAGGACGCCGAGCAGGGGGTGTTGCGGGCTGGGACAGGGGCAGCCACCTCCCGAAGATGCAGGATGGCAGCAGAGCCGCAGCCGTCCAGCCTTTCCTACCGCACCACGGGCTCCACCTACCTGCACCCGCTCAGCGAGCTCCTGGGCATCCCGCTGGACCAGGTAACTGCAGGCCGGGAGCGCAGCGACCCCAGCTCCCCAGCGATCGCGTGCACGGGGCGGGCGAAAGTGTTAGCCACCGTCCCTCCGCCTCCATGGCGTATTTTACAGCCACACACTAGACAGTTGGTTTTTGTGTGTGTGTGTGTGTGTGTGTGTGTGTGTGTGTTTTCCCTTCTTGAGTTGGTGTTAGTGTTTTTCTCCTTGTAAGTGTGAAAAAATATTGGTACAGCCTGCGCGGCAAGTTCTACTGAACTTTTTTTTCTTTAAGTTTGGGATTGCCTCGTTTCCTGTAATCAAGTTCTGAAGTAGTCTGATACATGAAACCAGTGTTTCTTTCATCAGTGTCCTCAAGTCGTTATTGTTTTTAATTTAGATGACCCTACTTAAAAAACAAGCGCGATGAATCTGTAGACGGTAGTCTATAGATTTTGAATGCAGGACCTGGGTTTTAGACTTCTGAGGCGAGGCTTGTTCAGGGGTGACAGTTATTTTGTACCGTGTGTGATGCGGGACACACAAGGACACTTTGGTTTTCCCAGGGTTCGGTTGGCTCATATGCCTGGGGCTGGAGCTTCTGAGTAGGACAGGTTAGGGGGAGGAGAGGGGCCCCAGTGAAGTTATTTGAACTGTCCAGGAATTATCTACAACCATTAAAATTAAAAATGGCAACAACAGTGATTCCTGGCAAGAAACCTTCCTGAAGATGAAGCCCGTCTTACTCATTTCCTTGTCTCTTCAGGTGCTGCAGGCTAGATCTGCGGGATACTTAGTAGTGACCCAATCAGTAAATGTTGATTTAAATAGAATTGGGCAGGGCATGCTGGGGGAGGACCCACTGCGCTCCTGTTTTGTTTCATGCTTTTTTGCCTGGTTTTCTTCCCCTTCCTCTCACCAGTGCTCCTTTTCCTTTCCTTTTAACAAGAGCACACCTGCTGCCCTTTGCGCACACCCCTTCAGCAATGAGAAAGTGAGACCTGGACATTTGCCTTATTCGGGTCCTGTTTACTGAGCCACCCTCATACCTGGCTCACTCTGAGGACCTGACTGAGAACTCCACCTGATGTGACCATTGCGTTCTCATCAGTTGCAGAATACAGAAAGTCAGAAACTTGGGAAGGGTTTCGGTGCCAAAGCATTTGTGCTTTTGTAAATTACTCTTTAGTTTCTGGTGAGGATGAGATAGACCCAGGGACCCAGGCAGAGGCGGACATAATAGCAAATTCTTTAGTTCTGAAATTAAATAAAACTCATAGCTGAATTTCCTTAAGGGGAGTTTGTTTTGTACTTACCTCTCCACTCCCTATCAGAAGGTATTTTAATTGCATTTTCTCTTCTAAGCTCTTCTACACAGCTAGAAAGACTCCAGGAAGGCTTTTTGTATGGCTAAAGGACCATGGCAAGTTATGGCTGGGAGGTGCTAGAATAATGTTTTTAATGTCTTTCAATTGCATCCCCTACTTTCCTATAAAGGTAATTCTGGTTTTAATTCATAAAAAGGAACAAAAGAGCCTTAGGAATGTTTAAAACTGGGAGGGAGGGAGGGAGGGAGGGAGGGAGAGACTTCTGGGATAAACCGAAGGAGAAATGTTTGCCATGGCCAGGAGCACCTGAGATCTCTTAGCTCTTAGGTCAGTCTGACCACCCTCCAGCAGGAGTGAGTGTGGATGACCCTTGGTGGAAGAAGCACTTAAAAGGCAGTGCCCCAGGTAGCTTATTTTAGGCCCAAGGAAAATCCCCAAACCATAAATAAGGTCGTTTGAGGCTACGTTGTGGCTTGCGAGTTTGGAAGCTTTGTGTGTTTTTTCCCTTTCACATTTTTAAGGCTTTTTAAAGGCTTAGATGTCAGACTGACCTGGGTGCAATTCCAGTTCTGCCAGCAAACTTCCCTTTGTGACTGCCAGCTGGTACTCTACCCTCTTGGAGACTCAGCATCCTCATGTAAAATGGGAGATGACAATAAGACCTACCTTTTGAGGTTGAGAAATTTTATATGATGTGAAATGCCCGACATTAGGAAGGTTCTTGTATCAGGGTCCTTGCAGGAAACGGGAACCAACCCCATTGGCTGAAATGAACAGACTTTAATGAATTACTTAGAGGGGTATGGGCAAGTTTAAGGGAATCAACAAAGGATGTTGAGATGCTGAGATCAGAAGTAGGGGGCAGCTGGAGGGGAAAGTGGAGTTACTTCATTGCCATTTGTGAGAGCTGGACCTGCCTGGAGGTCATGAAGAATCAGAGAGAGAACCTCAGCCCTTCTTCCTACCTTGTAGCCCTTCCATCTCTTCACAGTGGCCCCCAAGGCCTCAGCCTGCAGGGGCTCCTCCTGTGGCACAGGATAGGGAGGATAAAGGTGGAGGCAGATCTAGGGAGTAACCTGAGGATAAGAGTGCAGGCCTTGATACGTGTTTGCTCCTGTCCCATTAGAGAGTGACTTTTGATTGGCCTGGGATATGCTCAAAATTATAAAATATATATCTCAAGTTACTCAAATAGTTTTTTGTATGCCTCTTAAGGACACTGAATCATTTCCTAATGTCTTAACATCCTAATTCCTGATTAATTGCACTCCTGTGAATGTCTTTAGCCTCTGGATCCTGTGTCAAGTAGTTTATTATCAGCAAAAATGGAAATACCTGGTAAGCATTCTGCTTCGTATGTGAAGAACTCTTTATTCATTCTTTTTCATCTGATTCTTCCATTTATCTGTTCTGTTAACTTCGTGGCATCCTTAAATAGGAAAGCCTGTGTGTGGTTAGGACTATACTCAGGAAAAGTCTATGGTTTTTGTTTTAGGGATTTTGATTAGTCTGACATCCTCCTAAAGATGTGAAATATAAAATTATCTCCCTTAATTAGAGACAAATAGCGCATAATAATTCAGATGCAGAATACAGGAAATGGGATGATGACTTAGGGGCCTCTATAGATGCTTCAAAGATAAGGTTGTTGAAAACTTTATTTCTAAATAATGGGCCCTTGTCCAGTGAGCAAATATGGAGTTATGGTAGGTGGTAGGATTATGCCAATAAAAACCTTCACTTAGGATAAAGTGGGCAAGCACTTTTCTTTCCTGTTTTGGGGGAATCAAGGAATCATCTGCTCCTGTCCTCCTCACTTTGTTTTGGTTGTGGAGTGTAACTTAATGTGCCTTTAAACTAAAGGTTTGCAAGACTGACTCAGTTGCCAAAACAGATATGATAATGTTGATGTTAGTAATTTGTGTAGTGCACAGTTACGTCATTATGTCCTAGGAGCTGTGAAAGCTGAAATGGAAAGTGTTTCCAGGCTTTAAGGAACTTCCAATTTGGTGGTTGGAAATTCTGCCCACCAGCAAAGCATTTTTGGGGTATTTCACCTGATGGTGCCCCCAAACTGTGTGTGTGTGCATGAAGTATGAATTCAGTGTTACACTAGGACTCTCTGAGGTATTTTTTTTTCCCCCTAATTTGGCATCAGCAGAAAAAGGGGCAAGGGGAAAATAGACCAGGAGATAAGAATCCAGGAAATAATTTTGAGATTAAAACAGCGAAGGTTTAGGATTATTAATGTAAGCTTGTGTCACCATTTACAAGTCTGGATAAATGAAGACCAGCTTTAAAGACGTGGCATTCCAGACTAATGGTGATACCAGGAGTGAGTTTGATTATTTCACCTGGGCCCATGACTACAAAGTTTCTTTTTTTTTTTGAGACAGAGTCTAGCTCTGTCACCCAGGCTGGAGTGCAGTGGCACGATCTCGGCTCAGTGCAACCTCCGCCTCCCAGGTTCACGTGATTCTCCTGCCTCAGTCTCCAGAGTAGCTGTGATTACTGGAGCGCGCCACCATACCCGGCTAATTTTTGTATTTTTAGTAGAGGCGGGGTTTCACCATCTTGGTCAGGCTGGTCTCGAACTCCTGACCTTGTGATCCGCCTGCCTCGGCCTCCCAAAGTGCTGGGATTACAGGCATGAGCCACCACGCCCGGCCGACTACAAAGTTTCTTTACCTACCTGGATCTGTCAGTCCTGGTTGCTTCCCTTGGCCATGCTTGCAAAGCCCAACCTTCAGTTCTCTTCTTATCTAAGTCTTGTCCTTCATTAAAAGCTCAGCTCACATTCCAGTCATTGTTAAATCAATTAAATATTTATTTAATGCTATTAGTGCCAGGTACCTGGCCATATGGTAGAAATACAAAGATGAAAAAAATCAAGGTCCCCATCCTGCAAGGGCTTATATACTCTAGAGGAAACAAAAGGCCCATGTAAGTATATAGGCTGTGTATGCTCACAGACCTGCGTAGGCACTGCACAGGTTTGTAGATGGTGCCGTCGTGGAACAGAGAAGGGATGCCCACAGGACATGCTGGACTCATGTAGAATTTACTGTTTACATTTGATGCTTGGTAAATGTTACCTTATATTGTTAGTTATCTTGCTGGGTTTGTAAGCTTAATTCCAAACTAATTTGAAGTCTCTTTGTAGTCAAGGCTTGAGTTCCCATACAACTTTATTTATGGATCCTGACATCTAAATTTCATGGAATTTTCACCTGTCTTGAAATGTTCTTCCTTAGATTTTTTTTAACCCTTTAAAATGTAAAATGCATTTGTAGCATGTAGGCCACACAGAAACAGGCAGTGGGCTGGATTTGGCATGATAATCGTATCTCCTGAAATATGGTGCATGGATTGTCATCAGAATCTTCTGCCATGGGTGTTTCTGGGATCCTGCCCCGTCCTGCTGAATTTGAATATCAGGGTGTGAGGGTACTTCCCGAGTGATTCTTATGCCAACTAAAGTTTGAGAGCCATTACTATAGTCAAGGGAGGACATCGCAGGGTTTAAGTTGTGAAAAGATTTTCATTTTGTGAAGGCATACGGAAGGTCCTCACTGAAGGAAGTAGGGATGGAGGAGGAAGCAAGGGTTTTGCGGATGAGTGCAGGGTTAGAGAAGTATTTAAGGGAAATTGAGAAAGCACTGACAAGGTCAATTGAATGAGCTGCTGAGTATAATCAACCTACTGTCAAGTATACATTTTTAGACGGATGAATATGCACAAATATGTGCTTTTTTTCTTTCAGCAGCTCCTTTCAGAAACAAAAGTGAAACAGAAATTTTCAGAGAAGGTTGTTGGGAAGTTAAGAAGCTCAGATATTGAAAGATGCTGACAAGTAGTTGGTGGTGGTAAGAGTGAAGAGGAAAACTTCTTGCGATGGTGGGTCGTGGAGGGCAGGTGCAGAGGAAGTGAGAGAGCTGGAGGGCTGGGATATGTGAGTGAAGGATTTCTAGTGAAGTCTTTCTGGGTGATGATGAAAATCGGGGTGTGCGCCTGAGGGTGGGGGTGAAAGTCTGTTGAGTGTAGCAAGCAGGGGAACTGGGGTATTTGTATTTGATGGATTGTCCTTCTTGACATTGACGGTACCCAGGTGAATTTGGGGAGTTGCGGTGGAGAAGACTATGAGGTCCCTAAGGTGTCCAGGAATATGGAGGAGTCACCAGAGGTGGGCAGATTCTGAAAGCAGGAAGAGGGAGCAGAGGGGGTGTGACCCGGCCTGCTGTCTGTCATGCACTCAGCCCATGCCTCTGCATGCATCCTCTCATGTAATATTAGGAGTGTGGGGGAGTCTGGAGGGAGGAAAGCTTTCCTATGAGGATAGTGGAAGGAAAATAGTACAAAGTGGCTGGGCTTGGTGGCTCACGCCTGTAATCCCAGCACTTTGGGAGGCCGAGGCGGCCAGATCACCTGAGGTCAGGAGTTTGAGACCAGCCTGGCCAACATGGCGAAACCCCATCTTTACTAAAAATACAAAAATTAGCCAGGTGTGGTGGCACAAGCCTGCAGTCCTAGCTACTCGGGAGGCTGAGGCAAGAGAATCACTTGAACCCAGGATGGGGAAGTTGCAGTAAGCCAAGATTGTGCCACTGTACTCCAGCCTGGGTGACAGAGCGAGACTCCATCTCAAAAAAAAAGAAAAAGAAAACAGTGCAAAGCAGCAGTGGGAGGTCTGGAAAAGCTCTGACCTGCTGCTTCTGACCTTGGCTTTGCTGTCGTGATGGTAAAATGAGAACAGAGGGTGGGCTTTGTGAAGAAGGTCAGCAGTGGAGGGAGGAAGGCAGTGGGAAGATGAGTCACACAGGAGGGGGAGAAGGAAGTTAGGGGCAGCACGTGGATGCAAGTTGAGAAGTGGAGCTTGCGAGCCGCGAGTGAGGGTTGGGGAGGAGTTGGAGGGGTCTGGGCAGGTAGGGTGGCCCCCCTAGGGTCTCAGAGCCCTGATGAGGTGGTGTCCAGTGACTGACTCTGAGCTTTGCAGTCCCTCCTGGAGCTGCACGTTCATGTGGTGGAAAGTTCCTCTGTGGTTCTGAAGAGCTTGCTGTTAGCAGGTGGGTGGGGGGGCCTTTTGGAAGCAGTCTGAGGGCATTGAATGTAGATGTGTTGGGGGTACGATGGTGAGGTATAAACCCCCAGGTCCACAGAGTTGCAGAGGACAGGCCTGGTGGAGTTGGGGACTGTCCCTCAGAGCCTGTGTGAAGATGGGCGGTCTCCATGCTGGGGGATTCTGGATAAGTCCAGAAGATGGGCTGGCCTACCAGAGACTGCTGACTGGTGTCACAGTCTAGTGGCTAGATTTGACGATAATTGAAGGGAGGACAGAGAGATCACAGGTATGGCCATATATTCCCTGGCATTTGAAGCAAAGGCCTAGTGTGTCCTGGAGCTTTAGCCTTCCTGTTGTGGAACAAGAGGTGATTCTTCACAGCTTGGCCTCAGTTTACCTGTCTGGCTTAAGGACACTGACAACTCCATACATTGAATGCTTACGCTCTCAGCACTGCTCTGCATACATTCTCTCAGTTAATACAGCACTAAAAGTTATTCCCCAAATTTCTTCCTTCTTTCCCTAAATTTCTTCTTTCTTTTCTTCTTTCCTCCTTCCTTTTCTCTCTTTTCTTTCTGAGATGGGATCTCACTCTGTTGCCTAGGGTAGAGTACACTGGCTTGATCATGGCACCCTGCAGTCTCAAACTCTTGAGCTCAAGCAATCCTCCTGCCTCAGCTTCCCAAGTAGCTGGGACTAAAGGTGCATACCACCCCACCTGGCTAATTTTTTTGTATTTTTTATAGAGATGTGGTCTTGCCATGTTGCTCAGGCTGGTCTTAAACTCCTGGCCTGAAACGATCCTCTCACCTCAGCCTCCCAAAATGCGGGGATTATAGTTGTGAGCTACCACACCCAGCCTGTTCCCCAAATTTCAAGTTAGGAAGCAGCCCCCAGGGCTTATGTTACTTGCTTGTAGCTGGGAAGGGGCAGAGGCAGGACTCGAACTCAGGTCTGTCACTGGAGGCCGTGCTCCTGGTTGCTGCACTGCATTCCAGCACCATTTTCCCTGTGTGCTGTGCTTTCAGCACAGTGAACTCTTTACTTCCTATCCCTCAAACACAGTGTGTCTTTCATACCCTCCAGCCTCTGCACACACACACTTCCTTCTCCTTGGAGGTTTATTCCTCATCCTGGTCCTCAATTCCTGTTTTCAGGCTGGGCCCTAAAATCCTCTCCTCGTCTTCCCTCTGTAACCCAGCCCTCCCTCCCCACCAGGGCCAAATGGACCCCTTCTTTCTCTCTGTTTCTCCATAGCGTCCTATCCATATCACATTGCTCTGCCTTTTACTTTACTTCTTAGATATTTATTGGTCTCTCTGTCCTGCCTGACTCTGAGAGGCATCTTTCCATAGTTACTTACTGAGCGCTGTATGCTAGTGGGCTAAATGGAGATACAGAGATTAGTGAGTTATCTGTGCCTTCTGTGAGACAAACATGTAGATACTTGGTAAACTGCTGTTTGCCTGTAAGCCTTGAAATATCACGTGCCCAATGCACACACCACTGCCAGAGGACACGGGGCCTCGGCATCTCTGGGCCTCTCCTGAGACAGTGCTAGGGGAGAACTTCCTGGGAGCAGCTACTTTAGAAGCAGGAGGGAAATTAGAGGGGAGAGGGGCCAGGTGAGACAGTCAGAATATTCTAGGAGGAAGAGAAGAGAGTCTCATTCTTTATGGGTAGTGATCATTATCAAAGAAGAAAATGTTAACAAATTGAATTTAAAGATGGAATTGTCTTTTATTAGTGATTCATGAATCAGGCAGCTTCCCATCTGTAAAACAGCAAGGCTGAGCTGAGCTGAAGAGGTGGACTTTACAGGTAGAAAAGGCTGAAGAAAGCAGAAGCAAAGAATAACAAGCAAAGTTACTTTCCTTATAAGGTTAAAAAAGATGGGACTTCCTTATGCTGGCTCAGGTAGACTGGGCCCCTTTTCTGTTGGTTGCTGTGAATCTCCTATTTTTTTTTTTTTTTTAAACGGGCCCATTGTAAAGTTGTTTGTTTATATAGCTCCTGGCATCAGTGACTCCATTCTGGTTTGGTCTGGTCTGTTGGGGCCTGGTGCAGGAGCTCGGTCCAAAATAATTGCTCCTTACTAATTTTATTTACCACCACTGAAGATGAATCTTCGTCATCTTTGTATGGTTAGCACAAAGTAGGAACTAAATACATGTTTGTTGAATTGAAATGGAATTTTATTTACATTTTTGGATTGGAATGAATGACTTAATTAAGATAAAATTGGGAGCCAGTTCTTTTTACCAACTGAATTAGGCCTGTTTATTATTTGGAACCTGAATATCAGATTAAATGGGACCAATTTCTAATTTGAAAGTTAATTCATGGCTCACTTGCTGGTAGTGAAATGTTTATCTTGAGTTATTTAAAGATGACATACTCTATTCCCATTTTCATTGTGTGCAGTTGATATACTCATCACCTCCAGTTATAAATGCAGCTATTAGTATCTTTTTTTTTTTGGCCCAGTTGTTTCAGATTTCTGTGAACATGTAGAAATTTCCTTTAGCAGTCTAAAATCAAGTCATACATACGAAAGATGCCATATAGTCAAATACTCTCAAGTATTCTGTAGCTTGGCCTTGGAATTACATTTATTATTTTATTTTTATTTTTTATTGAGACAGGGTCTCACTGTGTTGCCCAGGCTGGTCTTGAACTCCTGGGCTTAAGTGATCCTCCTGCCTTGGCCTCCCAAAGTGCTGGGATTACAGGCGGAAGCCACCACACCCAGCCAGGAATTACATTTATAAAGGAAAATTTCATGAAAAGATTATATCTAAAGAGATAAAATCTGGAAATATCTTTTGTACCAGTGACTTGTATAAAGAATTCAGTTTATGTCACTTAGTAACAGTGGCTGTGTGCTTTTCAAAGGCTTTCTATTTTAAGTCAGCTCTTTTAGTAAACAAGATAAAGGGATAACTTATTGCAGTCTCATTAATGTCAATTTCTAGTAGTTTTGCCAGGCAAACACAAGGATAGAGAGTCGTCAGTGGGAAAAGTAGCTCCAAATAGTTTGTACTGGTTAAAAATGTGCTTTATTAAAAGATAACTATTTCTTTGGGCTTAAGAAATGTAACTATCTGCAAAAAGATTAATTCATTAACCTATTTGCAATGTGATTTTTAGTTATCCAAAAAAAAAAAAAGCCCTTGATAAATCATTTACCAACTTCCTTGTATTAGTGGAGCTCTGTTTTTAATTTTTTAAAGTTACCAGTGGTTAATCTTCTTTTATGGTTTAGTAAAACTGACTAATTTGAGAGATGGTTTTGAAAGTCCACAATCACCTTGAACAGTTTAAAGTTGAATGAAGGTTTCTGGGCTGATATTGCTGGGGATTTCCAGCAAACTATCATTTTATTATAAATATTCCATTCTCAGGTTTATTTACAAAACAAAACGAAAACCAGGGAACTCAGGTTCTAATGTAATTTGGAGAAGAGCAAGGGTACATTTGAAAAGTTTGTGTTCAAGTTGTCCTAAACTCTTATTTCAAACAAGGAATTAAAAATTTAAAATATTCTGTTATTCATTTGTTTATTTATTTTTTAAGTTTGTTTCATTCATCATTCTGTGGCTGACTTGAAACAGATGAGTCAGCAAAGGTACACAGCAAAAGGTTGCTAAGGCTTACAGGAAGTTGCTAAACTCAAAAGTCATTTCATGAAATTACATGAAGTGGTTTAACTGTGAGTGTCACTAGATTGAGACTTCTTTGTTCCTAAGACTCCCCCACCCCCTGCCCCAGTATTATTTTTTGCTCTCTGTTTTTATTTTATTTATCTATTACATTCTTTTAAATTTTTATTTTTTATTGATTTTTTTAAAGCTTTTATTTTATATAGATACAGTTAACAAAAATCACTTTTCCAGCCGGGCAGGGTGGCTCAGCTCTGTAATCCTAGCACTTGGAGAGGCCACGGTGGGTGGATCACTTGAGGTCAGGAGTTTGAGACCAGCTTGGCCAACATGGTGAAACCCCCATCTCTACTAAAAATACAAAAATTAGCCGGGTGTGGTGATGCATGCCTGTAGTCCCAGCTACTCGGGAGGCTGAGGCAGGAGAATTGCTTGAACCCAGGAGGCGGAGGTTGCACTGAGCTGAGATCACGCCACTGCACTCCAGCCTGGACGACAGTATGAGACTCCATCTCAAAAAAAAAAAAAAATCACTTATCTGATTAGATAGTACAGGCACTTACTATCGAAGTCATAAGCAGAAAATGGAATATAAGGAAAGGTCCATCTCTCTCACCCCTGCTTCCCTTGTTTCCAGCTGGCCAGATTTCCATGGTTTAGTTGCATGATTTCAGAGATAGTCTGTGTCTACATATGCCCAGAATCTTTTTGTCTTATTTTCTGACATAAGTGATAGCGTATGGTTCCCTCCCTCCCTCCCTTCTTTTCTTCCTTTCTTCCTTTCAACTTAACAGTGTCTCTTAGGGATTGATTCATGTCTGTATATACAGAGCTCTGGTGACTTTTGAACTTCCTTTCTGCCTTTTCTGAAGGCTTTGTTTCTGTTCTTCCAGCCATGGCTTTGTGTTATGAGAAAAATCTGGAGTTATAACTCCTCCACAAACTGGGAAGGAGCTGAGAGACCAAAGAATAACTCAGATAAGTCCAACTTGGCGAGTAGGTGAATTTATTAGGACTTACATATGGGACACTCCTGGGTGGCAGCAGGACAGCTCTAGAGATCCTCATCACCTCTTGTGTCTAAACTGCTTTTGAGATGACTTTCTGGCTCTTTGCCTCCTGTGTTTGAGTGATGCAACTGTGTATTTTTTTGTAGATATGTTCGCAGATACTCTCCGGGATGTTTAGGTTCTCAGGAACACCTGCTCCTTGGCTGAGCACCATGACCTTGGCTGACTGCCCACCCTTCAAGGTTCAAGCAGCGGACATACACCCTTAAATAACCTGGTGGGGGACCGGTCACCCTACACTTTCTCCTTTAGCAAATGCTGAAAGTTATGGTATTGGGGGAGTGAGAGGGTTGGAGAGGGGTCCTTCCATGGTGACACTGTCTGCTCTGCTCACATTCCCCAGGAATATGGACACTCCGGAGTGCTACTTACAGTGGGACCCATGAGGGGAAGAGCAATGAGCTGGGGGAGGCCGAAGACTTGGGGTTTGTTTCTAGTGTCCCCTTAAATGGAGAGAAGTAACTTGGGACATGGACGTAAGGGACATTAACTATTCCCTCATCTCTTGTGCCTTAGGGATAAAAATGGCTCTGCCTCCTACTGGCCTGGTGGCAGTAGACTATCCAGAATTCTTGATATCCCCATCTCCTGGAAACAGTACTCTTTAAGACCAATTTGGCTCTGGAATTTCAAGACCTTCAACCTTAGTGCAGAAGGGTTGGTTTTAGCTTGTAAAATAATACATTTTGAAGGTAAAGATGACAAACCAAGACTATTTTTTCTTCCAATTTCAGTAGACTTAGCTAAAAAGATCGTACCTGTATAATTTGCTTTCTTATTTCTCCAAATGAAATGTGTGCAATTCAGCGCATGTTGGGTGAACTGAGTTGACCTTTGGGGCTCTGGAATCTTCTGTCTTCTTTCATCTCACCTAGAGTAAGGCCAGGATGCCTTAGGAACATGTGAACTATACTCTGGCAGAAAGATCTTGCAAAGAGCTTCTATTTTTTGTCCATTAGGGATGTTGAGGTGTTTATAGCCTCCTTTCTGCATTCTAGTAAAAGATAATTGCCCATTGTCCCCATACAATAAATGTTAACTTATCTGCACATTATTCCATTATTTTATTTTTTTTTGAGACAGAGTCTTACCCTGTTGCCCAGGCTGGAGTGCAGTGGCACGATCTTGGCTCACTGCAACCTCCGCCCTCTGGTTTCAAGCGATTCTCCTGCCTCAGCCTCCCAAGTAGCTGGGATTATAGGTGCCCGCCACCACACCTGGCTAATTTTTGTATTTTTAGTAGAGACAGGGTTTCACCATGTTGGCCAGGCTGGTCTCAAACTCCTGACCTTGTGATCTGCCTATTTCAGCCTCCCAAAGTGCTGGGATTATGGGCGTGAGCCACCGCACCTGGCCCTGCACATTATTTAACAAAAAGGAGGCAAATGAACATTTATACAGAATTAAATTCAGAAAGCCAGTTTATATAAATTGTGGAAGGAAGGACAAAAAGAGGATTTTCTTCTTTCTTATTCATGTATGCAGACTGGGAGTTTACAAAAAGGAAGTAAAAGACTAAGTTTTTTGTTTGTTTGTTTGTTTTTGGTACTTTCAGTCTTGTTGAGTTAAAGTTTACCCAGTTTCATACTTAGTTTTACTATGGTGCAAAACTTAAGTTGATGTACGCAGGTTTTTTTCTTTCTACAGATGTATTTAGAGTGTCTTTAGAAATATATTAATCTCATTACCAGTTTTGTTAGTTTAAAAGAAGGGCAAAGTGAGGCTGTATATTAAAACAATCATTTCATCAAGATAGAGGGTGAAGCTCTGTTTCATCTTAATGATAAACTAAAAACTTTAGCCAAATTAAATTTAAAGAAGTTTAACTGAGCAATAAATGATTCCCGAATCAAGCAGCCTCCCAAGCCGGAGTAGGCTGTGAGACTCCAGCACAGCCATATGGTGGAAGATTTATGGACAGAAAAAAGAAAGTGAAGTACAGGAAATGGAAGTAAGGTACAGAAACAGCTGGACTGGTTACAGGTTGGCCTTTGCCTTCTTTGAAGAGGATTCGAACATTTGGCTACATTTGATTGGCCAAAACTCGGTGATTGACACTAGTATGTAGGTACGGTCTGTTTACACCTCCACTTGTTAAAGTTTACGATGTACAGAAGAACATTTAGGTCGAACTTAAAATACGTAAGGAGGCAACTTTAGGCTAAACTTGATTTAACATTAACAATGAATGATGAATTATGGCTGTTTATCTTAGCTGGTTGAAATTGCAGAGAAAATCCTGAGGAAGCTAGTGGGCTATAAAACAATTTAGAAATTGACTGCTTACGACTTTTTATGAGAGCTGAAAAACCTCTTGTATACTTGGCAACCTTCAAATGTTTATTAGAGTAATATGTGTCTAGATTTGGTTCCCTGCTGCAAAGTTTCTAGAAGAACTGGAGAAGTTAGAAAAGAGCAAGAAAAATGGTCACAAGAACAACTAGGCTGAAAATTGCTAAACAAAAGGAAATGAACTTAAATGTCAATGAATTGACTAAGAAAAGTCACAAGATGGTAGAGTGACCATCAGTGAAGACTAGAAAATGCTAGTTAGGCAATGATAGATAGGGTGGGCCACTAATGCATCTCATTTCCTGAAGAGGGTCTTGTACTTGATGGTCTTTAGAGAGCACCTTTGTTATGTTATTTTGCAATGAACCTTCTTTACCTCAACGGAAAGTACCAAGGGTCTCACGGGCATTTCAAGAAATGACTTGCAGGATTTTAGAAGATTGCCATTTGCTTCGTATTAGATGGAACACGTTCTTAGGTGATTTTTTCTTTTCTTTTTTCTTTCTTTCTTTTTTTTTTTTTTTGAGACACAGTCTTGCCCTGTTGCCCAGGATGGAGTGCAGTGGCACGATCTTGGCTCACTGCAACCTCTGCCTCCCGGGTTCAAGTGATTCTCCTGCCTCAACCTCCCAAGTAGCTGGGATTACAAGCACCTGCCACCATGCCTGGCTAATTTTTTTGTATTTTTAGTAGAAATGGGGTTTCACCATGTTGACCAGGCTGGTCTCAAACTCCTGACCTCAAGTGTTTCACCCGCCTCAGACTCCCAAAGTGCTGGATTACAGGTGTGAGCCACTGTGACCAGCCAGCTGCTTTTTTAAAAATAAACTTTTAATTTTGTAATATTTTTAGATTTAAAGAAAAGTTGTAGAGATAGCCAGGTGTGGAATGTGAACCCAAAATATCTGAGACAGCTCTCAATCAATTTAGAAAGTTTATTTTGCCAGGTTAAGGATACACCTGTGACACAGCCTCAGGGGGTCCTGACGACATGTACCCAAAGTGGTCAGGGCACAGCTTGGTTTTATACATTTTAGGGAGACATGAGACATCAATCAATATGTGTAAGATGTACATTGGTTCTATCCTAAAAGGTGGGACAACTCAAAGCAGGGGAGGGGGCTTCCAGGTCATAGGTAGATAAGAGACAAATGTTGCATTCTTTTGAGTTTCTGATTAGCCTTTCACTGAATACACAATTTACATGTGAGGGGAGCATAGAGGAACAGTCACTTTTGCTTAGTCTGGCTTAGTGAAACCATAGGGCAGAGGAAGCCATCCGGTATGCATTTGTGTCACGTGGGCAGAGGGATGGCTTTGAGTTCTGCCTGTCCTTTGTCCACAAGGAATTTCCTGGTGGGCAGATTGTGAGGTGGTATGTAGCTATTTTATCTTTGTAGCTATCTTATTTAGGAATAAAATGGGAGGCAGGTTTACGTGATGCAGTTCCCAGCCTGACTTCCCTTTGGCTTAGTGATTCTGGGGTCCTGAAATTTATTTTCCTTTCACTGGAGGCACGTGTTTCTAAGCCCAGCTACATGGGAGGCTGAGGCAGGAGGATCCCTTGAGCTCAGGAGTTTGAGACCAGCCTAAGCAACATAGTGAGACTCCCATCTATTTAAAAAAAAAAATTTGTAAAGATAGTATGGAGAGGTTTCATATACATCTCACCCTGGTTACCCCAGTGTTATCATCTTACATAACTATGGTATATTTGTCAAAACTACAAAACCAACATTGGTATATAACCATTAAACTTCAGAATTTGAATTTCACCAATTTTTCCATCAATGTCTTCTTTCTATTCTGGGATCTCATACCTTACCTTGTAATTCCCCTGTTTAAAGTGTACAGTTCAGTTTTTTTTTTGTTTGTTTGTTTTTTTTTTTGAGATGGAGTTTCGCTCTTGTTGCCCAGGCTGGAGTGCAAATGGTGCTCTCTCGGCTCACTGCAACCTCCACCTCCTGGGTTCAAGTGATTCTCCTGCCTCAGCCTCCCAAGTAGCTGGGATTACAGACATGCACCATCATGCCCAGCTAATTTTTGTGTTTTTAGTTGAGATGGGGTATCACCATGTTGGCCAGGCTGGTCTCGAACTCCTGACCTCAGGTGATCCACCTGCCTTGGCCTCCCAAATTGCTGGGATTACAGGTGTGAGCCACTGCACCTGGTGCAGTTCACTGTTTTTTAATATATTCACAAGATTATGACAATGGTATTGAATTTTAGAACATTTTCATCCCATCTAAAGAACCTTGGATCATTAGTAGTCCTCCTTTCCTCCCAGATTCTGCCTCCCTATCCCCCCTTCTTCCTCAATCCTGGCAACTACTGATCTACTTTCTCTCACTCAGTTTGCCTCTCCTGGACATTTAATATAAACAGAATCATACAGTATGTGGTCTTTGTGACTAGCTTCTTACATTTCCAAGGGTCTTTGGTGATTTTTGATTGGGTGCTTATGTTCTGTTGTGCATTATCTGTGGGAATATTTTGAGACCAGATTTAAAGTGGAATCCTTTTGATAGAATTTGGGCTTCTGCAGCTGAGGTATTCCCAATCCAGGCTCACTTAAATTGCATTTGCTGCTTTGGATTTTTATTGGCCACACAGGGCATGTGAGTTTAGGCCCCCGAACTCTCATTCTCACGGGAGTCTTTGTACTTTTTGTCCCTCTGTCCAGAGCCAAGGCCCAAATAAGAACACATCTGCTGTTTCCCTCTGTGGGGAGGGCCTCATCCCTGTGAGGTGTCTCCCTTCAGAATTTAGGAGGGGTCCTGGCTTTGGGATAAATCTTAGCTTTATGCACAACCTTCCTTTCTTCCTTCCACCTCTCCCTTCTCAGCCTGCTTTGTCTCCTTTGCCCAAACTCTAGGTCACCTGGATGGGTATATACCCCAGGGAAAAATGCCAGCTCCAGGCGTGCTTGTCTCTCTGATTTTTGCTTTTTCTTGCATTTCTGGCATCTGAGGAATCTTCTTATTTTCTGACAGTTTGGTTGTGCATGAAAATCATCAGTGTATCAGTATGAACTCATGTTTAGTTTAATATAGATACAGATGGTTACATATAAACATATTTATAGATCTGTGTATATTCAAGGATTAGTGCACATGCACACACACACACACACACACACACACACAGGCAATTTATTTTCCTGTCAGCTGAGAGGTCTACAAGAAGTGACACTCCATTAGCAACGAGTACACTTAAGCCTGGATCTTGGTTTCTAAGACCATTTTCCAGTAAAATCCAGGCTTTTTGGAGAAATGCTTGATTCTAGGATTGGGCCAGAATATATACAAGGTGAACCTAGAACATTTTATATGGTAGAGTGTATGGAAGAATTCCAACTGAAAAACCAAAAGTCATAAGAGTATGTCAAATGGACATAGGAGCCAACTGAAACTGCTGTCAGTGGCCAAAGCTGGAACAGTCTGAGCAACAAAGTAAAAAAGCATTCGATTATGGAAGTATAGATTAGATAGAGAAGTCTAGGCTGGCACGGTGGCTCATGCCTGTAATCCTAGCACTTTCGGAGGCTGAGACAGGCAGATCACTTGTGCCCAGGAGTTTGAGACTAGCCTGGGCATCATGGCAAAACCCCATCTCTACAAAAAATGTAAAAATTAGCCGGGCATGGTGGCATATGCCTATGGTCCCAGCTATTCAGGAGGCCATGGTGGGAGGATTCCTTGAGCCTGGGAGGCAGAGGTTCCAGTGAAGCCATGATTGAGCCACTGCACTCCAGTGTTGGTGCCAGAGCTAGATCCTGTCTAAAAAAAAAAAAGTCTAGATTATAGATCTATAATCTATAGGTTATAGAAATTTTGGGTTATTACTCAAAGTATAAAATAAACATCTGTGAGTTCATACCGATATAAATAAATGATTGAATAGGCAAATAAATAGAGAAAATAGACAAATCTCCCTGTGGAAGAATTGCACATAATTATGTAGACACTCACCCTTAAGAAGGTGGAACATAATTCTCCACTCCTTAAATGTGAGCTGTGCATAGTGACTTCCCTCCAGAGTACAGTATGGAAAGGGGAGTGGGGAGAATAACTTTCCAGTGGAGAAACCTGTTAGACACTACCTCAGCTGAGTGATCAAAGTCAGCATCAACAGTGGTAGCTCTGTGGATAGTGTGTTACCCTTAATATGATGTGGTGAAAATGGCACTTTACATCTGTGGTCTTCCTTGCAAAAACCCATAACCCTTAACCCCTGTCTCTGAGAAAAACATCAGAGAAATCTCGATCGAGGGTTTCTACAAAATACCTGACCAGTACTCTTCATAACTGCCAAGGTAATCAAAAACAAGAAAATTCTGAGAAACTGCCACAGCCAAAGAAGCCTAAGGAGATGTGACATGTAAATGCAATATGGTGACCTGGATGGAATCCTGGAATTAGGTAAAAACTAAGGAAATCTGAATAAAGTTAATATATCACCATCGGTGCATTAACTGTGACAAATATACTATACTAATGGAAGATGTTAATAATAGAGGAAACTGGTTGCAGAATATATGGGAACTCTGTGTTATTCTAATAATTTTTCTGTAAATTTAAAACTATTCTAAAAATGCAGTTTATTTAAAAATGCGTGCTTTTTTTTTTGGATCACTGGTTGTGCAATTTATGTAAACATTGAGCTTATAATATTGTCAGAAATAGACATTGAGGCCGTCCATTTAGAGAATTTCATAGAAGAATGGAAAGGTCATATGCAGTTACACTGTTATATGTTTGTGATTAGATTTATTTATTTTTTAAATTTAGCTTTATTCAAATCTTTGCATGTATTCTAATTCATTTTCAGTAAAGATACAAAGGATTGGCTGGGCGCAGTGGCTCACACCTGTAATCACAGCACTTTGGGAGGCTGAGGTGGGCAGATCATGAGGTCAAGAGATCGAGACCATCCTGGCCAACATGGTGAAACCCCATCTTTACTAAAAATACAAAAATTAGCTGGGTGTGGTGGCGGGTGCCTATAGTCCCAGCTACTTGGGAGGCTGAGGGAGGAGAATCTCTTGAACTCGGGAGGCAGAGGTTGCAGTGAGCAGAGATTGTGCCACTGCACTCCAGCCTGGTGACAGAGCGAGACTCCATCTTTAAAAAAAAAAAAAAAAAAAAGGATTTTTGGTTCCTCTTGACTCTTTAGGCTCCTCACAGGTAATTTTCATGAATGGTTTTCTAATAAGAGAAGTATTTTTCTCTGCCCATAACATCAAACATCAAAGCCATACCCAAATGAAAATCTTCATGCATTTACCATTGCTCACCAAGGTAGTCTCTCATTAAGTTCCGACCTTGGAAATACTATTCTGCCTCTCAGGTACCGGATTCAGTCTCTCCTTATTACAGAATCATACTAAGCATATCTTGTTTAAGCCAGAAGAATCCATGCAAAAATCTGCTTATAAGAAATTATAGGCCGGGCGCGGTGGCTCACGCCTGTAATCCCAGCACTCTGGGAGGCCTAGGCGGGCGGATCAGGAGGTCAGGAGATCGAGACCATCCTGGCTAACACGGTGAAACCCCGTCTCTACTAAAAATACAAAAAAATTAGCCGGGCGCGGTGGCGGGCACCTGTAGTCCCAGCTACTCTGGAGGCTGAGGCAGGAGAATGGCGTGAACCCGGGAGACGGAGCTTGCAGTGAGCCGAGATCTCGCCACTGCACTCCAGCCTGGGCGACAGAGCGAGACTCCGTCTCAAAAAAAAAAAAAAAAAAAAAAAAAAAAGAAATTATAGCATACCAGCTGAATAAAAGTAGACAAAGCTTCAGATCCAGGTTGTGTAATTGATGTTTGGGTTTCCTCCTGAGGTGTGTCCTGTGAGCTCACCTTGCTATGGTAATGGGGAAAACACTGGCATAGGACTAGGAAGAGCTGGGATCTAGGCCTGGAGCCAGTATTTATTAAGCGTGTGACCTTGGGCAAAATATTTAAACTTTTGGAGCCTGATTCCTTATCTGCAAAATGAGCTAATCATACCTACATGAAGGGGTTGTTATGAATATCAGATGAGGTTGGGGAAGCGTGGGAAAGGTTTTAGTGCGCTCTTTAGGCAACAGATAGGCGTTGTTTCCTGTTATTTCCCATTGCCAGCCCCATCACATTTTTGAAGCCAGTAGAGAAAAGGTTTCATTGTTACAGCACTGAATGTCAGAAATACACATTTTCTGTCTTGTAGGACTTTATTTCTGATGGTCTAAGTTGGACAATTGTCAGACTCCACTGAAATGTCTTGGTCTTAAATGTGTTCTTGGGACTCTCTTAATGAATAGATAGGATGCCTGGGCAGTGAGGAGGGTGTGGGTGGTGTTTGGAAGGAAAATTTGGTTTTTAGTTAGTAGCTGGAAGAGAAAGAAGAGACTCAACTTGGAGGATAACAAGGGGATGATAAAGTAACTTCAGTTACTTTAGGGCAGAAAAGATGAGGCAGAAGGAGGCAATAAGTGAGAAATAGATGACAGATGGAAAGAAAAAAATTTTTGACTGTTGTGAAATGGGAGGGTGGAAATCTAATCTGAAATGCAAATAAGTTTAGTGTACCCAGGAAGTGTGAAAGAACCTTGCAAAGGAATGACTTTTTATCAGGTAAACGTTAGTTCTTATCAGTGGAATGGAAGGTTGTTAGTTTGGGTGTATTCTTAGTCACTTGAGTGGCTTCATCTGTGGGAATTAAAAAAAAGAATTAGTAGTCTTCTAAAACAGATGCTGAGCCACAATGTTTACTTATTTTCCAACTGGTTGGACATGTAAAAGACATAACTTCTTTCTGTCTCTTCCAATGTAAAGGAAAATATGCATAACTCCTGAAAAGGTATGGGCCATAGGTACCCTTATTTGTTCTATCATATGGGAGTATTTCTACCTTTAACTTCCAGTTATAGTACTTTATTAGTACTATAATAATATAGCTTTATTAGTACTATAATAATATAGCTATAAAAGCTATAAATATGCCTTTTAAAATTGACTGCTTCCTATATTATTATATCGAGCTAAATACATGGGTCATCTCATCTCTGCAATTGCCCTGTTGGGCTTGTCCAATGTGGTGAAATGACCCAGGGGACTTATTTTGCTGTTCCGTCTGCAGTAGGTGATACTGTGGCAGGCAGGTGGCCATAGTGGTCCACTCTGTGCTGGTCAAGTCATAACTTTCCCAAGTGTTCAGTGGCTTAAAGCTGGGTGTTAACTTTTAGGAGGGACACTGGCAAACTGAGGTGTAGCCGAAGGAAAGTGAGCATGAAAGTGTGGCCTTGAACCTATTTCTTATGAGGAGACATTGTTGGAGGAAGCGGGGGATGTTAAACTAGAGAAAGCCTTCAATATAATATTGTCTTAGTCTTTTTCTGCTGCTATAGCACAATGCTATGGCCCGGGTAAATTGTAAACAATAGATGTTTATTGGGTTCACAGTTCTAGAGGCTGGGAAGTTCAAGAGCATGGTGCCAGCATTTTGGCAAGGGGTCATCCCAGGGTGGAAATTAGAAGGTGGAAGTGAGTGTGTGAGACAGAGAGGCACCAGGGGCCAGACTTGCTTTATAGCAACCTGTTTTCGAGATAACTAACCTGGATTTTACAGTAATGACATTAATCCATTCTGCCCTCATACACTGGTGCATTGGGGATTAAGTTTCCAACACATGAACTTTTGAGGGACATATTCAAACCACAGCAGATATGATAGCAATTATTGGCTGTTTGAGGAGAATAATTATTCTGTGTCCTTAGCAGAATTAAGCCTAATGGATGGAAACTTTAGGAAGGTAGGTTTCAACTCATCATAAAGTAGAGTTCCTTATTAATGAGATTTGTGTAGATCAATTCTGATCACTGCTGGAGTTGATGAGTCCCCTGTCCCTGGTGGTGGTCAGGCAGAGGCTGTCTGGTGATGATTGCCATTGACAGAAACTACTTCCTGGCTGCCTGATATCCCTACCTATCTGCCCGAAGTTCTGCTTTTTATCCAGAATCGTCTACGATTCTTGTTTTAGTATTAATTGACAAATAAGTAAGTGGTTTAAGCAGTGGCCTTTCTCAGTGGGCACTTAAAGATAGAAAGATTCCTAAATGTGAAGCAGTAGAGGAATAGATTTAATTATGGTATACTCAAGCTATGGAATTATATGCAAGTATTATAGAAAATGAGGCCACATTGAAAAGTATTAATCATACTGAGTGAAAAGAACAAGTGGTAGAGCAGTGTGTATTATGACCTCATGTCCCATTAAATTTAAAACGTAAAAATACTTTATCTTCCTATCTATGTAGTTCTGAAATGGCAGTCATTAAAATAAAGACAGAGGTTATGTTGGCCGTGACTCTCTCAATCACCTGGCTTACTGGGGAGGGTGAAGAAGACTTTTACTTTTTGATATTTACATTTATATTTTTTAAACAAGCATAGTATTTTCATATTTAAAAACTTAGAGCGGCCAGGTACAGTGGCTCATGCCTGTAATCCCAGAACTTTGGGAGGCCAAGGTGGGTGAATCATGAGGTCAGGAGATCAAGACCAGCCTGGCCAACATAGTGGAACTCCATCTCTACTAAAAATACAAAAATTAGCCAGGCATGGTGGCGGGTGCCTGTAGTCCCAGCAACTTGGGAGGCTGAGGCAGGAGAATTGCTTGAACCCAGGAGGCGGAGGTTGCAGTGAGCCGAGATCGCATCACTGCACTGCAGCCTGGGTGACAGAGTGAGACTCTCTCGAAAAAGGTAAAAAAGAAAAAATTAAAAAAAAAAAACTTAGAGCTTTCACAATAGCCAGGATATAGAATCAACCTTAGTGTCCATCAACAGATAAATGAAGGAAATGTAATACATAAATAGTGGAATACTACTTAGCCTTACAAAGAAGAAAATCCTGCCCTTTAGTACAACATGGATGAACCTGGGGGACATTATGCTAAGTGAAATAAGCCAGACACAGGTAGACAAATGCCATGTGATCTCACTTGGAAGTGGAGTCTTAAAAAGTTGATCTCATAGAAGCAGAGAGTAGAGTGATGGTTACCAGGAGCTAGGGTTGGGAAGGTGGGTAGGGATATGTTGCTCAAAGGGTATAAATTTTAGTTAGAAAGAATAAGTTCAAGTGATCTATTGTACAACATGGTGATGATAGGTAAAATAATAATGTGTTGTATTCTTGAAAATTGCTACCTGAGTATAGTGGTGCATGTCTGTAATCCCAGCTATTTGGGAAGCTGAAGCAGGATGATCACTTGGGCCCAGGAGTTCAAGGCTGTAGTGTGCTATGATCGCACCTGTGAATAACCACTGCACTCCAGCCTGGGCAACATAGTGAGACCCTGTCTCTTAAAAAAAATTACTTAGAAAGTAGATTTTAAGTGTTCTCACCACAAATAAATGATGTGTGTGAGGTAATACATATGGTACTTAGCTTGACTGAGCCATTCCACAATCTATGTGTATTTCAAAATGTTTTTTATTCAACTGAAGAGTAAGTGAAAATATGAAAATTAATTTATCCCAATTTATCCTTCAGAAGGAGCCAGGTAGATGGAAATGATCAAATGGTAGATGAGTCTCAAAATGTCCTAAGGACCTAAGGCATTCTTAGGGGGTGCAAAATGTCCATGGTTTACAGCACTGATTCTGAAAAGGTGATCACCATCAGGATCTTCTGGGCAGCTCTTAAACACATGGGTTCCTGGGCTCTGTGTGTGATCTTTCTTAGTTGGAATTTTCTAAGAATTCCAAGACTCTGAGGGAATATAAAGAAGGAATCTACCCCTCAGGAACTGAGAGGTGGGAAAGGAAGAAACTGGTCAGGCATGCATTTAGGATGGGTCCTTGGTTGAGTTCTTTCAAACAAAAGAACAACCTGCAGGCACAGATAAAGGAACTTGCACAGGGGGCTTGCCTAAGACATGCCCACAGCCACACAGATAAGAAAGACTACACAAGTGACTGGCCCAGACATACCCACAATGGAAAGTTCCATCCCCTGATACATATGCAGTAAGGGGAACAAAGCAATATGGAGTAACTCAAGCTAGGGGCCTGCATGTGCATTAGGAGGAGGGCATGGAGCTACCAGAAATTCACACCTTATGCAAATGAGACACCCAGCCCTCATCAGTTTCTTATAAAAGGCTTTGCATTCAACTGTAAAAATGGCAACCCTCTTCTGGGCCCTCTCTCTGCGGCAGAGAGCTTTCTTCTTTTGCTTATTAAACTTTCCCTCCAACCTCACCCTTTGTGTCCACACTCCTTAATTCTCTTGGTCGTGAGACAAAGAATGCCAGGTAATACCTCAGAATGAGAAATTACTACATTGTGGTGCATTGGTGAGACTGTAACAGAACTACCTGGAATGTGCTGAGGGTCTTCAGGAGGAAGCAGGATTTTCTAGGGTGTAAGTATGCTATGTATGGTATGGTTTGTCTGAGCATTTACTCCTTTAGGGACTCGTTCTAAATTTTTGCTCACATGGGAATTTCATGTCTCCCATGATGATTAGGCAACTTGCTATTTCTAAGGACAAGCCAGCTTTTATGTGTGTGTATGCATTGTGTTATTTAGCATTCTTAGCCTACAGTTTCTTGTCTCTACAAAGACTGAGGCATCTCTGAATACCCTCTAATCCTTCTCGTTAGATGCCCTTGTAGTTCGTAGGGTTGCCTCTTACACATGATCCATATAGTGCTGTAACTTTATTTTTAAACGTAGGTAGAAAACCTGTGCTCTCTTACAGTTCTTCTCTCTCTTTTTTTTTGAGACAAGGTCTTGCTCTGTCACTTAGTGCAGTGGTGCAATCTTGGCTCACTGCAGCCTTGACCTCCTGGGGTCAAGCAATCCTCCCGCCTCAGCCTCCCATGTAGCTGGGATTGCAGGCATTTGCCACCACACTCAGCTAATTTTTGTATTCTTTGTAGAGATGGGGTTTCACCCTGTTGCCCAGGCTGGTCTCAAACTCCTGGCCTCAAGTGATCCTCCTGCCTTGGCCTCCCAAAGTGCTGATATTACAGGTGTGTACCACCAGTCTCCTTCCCTTCTTTACCTGACCATAGGCATTATTCTTTTTTTGACTTATTCTTTCATATTCATGAATCCAGGGTCTACCACTTAGTGATGTGACTCTCTTTTCCTCCTTCTCTTCTTTGTTGAAAATTGAGATAGCTGAATCTTTTCTGGTTTTGTAGATGATTTTAAATTTGTAAAACTAGAATTTGAAACTATTTTCAGTGGGAAAGTGGGAAGGAGAAGGTGAACTCTCTGAAACCACAGCAGAGACTTGCCCTGGGGCACACTCCCCATGAACACCCACCGTATGCATTAGTTGCATGTGGAGGGGCCATTTCGATGCTTGTGCAGGATGTGTTGTATGTATCTTGTTATGGAATTTTAAGAATTATCCTAATAATAATCCTTTTCCCTCCCTCACTTTACAGATGAGACCTAGACTCGAGATTAGATTCCTTGCCCAAGGCAAAACTGATTGGCACCAAAGTCCCTGCTCTTTCCAAGATGGCATGCTTGCTACTTTACTCATCCTTCAGAATCAGTAAATGTGGCACAGTAAGAAGCCTAGACATCTGAATTCATTTAGTGCCAGTGGAGTTGTTGGTCGGCGTTTAAACATTCCAGGCAGTTTAGGAATCCTGTCTCATGTCTTTGGGAGGACTTTAATATCGGAACGAGCAAGTCATGGTAGTCAAAGATGTTTTAGAGGAATAAACATAAAAGGTTATTTTTATCCCAATAAGTTTAACTTTGCAATAAACATTTCCACCTAACTTGGTAAATTTGTTTCATTAACCGTGTTTATAGGCTGTAGGTTTTGCTTAAAGCTGAAAGGCTCAGATGCCCACAGCTTATGCTTTGCTTTCTCCATGTCAGAGTGTAGAACCTGTTAAATTAACTAGAAATTGATCACTGAGCCTGACCCAAGTCTCTGTGGCTTTTCCTCTGAATTTCTGGTTAGTTTATTTACTTTCAGAAGTACACGTTGTCTCTCTCACGTAGTTGTCTTAAGTCCCAGACCCAGATACAGTTTTTAGCTCTTTGCATTGCCACAGACGTACCTTTGATCAAATATTCACATATGTGCTACTTCTTGAAAGCCTCCCCCAGGACTCTGCCCCAAAGTGGCGACATTTCAGGCTGGCCTTGTTGGGGACCCTCCAGATTCAGAGACCTACTAGCCCCAGGGAAGAGCTTGCTAGTCAACGTGGTACAAGGCAACAGTTTCTTCTCCATTCTACATAAGATCTCACACACTCTCATTTCTCTTTCTGGTTTTGATTCCCTCACCCTGGGCTCCAGGAAAGGTGACAACACCCAGGGCACATGGGTTTTTAAGTGCTGGGGCTGTAGAGTGGAGAGAGAGGACCCAGTCAATAGATATGCCAGAAGCATTGTTGGAGATGGCGCACATAAGCAGGTGAAGACACTGCCTCCTTGTGCTGCTTTCTTTGTTCCTACATGTTGCATATAAGCAAGACTTTGGCTTTCAGCAAAATTCAGCCCTCTTACTCCCATTGTTTTCCTCCCAAATCATTGACTGACTGATTGATTGATTGATACAGTCTCACTGTGACCCATGCTGGAGTACAGTGGCACTATCATAGCTTACTGCAGCCTCAAGCTCCTAGGCTCAAGCGATCATCCAGCCTCAACCTCCCGAGTAGCCAGGACTACAGGTGTACACCACCATGCTGGGCTAATATTTTGTATTTTTTTTAGAGGCAAGGTCTTGCTCTGTTGCTTAGGCTGGTCTTGAACTCCTAGCCTCAAGTGATCCTCCCACCTCAGCCTCCCAAAGCATCGGGATTAGAGGCATGAGCCCCAAATCATTTATTGATGGGAGACAGCAGGTAGAATTGATATTAACTACCTATGAAGCCTTGAGCAAGTTACCAAACCTTCCCCTGTGTTTTAGTCTTTTCATCTGTTAAGTGGAGGTAATAATACTTGTCTTATAGGTTGGTTAAGAGGTGGGATGAAAAAATATGGAAAGTGCTTGGACCCTAGAGAATAAAATAAATTTTTGTTGCCATATGTTGGACACTGTCATGGGTGCTAGGCTTAAGATATTAGCCAGCGTTCTCCACACAAAACAAAACCAACCAGGTGTGTATGTGTGTATTTGTATGTAAGTGTGGAGAGAGCGAAAGATTATGGAGGCTTGACAAGTCTAAAATCTGGAGATCCAGGAAAGATTTGAAGTTCAAGTTCAAAGGCAGTCTGCTGTCAGAATTCCCTTTTCTTCCAGGGAGGTCAAACTTTTTCTATTAAGGCCTTCAATTGATTGGATGAGGCCCCCCAATATTATGCATGGTAACCTGCCTTACTGAAATTCTACTGATTTAAATATTAATTTAATCTGAAAATACCTCCACAGAAACATCTAGAATAATGTTTGACCAAATATCTGGGTACTTTGGCCTAGCCAAGTTGGCATATGAAATTACCCATCACATTTGCTATTGATTGATTGATTGATTGTCAGGGTCTTGCTCTGTCACTGTCACCCAGGTTGGAGTGCAGTGGTGTGATCATAGCTCACTGTAGCCTCAAACCCCTGGGCTCAAGCAATCCTCCCACCTCACCCTCCTGAGTAGCTGATACTTGAGGCATGTGTCACTGTGCCCAGCTAATTAAATTTTTTTTTGTAGAGATGGGGTCTCACTATGCTACCCAGGCTGATCTTGAACTCCTTGCCTCAAGCGATCCTCTCACCTCAGCCTCCCAAAGTGCTGATTATGGATGTGAGCCACTATGCCTGCCCTTACACAGATGAATAAAACTTGTCCTTATCTTCAGAGAACTCAAATTTAGCTAAAATACACACACACACACACACACACACACACACACTGCAGTTATAATGTTAGGTACATATAGGTAGTATAGAGGTGGTACAGAGGTGGTTCGAGGTAGACATTTAGCCCAGCATGTGTATGTGCTCAGGGGTTGGGAGCAGGAGGGTAAGGATGAGGGAAGCTTTCCTAAAAGGGGGAGAGATGTAGGGAGTAGAGGGAGAATGGTAAGATGATGGCAGGGTTCCATTCTGTAGGGAATGAGGGTGTACCTAAAGGGCTCTCAGCCTGGGACAGACACAGCTGGATTTGTGTCCTCCATGGTTCATTTGGCGGAGGATGGTTGTGGGGAGACACGCTAACTGCTCACCACAAAATTTGGGGCTTATAGACACACAGGGGCTTGTCATCCTTCAAGGGACTGAGGTGTAGTCAGAACCTTGGCTTAGTGACTAGGATCCACTCCCAAGGGTCATTGTCCGTCCCTTGCCCACCTGTCTGCCAGTGTGGGCTACACTAGATAATCACCCACTGTTCTCTGTCCACCTGCTGTGACATGACATTACCTTAGTGTCCCGTCCTCCACCTGTCCCCCCTCACCAACCCCATCTGCATGGGGACTAGGGGTTTTACCAACCTTGGTACTAGCTTTGCCAGCCAGGCTGGACTTCCACATCAGCGCTGGCACCTGGGTGGTTCCCTACATACCCTCCCCTCATGGGTGGGCCTGATGCAGGTCCCTGCCTCTTCCTGCCCCTCTTGCTTTGAGTTCCTGTCCAAAGACTCCATGCATTGCTAAAATACTGTTAAATTTAAACGGAAGAGTAACATGGTTTGGCTGTGTCCCCACCAAATCTCAACTTGAATTGTGTTTCCCAGAATTCCCACGTGTTATGTGAGGGACACAGGGGGAGATAATTGAATCATGGGGGCCAGTCTTTCCTATGCTATTCTCATGATAGTGAATAAGTCTCACGAGATCTGATGGGTTTATTGGGGGTTTCCACTTTTACTTCTTCCTCATTTTTCTCTTGCTGCCACCATGTAAGAAGTGCCTTTCGCCTCCTGCCATGATTCAGAGGCCTCCCCAGCCATGTGGAGCTGTAAGTCCAATTCAGCCTCTTTGTCTTCCCAGTCCCAGGTATATCCTTATCAGCAGTGTGAAAACAGACTAATACAAAGAGATATCAATGGCATTTTGGGGCTGGCAAGCCTTTTGGGCAGGGTTTTGCCAGAAGCAATACTTTTGTGCAGTCACAACTGTTCTGGGTACTGTTCTTAGCTTTGCTAAGTAATCTGATTTTTGTTGGTGGACTTAACACTTGGCAGGGCTTAGAGAGATGGATACCAACCAGACGGAATGCCATTTTATCCATTTCCTTTGACTTACACAGCTAATAAACAGGATGAAAATACTGATGTTGGATAGCCATTGCTTTTATATCCTGTCTAGGAGACTTTCCTGGCAAATTCAAAGTATAATCAGAAGCAAAGGGAGTTAGTGGGTGAGCATCACAGTCATGGTGGTTGAGCCAAGCTGGTCAGCTGGACCCAGGTGTGTCATGTGGCTGTACCTGGCTCAGCTGGTTGTGGCACCTGCTCACCTATAGAGGGCTGGGGATATCCTCACATAGTCTTAGTAAACTTATTTTTTGGTTTGTTTTAGTAGAATCCTTGCAGACTTCTCCTTTCTGTAAACATATTTTTTTTTCCAGGTAGATCATACCATGGATTATGTTACAGTTTATTTTAGTTACTTTCCAGCCTGGAGGACAGGGCAGCCTGCCAGGTGCCTTGAGTGAGGGAGTCATAAAGGGGAGGTGACGCAGAGGACAGGGAGTTCTCTGTGGCTACAGGTTGGCCTCTCTGGAGAGGAGTAGGAGATCAGGCTGGGGAGCTTCTCTGTCTGAAGAGCACTTTATATTACTTGTCCTTTTTACGCATGTACTGCCAATCCTTTCCATTGTGTTTTCTGAAACTGTTCTATCTGTGAAAAATTCCCTGTCATCTCCCATAGTTATAATAATGGTTGGGGTTTGAGAGTTCCATTGTCACCCCCTCCTATGAGTTGACAATCAATCGGAAAACACACACAGGTGTCAGCCAGAGTTCCAGATATCAACTTTGATGTGGAGAAAGCTAAAATGGAGGTGTCGATATGGACCTGAGTTAAGGGAGGAGCTCCTGCAACCTGAATGGTTCTGATTTACCCCTGCCGTGGTTGGAGCAGCTGCACGGTGTCACAGGGGTTTGGCTCACTGGGGGCAGGAGGAAGGGGCAAGGGGCAGTCTGTGGGCTGGCAGCTTAGGAAAGAGGCCAGAGAACAGACCCAAGGCATTGCTCGCCTGGGAGAAAGGGTCTCTCAGAGTCACTCATTCCCTTCCCTTGGGCAGACTGAGGGAGAGAATAGAGGAAGGTCTCTTCCCAATATTCCAGAAATGAGAGGTCCTTAATTATGTATGGACTCAGGAGGAAGATTAGCAGTATGTTAGATGTTGCTGTGGTCTGAATGTTTGTGTCCTTCCAAAATTCATATGTTGAAACCTAATTCCTAATGCAATAATATTAAGAGGTGGGCCTTTGGTGTGGGATTTGTGTTTTTATAAGAGACTGGAGGGAGCTTGTTTGGCCGTTCTGCTATGTAAGGACACGTAGAAGGTGCCATTTATGAGGAATGGGTCCTCACCCAGACACCAATCTGCTTGCTCTTGGACTTCCCAGCCTCTGGATCCATGAGCAATACATGTCTGTTGTTTACAAATTACCTAGTCTAAGGTATTTTGTTATAGCAGCCTGAATGGACTAAGACAATGTCAAATACTTTCCATGCATTACTCAGATTCTCCTAACAACTCTGGAAATAGGCATTATACGCCTATTTTATAACCAAGGAATTTGAGCAATTTATCCAGGGTAACCCAGGCGTCTACATAGGTTACCCTGTGATCTTTGTAGATGAGCAGGGATTTAAACCATAATTGTTCCGACTCTAGAGCCCAGGCTCTTGTATCCCATAGTGTTGTCTATGAGAAGTTCTGTGTGCTGGTAGCCCTTCCTTAAATTTACTATAGATGTAAACTAATCTCTCATTATTCAGAGGCACTAAATTATAAACATATATACCCTGCCCTCTCATAGTGCTGTATATTGGGAAACACAGTCTCCACTTAGAACGATCCCTCCCTCATCATCTGGTCTCCATGCAGGCGTGCACCCTCCCCTTTGGACACCCACAGGGTGTGTGTTTCACACGCGTGGGCACCGAGGCCGCCTTATGTGTAAGTGGTCTGCTGTGCTTGTTTTACTTCTTTCTCTAGAAGGTGGATAGCAAAGCTTCTGCCATTTTTGTAAGCACAGTACGGTGTAGCACAGTCCCTGAAGTCAGAGAGAGGCTCTCTGGGAATTTTTATTTAATTGAATGAGTCTGTGACTACTTTCCATCCATATTGGAGTTCAAGAAAGAAGAAAACAGATGGACGCAAAGGCCAGCAGGAGAAAATAGAATCAAGTGGGGGTGGAAAAGGGAGGGGAAGAAGAAGGCAGAAGGGAGATGGTACTAGGAGGAGAAAGAAAAGAAATCTAAGAAAGGAAAGGTCTCACCCTGGGCAGGTGAAATGGGCCAGGGTGTGGCGTTTCCTCCTCCACCTGTGGTGGCTTTATCCTTCCTGAGATGCTCTGGCCATCCAGAGGTGGCCTGGGCTTCCTCATCTTAGTGTGGAACCTGGGGAGCGGGGAGTCACCATAACAGTCGAAGTTGTGGCCAGATTGTCATTCATAATTCATCTCTCCCCACTGCAGCCACAAGATGGGAAATGCCCTCAACAGGCAAGTACTTTGGCAGCTGAGAAGTAGGCAAGATGAAATCATCCTGTTTCTATTTTTAACCTGCTATTAGCACTGCCTGAAACTGATTGGCTCAAGGTAATCATTTGCTAGTATTTCTATTTTAATTATATGTCTCATTAAACTCAGCTTAGGCTAAATCAAACTGGTTCCTGGTCATTTCACTTTCTTTAATTCTTAAATTTTAAGTTCTAATGAAGCCTTTCTAGGTCTCCAATTGGAAAACATGTTGCAAGTTTATGTAAGAGATGCCATTTATTAAATGAAAGTTTTCATTAAATGCACTTGCCCATGGATACATTGTATGTCTCTGAATGTAAAACATCAAAAGTATCAAGTAATTGGTATTTGCTAAGTGGTAAAATAGAGAGATGGTGTCAAATTTAAAAGCCAGAAATTCATATTTAAAGTCCAGCAATTCTCATGAGGTTAAGGGCAGCTCAAAGTGGGATTTTGTTGTCAGGTTCATCAAGTGTAGACAAGTCTTGAGCTTAGTGCCAAAAATTAGAGCAGCTCATTCTATGAGGGTCAGAGAGTAGGGTATGAGTGACACAGAGCTGTGGTGTTTATTGGAGCAAGAAAGGGGTTAGCGAGCTGTCCGAGGGGCCCAAGAGTCCCCACTGGGTAGGCCCTCAGGAGATGGCAGGGGTGAGCCAATAAGGGAACATAGCAGGGCTGAGGGAGGGGAAAACGGCAAGTAATGAGGGCAAGGGTGAGTGGAAGTGGTTGGGAAAAGGAATGAAGGGGAAATCGGAGCAAGTAGGAGGACATCAAGAGCTATCAGGGTTTGTTGAAAAGAGCCCATGAAAGTGTCTGCTCTCTGGGCAAAGCGAAGGTCTACTGGATAAGGGTCCTCTCTTCAGAGAAGAGCCAGGCTAGTAATGGAGATGACATATCCTTGTGGCAGAAGACAGACATGTCATGGGTGCAGTAGGCTGGCGGAAGCAAATTGCAGTGGTCACCAAAAGGAGGGAAAGATTCAGGGCTTGCCTTTTTCCGGTTCTTGTGGGGAAATTACTATTGTTTTATTTCTTTAATCCAACCCCCGGCAAATCCCCAGTACCTACTAGACACCTGTGTATGTTCTGGTGAGCTGAACTTTGAGGAGGAGTGGATGTTTGGTGGGATAGCCTTGCTGCTTCTATTATATGGTCAATAAACATATGAAAAAAAGCTCAACATCACTGATCTTTCGAGAAATGCACATCGAAACCACAATGAGATAGCATCTCATACCAGTCAGAATGGCTATTATTAAAAAGTTAAAAAACAACAGATGCTGGCAAGATTGTGGAGAAAAAGGAGCACTTTTACACTGTTGGTAGGAATGTAAAATAGTTCAACCATTGTGGAAGATAGTGTGGTGATTCCTCAAAGACCTAGGAGCAAAAATACCGTTTGACCCAGCAATCCCATTACTGGGTCTATCCCCAAAGGAATGTAAGTGATTTTAGAGATACATGCATGCATATGTTCATTGCAGCACTATTCACAATAACAGACACATGGAATCAACCTAAATGCCCATTTAGGTTGACTGGATAGACTGGATAAAGAAAATGTGGTACATATACACCATGGAATACTATGCAGCCATAAAAATGAATGAAATCATGTCCTTTGCAGGGACATGGATGGAGCTACAAACCATTATCCTCGGCAAACTAATGCAGGAACAGAAAACCAAATATTGCATGTTTTCACTTATAAGTGGGAGCTGAATGATGAGAACACATGGACACATGGTTGGGGGGAACAGCACACAATGGGGCTTAATTCAGATTTTCTCCTGTACAAGAATGAGATCTTGAGAGGCAACTGCATGCAGCCTAAGCACCTCAGTTTGACTAATGGAGCTGCCCTACAGCTGAGGGTTTTGGGGCCATTAACTTTGTGTGAGTTTTCTCAGTAGCACATTGAGGGTTGTTGCAAAGATTAAATGAGATAGTAGACTTGAAGCATGCAGAATAACAGCCAACATTTGTGGGGTGTGGGGGTGGGGAGAGGGAGAGCATCAGGAAGAATAACTAATGAATGCTGGGCTTAATACCTAGGTGATAGGATGGTCTGTGCAGCAAATCACCATGGCACACGTTTGCCTATGTAACAAACCTGCACATCCTGCACAGGTATCCCTGAACTTAAAAGTTGGAAAAAAAAAAACCCATTAAAAACATTTATAGGAATTTTTGAGTTAGAATTTTATGGATCATTAATACGATCTTCTGATTTTCCTAGTTAGAAAGCTTAGCCCCTCAGGGACTAGATGAATCGTCTCATGTTCAGTTCATACCAGACAATGATTGCATCCCATGGTGTGCTTGTCACAGAGCTCGTTGGTGGCTGGTCCAGAATCAGGGAATGAATGTCTTCACTCTGACTCCAGGTGTACTTGAAGTATACCTGGAAGGACCGTCATATTTAGAACAACAACAATAACAATAACTATTAATTTTAAAATATTTATTTCCCAGAATTCTATGATGCTTTTCTAACACATGTGTTCCAGGGATTAGCGTTTGATAAGGATTGCAAGGATGAGATCTTTGAACTTGGTAGCCATAGCAACCTTATCCTGTGCTCTAAAGGGAAGTGGTGTTCTGTGGGACAGCTTAGAGGATTATTCATTGAATCAACATGTTTTATTTTTATTTATCAACATGTTTGATTTTTATTTATCAACTTTTTTTATTATCAACTTTATTTATCAACTTTGTCAACTTTCCTGAGTGCCCCTCTGCCTAATTCCAACCCCCTTGCCCACAGAACTTATATCCCTGGGGACTAACTAGTAGCAGCAGAAAGTGACTTCCGCTTATACTTGGAATGGTCCAATTTAAATGTAAAACAGAAATAGAAAAAAACCACAGTAGGAGACACGAAGTTGCATCTTGGCTTAGTGGGGTTCCAAAGTAGTAGATTTTTTAAGTTTACGCCATTGAAAAAATTAATTGTATACTGTATAGGGCTAAGGGGTTTACACATAAAATCACAGTACATTTCCTTCCACATGGGTATAGAGCACTTTAATGTTAGAATAGAGCACTGAGAACCTTTCAGGTACCTGTGGGACACGAGTCTTGCGAGTGACACTCAATGCCAGGGAGTCTCCCCAGTTATCCATTCTACCAGGAGGAATTTAGGGGAACTGGCTTCAGAGTAAAGGGAAAGAGGGAAGTGAGGTGGCAGGGGTGGTGGCAGTTAGGCTGAGCTTTGGGGAAAGAGACAAAAGTAAGAAAAGAAAAGTGTCAGAGAAAGCAAACATTTTAGGATAATGCCTTGGAAACATTTACCAAGTTTTTTGTTTTTTTTTTTTTTTTTTGAGACGGAGTCTCACTCTGTTGCCCAGGCTGGAGCACAGTGGCACGATCTCGGCTCACTGCAAGCTCTGCCTCCCAGGTTCACGCCGTTCTCCTGCCTCAGCCTCCCGAGTAGCTGGGACTACAGGCTCCCACCACCATGCCTGGCTAATTTTTTGTATTTTTTAGTAGAGACGGGGTTTCACCGTGGTAGCCATGATGGTCTCAATCTCCTGACCTCGTGATCCACCCACCTCGGCCTCCCAAAGTGCTGAGATTACAGAAATCAAAATGCTGTGCTTTGTCTGGGCACAGTGGCCCACACCTGTAACCCCAGCATTTTGGGAGACTGAGGCAGGAGGATCTCTTTAGCCCAGGAGTTCAAGACTGGCCTGGACAACAAAGTAAGACTGCGTCTCTACAAAAAATAAAAATAAAACAAACAAAAAGCCCAGATGCTGTGCTTCACTTTATTGTCCGTATCTGCGGACCTTGGTGGGTTTTGAAATAGATATATTTGTTATCATCCCCGAGATAGGTCTAAACCCATCTGTTGGCTGCTTAAGAAAATGAACCAGGAGAAAATGTACCTTCCTGAAGATCGAAGGCCAAGCACTGGCAAAGGTGACAAAGTTCTGGCCTATGTTTAATTGTTGAAACACCACCCTGGGAGGTCTTTAGTGCTGTTTTCTTCAGGGTACTGACTGTAGGCAGGACATTCTTGATGGTAGGTTAGACCATTATGAAATGTTTAGTGTTTCTAATATGTATGAAATAGCTGTGTAAATTGTGGAGTTCTGACCATAATTATAATGAATGATTATGAAGCTAGACCTCTTTATAATCTTTGAGATGGAATAAAAATGAATAGTAGGCTGGACGTAGTGGCTCACACCTGTAATCCCAGCACTTTGGGAGGCTAAGGTGGGCGGGCCACCTGAGGTCAGGAGTCCGAGACCAGCCTGGCCAACATGATGAAACCCCACCTCTACTAAAAATACAAAAACTAGCTGGGCGTGGTGGCACGTGCTTGTAATCCCAGCTGCTAGGGAGGCTGAGGCATGAGAATTGTTTGAACCCAGGAGGCAGAGGTTGCAGTGAGTTGAGATTGCACCAGTGCACTCCAGCCTGGGCGACAGAGTGAGACTGTCTCAAAAAAAATTAAAAATTAGCTATTTCTGAAGTAAAAATCATCATCATTATCATAACAGACACTTTGAGAGTCCTTTGCCAGCACTGTTATCAGTATTAATATTTTACACATTAAAATATTAAAAACTCACAATTACTTGATGAGGTAGGGCATATGTCTATTTTCTAGAAGAAGGTGGGTAGTGGACCTCAGGTTTGGATCCATACAGGCTCCAGATCCTGTGCTCATAGCCATGACACTGTATTGTATTAAACAGAAACAGAAGCACAGGTTTTCATAGTGAAGTTCTAAATAGCTCTTTGCAGACAGTCATTCCATCTATTGGCCTGTATGATATAGGTTGTAATTTTTTTTTTTTTAAAGACAGGGTCTCACTTTGTTGCACAGGATTTACTGCGGTGGTGCAATCACAGCTCACTGTAACCTTGAACTCTTGAGCTCAAGCAATCTTCCTGCCTAGGCCTCCTTAGTAGGTGGAATTACAGGTGCACATCACTATGCCCAGCTAATTATTTTACTTTTTGTAGAGACAGGTTCTCACTTTGTTGCCCAGGCTGGTCTTGAACTCCTGGCCTCAAGTGATCCTTCTACTTTGACCTCTCAAAGTGCTGGGATTATAGGCGTGAGCCACTGAGCCCCACCTTGTTTTAATTGTATATATCATTGTCAGCAGGTGATACTGTTTCTTCAGCTTCTTGTGAAGAGAAAAGTATATATATTTTTTAAAGAACTTGAGCATTGGCTGGATGCAGTGACTCATGCCCGTGATCCTAGCACTTTGGGAGGCCAAGGTGGGAGGATCACTTGAGCCCAAGAGTTAGAGACCAGCCTACGAAACTTAGTGAGATCCAGTCTCTACAAAAAAATAAAAAGGCCAGGTGCAGTGGCTCATGCCTGTAATCCTAGCACTTTGGGAGGCCGAGGCGAGTGGATTGCCTGAGCTCAGGAGTTTGAGACCAGTCTGGACAACACAGTGAAATTGCGTCTCTACTAAAATACAAAAAAAAAAAAAAGAAAGAAAGAACAAAAAATAGCCAGGCGTGGCGACGTGTGCCTGTAGTTCCAGCTACTCGGGAGGCTGAGACAGGAGAATCGCTTGAACCCAGGAGGCAGAGGTTGCAGTGAGCCGAGATTGTGCTACTGCACTCCAGCCTGGGCAACAGAGTGAGACTCCATTTCAAAAAAATAAATAAATAAATAAATAAAACAATTAAAGGACAAATTGGGTTCAGTGGCTCGTGCCTCTAGTCCTAGCTAGTCGGGAGGCTGAGATGGAAGGATCACTTGAGCCCAGGATTTTGAGGTTACAGGGTTACAGTGACCTATAATCTCGCCACTGCACTCCCACCTGGGCAACAGAGTGAGACCCCATCTCTAAGAAAAAAAGAACCGGAGCTTAAAATACTTGACTTAAAAAGAAGCAGTGTCTATGCTAAAGGCAATTTTTCTTCTTGATCCTTCCTCATTATATTATTTTTAGTAATTAAATTTTTTTTCTTTTGTGGGATCTTATAGGAGATCAGCACTTAGGAGAGAGAATGGTTTTTGAGGTGTCTGTTTCCTTTGCTTGCTTGCAGAAGTCTTCATTCTGCCTTTAGTATCTACCAGACAGTGGCTTTTCTGCAAACTTTCTTTCTTGACTGTCTTATTAAATGGTGTATCAAGGGTAAATTAATTTGCCTCTTGTGACTAATACTGCCTCACTTCTGACATGTACCCCTAATGTCACATGTGAAAATAACAAAGAACTTTAAGAAGTCATAACTAACTTTTTGCTTTGAAAAGTCCTCTTCAAAAATTGGTTAGCTGATACAATTTGCAATCAGTGTGGATCCTGTGAATGGAACTGTTTTCATATACAGTCATGTACTACATAACAACGTTTTGGTCTATGAAGGACCATGTATTCTATAGTTGTCCCATAAGGTTACAATGGAGCTGAAAAATTCCTATTCCCTAGCTGTCGTAATGTCACAGCACACATTGCTCACGTGTTTGTAGTGATGCTGGTGTAAACAAACCTACCATGCTGCCAGTTGTATAAAAGTGTACACTCATGTCCTAGGCTCACCACCCTCTCACTGACTCACTCAGAGCAACTTCCAGTCCTACAAGCTCCATTCATGGTAAATGCCCTGGACAGGTGTACCATTATACATTTTTTCTGCTGTATTATTACTGTATCTTTTCTATGTTTAGATACACAAATACTTGCCTGCAGTGTTCAGTATAGTAAGATGCTGTACAGATGTGTAACCTGCAAGTAATAATAGGCTATATCATCTAGCCTAGGTATGCAGTAGGTTACACCATCTAGGTTGATTTAAGTACACTCTATGATGCTTGCATGATGACGAAATTGCCTAATGTCGTGTTTCTCAGAACGTATTCCCATTGTTAAGCGACGCAGGATTGTACTTCTTATGTGCCAGGCACTGTGCTAGGTGCCAAGAATCCAAAGTAATGAACCGCTATGTTTCTGTCCATGAGACCCTCACATTCAATTGGAAAAATAATTAGACTCTGTCCAGAGTTTTTATTGTTTACACTGTGTGGTCGGTGCTAAGACCTTATCTGAGCTTTATAACTGTCTCGTGAGGAACCAACTGTTACCACATCCTTTTTGTCTTTCCTCTTCATACTTACTTCCCATCCCCTACATGTTTGTCTTTCTCCTTTCTTTGTACTTTATTTGAGACAGAGTCTCACTCTGTTGCCTAGGCTGGAGTGCAGTGGCGTGATCCCGGCCACTGCAACTTCTACCTCCCTGGTTCAAGCAATTTTCCTGCCTCAGCCTCCAGAGTAGCTGGGATTGCAGGCACCTGCCACCATGCCTGGCTGATTTTTGTATTTTTAGTAGAGACAGGGTTTCATCATGTTTGCCAGGCTCGTCTCGAACTCCTGACCTCAAGTGATCCACCCGCCTCGGCCTCCCAAAGTGCTGAGATTACAGGAGTGAGCCACCATGCCTGGCCCTGTCTTATTTAAACCTGGTATTCCAAGATACTTGCACTGCCTAGCTCTGCATGTAGTACTCAGATTTTAAAAGTTGTCTGATTTCTGGTCTGTTTCTTCATAAATCTCTTATATGTCTTTCTATTCATGAACAGCCAAATGTATTTTGACTCTTTCAGGTATTTTCCAAAATGAGGCTTTAATCATTTCTGATAAAATATTTCCATTCAATGTGGTATCTATTAAAAACCTGTTTTAATTTTTATGATTCATGGAATTTTGAGATTTAAGTTCTAGATTAACTTCCAGAAGTTTTTTTTTTTCTTTCATGGATGCAGACATCTAGAAGACACCAGTTTCTATTACTCAGAGGCCACAGGTTTCAGTTTTGTGTGATATGGATGAAAACTCACATTTTCTTCATAGAATCCATCTGTATTAGTCCATTCTCACACTGCTATAAAGCAATACCTGAGAGTGGGTAATTTAGTAAAACAAAAGGCTTAATTGCCTTATGGTTCTGCAGGCTGTACAGGAAGCATGGCCGCATCAGCTTCTGGGGAGGCCTCAGGGAACTTATAATCATGGTGGAAGGTGAAGTGGGAGAAGGCATGTCATGTGACCAGAGTAGCAACAGAGAGTGAGGGTGGAGGTGCTAAACACTTCCAAACAACCAGATCTTGTGAGAACTCACTCACTATCACGAGAACAGCACCAAGGGGATGACAGTAAACCATTCATGAGAAATCCACGGCCATATTCCAGCCACCTCCCACCAGGCCCCACCTCCAACACTGGGGATTACAATTCAACATGAGATTTGGTGGGGACACTGATCCAACCCATATCACCATCCAAGGAAGCTAAATCACGCTTTTTGTCTTTTTACCTCCTGTATTTTTGAGCGTCCTATCATGTTGAAACATTTATTAAATATGCTATTGATGGTCTGTGTAGATCAGTGTTATATTTGCATATACATATTTTATATTTATTTGCTTGCATGCCTTTTCATTGTATTCCTCTTTGGAATTGTCTTTTTTGGAAAAAAAAACCTTAAGCACACAAAAACAGGGTATTTGCTAACTACGAATTTGGGCAGGCAAAAAGGCTGACATCACATTCTGTTTGATTTTAAGAGCAAGAGTTGAGGAAGCAAGGCAGTAGGCCCTCCTGTGATTTGGAGGGTGTAGATAGTATGAGCAACTATAGCCATCCCTAGGAATCAACAATTTTTTGTTTGTTTGTTTCTTTGTTTGTTTGAGACAGTCTTGCTCTGTTGCCCAGGCTGGAGTGAGGTGGTGCGATCATGGCTCACTGCAACCTCTACCTCCTGGATTCAAGAGAGTCTCATCCCTCAGCCTCCTGGGTAGCTGGGAATATAGGCACCACCATGCCCAGCTAATTTTTGTATTTGTAGTAGAGATGGGGTTTTGCCATGTTGGCCAGGCTGGTCTCAATCTGCTGACCTCGTGATCCGCCTGCCTCAGCCTCCCAAAGTGCTGGGATTATAAGCATGAGCCACTGCACCTGGACCCTAGGAATCAATTTTTAACAGTTGTTTCTATCAGTCCCATTATACTTACTATCTTCTCTCTTTTCCTTTTCTTTTTCTTCTTCTTCTTGTTTGTTTTTGTTTTTGTTTTTGTTTTTTTAGAGACAGAATCTCACTCTGCCTCCCAGGCTAGAGTACAGTGGTGTGATCATAGCTCACAGCTGCCTTGAACTTCTAGGCTCAAGTGATCCTCTTGCCTCAGCTTCCCAAGTAGCTGGGACTACAGGTGAGCGCACCACATCTGGCTAATTATTTTAATTTTTGTAGAGACAAGTTATTTCTTTGTTGCCCAGGCTGGTCTTCAACTCCTGGGCTCAAGCATTTATCTCGCCTTGGCCTCCCAAAGTAGTGGGATTACAGGCATGAGCCACTGCGCCTGGCTTCTTTTTTCTTCTATAAGGATGTAAAATGATTTTCTGCTTTCAGTGATACTGCTGGGGTTGGATAAATGGAGTTAGCTATAATGTTTTCCATTAAGTTGGGAGTGAGGATTTGATTGGAAATCAGATTGGGTTTGAATTAATCATTTCCAATAGACGTACATGAAATAACCTTAAAATTATTATCATTATTATTGTTATTATTCTTTTGAGACAGGGTCTTGGCAGGCTGGAGTGCAGTGGTGCAGTCATAGCTCACTGCAGCCTAGACCTCCCGGGCTCAAGTGATCCTCCTGCCTCAGCCTCCTGAGTAGCTGGGACTACAGGTGTGCATCACCATGCCCGGCTAGTTTTTTTTTTTTTTTTTTTTTAAGTTTTTTGTAGAGATGGCATCTTGCTATGTTGCCCCGGCCGGTCTTGAACTCCTGGGCTCAAGCAATCCTTCTGCCTTGGCCTCCCAAAGTGCTGGAATTACAGGCATGAGCCGCTGCACCCAGCCTAAATAACTTTGATTATTAAAATGACACCTATATATTAGAGAGGAACACTTTTACTGAAGTCACCTATAGCTCTAAAACATTCCATTCTTACACATCAGCCTTTCAGTAAAGGTTTTCTCAATGTCTGGTAGAGGCCTGAAACTGTATTTCTTTTTTTAAATCCTTGCCAGCAGGAAGTTACCAAAACTATATTTCCTACAGAATAAAGAGTAAGCACGGTCTTTCAAGGCCTTTATTACCTGTTCTCTGCTCTATCTTTCCCTTTTCTACATTTTAAAAATTTCCCTAGCATGCTGGCCAATTTCCCTTGCTCCTGAGCATATCATTCATTCATTCATTCATTCATTCATTCATTCATTCAGAATATTGAGACCCTAATATATGCCAGGCACTCTGGATGCATTGGTAAAAAGGATAGACATGGTTTCCGCCTTCTTGAAGTTTTTTGCCCAGGTAAAGAGGTCATTACAATACAGAGTGAGAAGTGCTGTGACTGCAGAAGCTGAGCGTGTTCCCACAGCACTGCAGCAGATCACCTATCTTGCACTTGGGCAGAAGGGAGGGCTTCCTGGAGGAGGTGACTTCAAGCTGAGATCAGAAGGACTAAGGGGGAGGAGCAGGAGGGTTGTGCAAAGTCAGAGGCATGTTGTCCGGGTGAAATGAATGGTGCCCTGAATTCAGGTAGCTATATGGAGGGAAATGGATAGATTTAAGATAGACTTAGGAGGCAAAAGAAATAATATGAGGTGATTGATTCTATTTAATGGGGTGTTAGAGAGGGAGATACAACTCTAGTTTCTGGCCTGAACAGCTGGCTTGTTGAACAACCCCACCGTTAGCTAAGAGACCTGGAGGAGGAATAGTCAAAGAGGAAGATGATGAACTGTTAAGGACAGAGAAATTTAGGTGTCTATGGTTTATGCAAGTGAGGATTTCTGTAGGCATTGGGCTATATGCTTAGGGTTCACTGTGTGTCTTCAGGAGAGACATCTGGGCTGGAGATCAAGATTTGGAAGGCATGGTATTTGGAGGCATAGGAGCGAGAAACGTTACCTTGGCATGTAACATGGCATAGCAGAGACACTGGCCTGGGATGGCCCCTAGAAGGGCATCATCATTGCAGGGGGGGATAACAGGGGAACTGCCCTCAAAGGAGAGGGATAAGCCTGGTCAGAGAGGTAAGAGAAGACAGCTGTGGGAATGTGGTGCCAGGGACTCAAGAAGGAAGAGCAGAGAGTAATGTGCAGTGTCAGAGGCTGCCAAGAGATCATGGCAGGCCAAGACTGGGTGTTGTTCATTGGCTTTGCAAGAAAGGAGATAGTCGATGACTTGGCTGGAGTAGTTGTGGCGAGTTAGGGATATGTTGCCATTTATGGCACAAAGGGAGGTTAAAAATGAAGTGTAACTTTAGAGATTCTGTGGGGTTAAATTTTAAAGATACAAATCCCTCCCCCTTCTTTCCTCCTATAATTATCAAGAGATGGGAGGATAGGAGAATTAATAGGCACCACAGGAAAACGTGTTTATTATTAAGTTTTTAAAAACCTATAATTGGTAACTTGTTTCCCGGTTTTGAAAACTGTTGTCTAGTTTGCTGTTGGGTGGGATAAGGTTTTTTCTTTTTCTTTACTTTTCTTTTTTTTTTTAACGGAGAATTGTAGTTACTTTGACTCTTGGTCCACATCAGAGTTTCCTTTTTAATATACACACATATTTTGGAGAAGGTGATTACATAATAGAAGCTCAAAATAGTTCAGTTCCTAGGGACCAGGCAGAATCACAGATATTCCTATTTCGTCAGTCCCACATTGCACAATGGTCACCAAACTTTGGGTCCCTGCACTCTTGGAGTTGTGACAATTGTGCTGTATCCCAGCCTGCCCCATAAGATCTCTGTTTTGGAAAAGCTAAATGGCATTGTGTTTTATTTTCAAATTAAACCAAATTAAAATTAATTTTGTTTTGAGACTTTTGAGAACTTCACAACCCACTCTGAGATAATTGGCCACACCCTGGGGTGTTGCATAAGAAAATATAGCCCTGGTTCTGCATTTTCCATTGTCCCCAGAGATCTTACTCATGGCAGCATCTTAAATAGCAAGTAGTATTATTGGTATACAGGAGAGCGTATATGGCTATGGGGTGATAACGTTTTTATCACTTTGGACTGATAAAGTTTTTACCTAAGTCCACCAGGAAAATAACTGTTCAAGACAGTTTTTGTTGTTGTTGTTTAGGAGACAACATAGGTTGTTGGGAAAAGATGTTACTTGGGAATCTGTTCCATCGTTTTCTTCTCTCTCTTTAAATGACCTTGTTTAACCTCTTTATTTTACCCATTGGGAAAACCCCGATGATATTTGTACTTACTGCCTCCTTAGTGATATGAAACAACCAAATACACTCCCCTCTCCTCTCCTGTCCTCTCCTCTTCCTTCCTCCCCTCCCCTCCCCCCTTTTCCCTTCCCTTCCCTTCCCCTCCTCTCCCCTCCCTCCCTTCCTTCCTCCCTCCCTCCCTTCCTTTTCCTTCCCTTCTCTCTCCTCCCCTCCTCTCCTCTCTTCTTCTTTCTCTCCTTCTCTCTCTCTTTCTCTCTTTCCCTCTCCTCTCCTCTCTTCTCTTCTCTTCTCTTCTCTTCTCTTCTCTTCTCTTCTCTCTTTCTCTCCCTCTCTCTCTTTCTCTCTCTCTCTTTCTCTTTCTCTGTTTCCCTCTCCTCTCCTCTCCTCTTCTCTCCTCTCCTCTCCTCTCCTCTCTCTCTCTCTCTGTCTCTGTCTCTGTCTCTGTCTCTGTCTTTCTTGAGTCTGACTCTGTGGCCCAGGCTGGAGGGCAGTGGGGTGATCTCAGCTCACTGCAACCTCCATCTCCCAGGCTCAAGCCATTCTCCTGCCTCAGCCTCCTGAGTAGCTGGGACTACAGGCACGTGCCATTATGCCTGGCTATTTCAGAGTTACTTTTTAATAAGAAACATGACACTATAGTATCAGGGTTTAGTTGATTCATGCTGCTTGGGTTTATATTTTTTGATTAATTTTTACTATTTCAAATGTGTATGTCTAAGAATTTTAAAATAAATAATGAAGAGATTAAAAAATAAGTAATGAATGTGGCCTCTTTAAAGCACAATTAACAGCCCAAATCTCATTTGGGAAAGAAGATGGGCTGATTGAGTTTTTAGATTTAGGACACACCCGTTCTTTGACTATGTTGGAACTTATTATGCATCTGGTAGGCTAGGTAGGGTTTCTGGGGAGGTCTTTTCATCTTATGTGCTTCCTACTGGAGGATGTGCAGGGAAATTCATCAACTCTAATTAGTGACTTTGAGCTTTTCTCCTTGCCACTGTGTTGGGTAAAGAGTTTGATGGAACAAAAGAGATACTAATAATATCTAGCATGCATCGTACAGTTCGTGTGGTGACAGGCACTGTGCTAATCACTTGACATGTATTAACTCACTTAATTCTGTGAGAGTAGTTGCATGGTTCCTATTTTATAGAAGAAGAATTGGAGACAGGCCAAATAATTTGGCTAAGGTTGTACAACTAGGGGATTAGGGTGGGACTTTATCTCAAGCTGTCTAACTTCATAGCTTGTTCTTTTAACTTTATACCAATTCTCAATTACCACTGATTAAAATCTGTGCATCCAATTCATCTGGGTAACTCCACCCTTTTTATAACAAACACTTAGAAACGTTAGTTCAGTGGGTAATCAACTCATTGGCCAAAGCCAGTAATAAATGAAAAGGCATTCAACCAGCAGCAAGGAAAATGCAAATTAAAATTAATGCACTACCAGTTCTCCACAATCTCACTGAAAAGATTTAACAGATTAACAGCCCCCTATGCTGGCAAGGGTGAGGAGAGCATACCCTTATATGTTACTGGGGGAAGTAAAACATTGCTTTAACTTTTGGAGAATGTGATCTGGTGGTATTTATGAAATTTAAAAAATAGGTACTATTAGATCAAGCTAGGAATTTATCTTATAGACATATATTTACCAGTACATGAAGATATAGATACAATGGTGCTATTTGTAATAGCAAAAAAACTGAAAATAACTTGGAAGTTGCAGAACGGTTGAGTAAATTATGTCACATCCATAGTATTGGAGTTTCGGGCAACTAATAGACAACACTCTGCTTTCCTCCTAGATGTGGAACCAATTTGGAAATAAGATCCAAGAGACAGACGGGGGAGATCAAATCATTATCTTCATTAATGATAAAGCTGATTGACCACAATGGGTTTCTTTTCTTTTCTTTTCTTTTTCCTTTTCCCTTTTCTTTTCTTTTTTTCTTTTCTTTCATTCATTCGTGACAGGGTCTCACTCTGTCACCCAGGCTGGAGTGCAGTGACACTATCACAGCTCACTGCAGCCTTGATCTGCTCGGCTTAAGTGATCCTCCTACCTCAGCCTCTCAAGTAGCTAGGACTACAGGTGCAAGTCATCATGCTTGGGTAATTTTTTAAATTTTTCATGGAGATGAGGTCTTACTCTCTTGCCCAGGCTGGTCTTGAACTCTTGAGCTCAAACCATCCTCCCGCCTCGGCCTCCCAAAGTGCTGGGATTATAGCATCACGCCTGGCAGATTTCCTACTTTATCCTTGAATGACACTGATTTGGCCACCCAATTACTGATGCTGCTGAGCAGACACTCCAAGACCACTCCAGGCAGGACAACATGTGCAACAACTCTGTGCAGGGAGCACAGAACAGAGAATACCTTTGTCTAAAGGCATGCTGGCTCCCAAAGAGAGAAGTCCCCAAAGGCCTGAGCTGGGCCTGCTCAGTGTCTCTTCTCAATTTAGCAGCTGGCTAATTAAGTCATTCCTCCTTCCCTGGGAAGGAGAGTGGGAGGGAGTTAGGGCGGAGAAAAAGGGGAAATGTTCCTTCCGTATTTTCCCTCCTAGGGAATGGAGTAAAGATAAACCTCTCTCTATGAAAATCTAAGTTCACCACACCTGCCATACTGTGTGGAATATTATACAGCTTTAAAAAGTACAAGCTAGCTCAGTATGAGTTGACTTGGAAAGATGTCCATCTTTTGTTGAATGAAAAACAAGTTACAGTGTAGTTTTTATACCATGGTTATGATAAAGTAAAGGAGAAATCAATGCATATGGGTATATTTTTGGATTTTGAAAGTAAATATAGGAAACAGTATTAAAGTGTATGCTCCATCTGCTAAAGAGGAAGATGCATGCTAGATATAGAAGGTTGGGATTATGAGGGATCTGTGAACTTCTCTCATGTACATCTCTGTATTGTTCATTTTTTTTAAATGAGCATTCATTAATTTTATAATAAAATGAAATTAGCTAAAAAATGAACTCTATGGCTTCTTTTAATGGACTTCATTTGTATGTAGTTCTCCTAGATGCCTGGAAGGACCTGCAGTTCTTATATGTTTCATTCTATCTTTGGAACATAGGATGTTGGGTTAATTAGCTCAGATGACTTTTACCTATTCTAACCAAACTGGTTTCCCTATTCTTTTTTTTTTTTTTTGAAACAGAGTCTTGCTCTGTTGCTCAGGCTGGAGTGCACTGGCACGATCGCGGCTCACTGCAGCCTCCGCCTCCTGGGTGCAAGCGATTCTCCTGCTTTAGCCTCCTGAGTAGCTGGGATTACAGGTGTGTGCCACCATGCCTGGCTAATTTTTGTATTTTTAGTAGAGATGGGGTTTCACCATATTGGAAAGGCTGGGCTTGAACTCCTGACCTCAAGTGATCCACCCGCCTCAGCCTCCCAAAGTGCTAGGATTACAGGTGTGAGCCATTGCACCCAGTCCACTATTCATTTTAAGCCTTCTGCGTAGAGTTGGGTACACAGTGTGCCAAATGTTTCTCATAGCCCCTCTGCAGGTTCGTGAAGCAGGGTGTATGGAGTGGACTAGCTCTCAAAAAAGTATCAAGCAATACAGATGTTGTAGTTAATGTTGGACATGTAGTTTTGAATCCATTTACAAAGTGGAAGCAGATTGGACCACGGAGTCAGGAGAATCTGGCCACAGTAACCTTTCCCCTCTATGTACCGGTTTCCTTACCCACAAAATGAGGGGCTTGGATCAGATAATTGCTAATAGTCCTAGCTTCTCTTGTCTATTTTATGCCTGATTTAAATCTTTAATTACAGATGCTCCTCAACTGACGATGGAGTTACATCCTAAAAAACCCACTCTAAGTTGAAAATATCAGAAAAATCAAACAATGCATTTAATATGCCCAACCTATCAATATCATAGCTTAGCCTACCCTATCTTAAATATGCTCAGAACACTACAGGTAGGCAATAATCTATCACAAAGCCTATTTTATAATAAAGTGTTGAGTATCTCATGTAATTTGTTGAATACTGTACTGAGAGTGAAACACAAAATGGTCATATGGCTACTCAAAGTTCGGTTTCTACTGAATGCAAGTCACTTTCACACCATCTTAAAGTTGAAAAATCGTAAGTCGAACCATCATAAATAAGTCAGGGACTGTCTGTACTCTAACATACACTCGCTAAGCTGCCTCTTTCTTCCCGGTTGGCATTAGAAGTTGAAGCTGTGGATCTCAGCCCTGGCTGAATATTAAAATCACCTTGGAACTTAAAAAAAATTTTTTTAAAAGATGCCTTATCCCCCAACCTCCCACAAATTCTGATCTGGATTAGGATTCTAAAATCAGTCACTTTAAATTTTAATTTTTCAAAAAAACAGATCTTTGGTTGATTCCAGTGTTGAGAGCTGCTATGTTGAGAAGTCCTGCTAGTTAGCTACTGTACACTTTGTAGCCTATCTAATACTTGTGAAGCTTTATAGTTCTTTTAAAGTAGTATATAAAGTACTTTTGTAGTACTTTCACGTTCCATTTAGTGCCCACCACAATCTGGTAGGGTAGATGTTATTAGTATCCCACATACCCACTTAACCTTGTAAGTCTCTTATTTGAGGTTACTTTTCATGATGGAACCAGACTGAAAGAAGGTGACTCCAGGCCCAACTGGGTGGACCTGAGCCACAGGAAAAATTTCAGGTTACATATATATGGGGTGTGTTTGTGTGTGTGTGTGTGTGTGTGTGTGTGTGTACATGCACATACATTCTATATTAAATACATATATTTGTATTATATATAGATTTTATACACACACATTATATAGTAAACATAAGTATATATTATGTACATAATATATACACATATTAAAAATATATATTATGCACACACATTATTCAGACACATGCACATACAAACATGCCATTGGTAGTGATCTCTATCTGTATAAAACTTGACATCCCGGGCCCCGGTCAAGGTTGTAAAATCACCCCCTAACATTCCACCTCCTTATTCAGTGGGATCCCTTCAGCAGTGTGTGCCCCTCACTCCTTATGGAGGCCCAGAATTCTTTACTCAGGCTCTTATTTTTAGATGGGCCCCTTCTGACCCTCTGTACCCCAATTTTCTCCCACCTCACCTCCAGGGCTGCTGGGGAATCATCAGAAGGCATGCTGGACTGGAGTCAGGACACCTGAGTTCTGGTCTTAACTCTGATGTTCAGAGGCTGTGTGACCCAGGCCAGGTCACGTACTGGCTCGGGGCTCCAGTTCCTTCATCTGGAAAGTGAGATATTGAATCATGCGAGAAGGTTGTGCCTGAGTAGAACCAGACTCCCTGAGATTAAATTCCAGTGTTGCCACTGACTGGGTGTATGATTTTGGGTAAATTTTCTAACCTCTCCATGACTGAATTTCCATATCTGTAAAATGGAAGCCTCAAAGCACATCAAAAGTTGTCAAGATAAAAGGAATTATACAGGCAGAAGGAATGAAAACAGTTCCTGGGAGGTAGTCAGCAGCACATTAATGCTAGCCAATGTTAATATTATTAACAATAAAGTATGAATAATATTAACATTTTTAACTGGTTAACAGTGGAATTTAATGGGAATGTTTTCTTTCCAGAGGTGAGGAGTAACAGCGTGCTTGTGGACAGGGTTTTTTAAGAGTCCTAAATGGTCCTGAGTTTTATACAGTCTTCCCTGCCTGCTGGGCCAAGGATTATAAGGATTTGATTTATGGGATAGGAGGCAGGCTGAAATACGTAGATATCACCTATGTACTTCAGGATTTTTTCTTGCCTCGAAGCCTAAAGAGACAGCACAATCGTTTTCCACCTTTTAGCCATTGGAGTAAGTTTTTAAAGGGCTTTCGTTCTAAATCATAACTAATCCATGTGACATGATATTTGCAAAATAAGGTAAGCCAAAAGTCTCCCTGTACAATTTAATCTCTAAGTGTATAAGGACTCTTTCTCTGAGCATTAAAGGAGGGATTATCCCATTCTAGAGGGACTGGAGGATGTACCCAGCACTGATGGAAAGAAGCTTGGTTCATGACTATACAAACTACAGACAGAGGGTTTACACATGCCTCAAAGAACAGTTGTTGGAAAGGACTTTCAGCTCTATCAGTTTAATTCAAATTTTCCCTTGTACAAGAATGAGATCTTGAGAGGCCACTGCAGGCAACCTAAGCCTCTCAGTTTGACTAATGGAGCTGCCCTACAGCTGAGGGTTTTGGGGCCATTGACTTTGTGCGAGTTTTCTCAGTAGCACATCGAGAGTTGTCAAGAAGATTAAATGAGACAGTAGATGTGAAGCATGCAGAATAACAGCCAACATTTGTGGAGACTCCAGCACATAATATGTGTTTAATAAATGCTGATTATTATTGCTTCAAAACTTGTATGTTTTAAACAAAGGTCAAAGGATAATGAACTTTCTCAACATGTGTAAGCCCATTGTACCCATTATAGGTTAACAAGCTCCTGACACACACAGGAGCTGGGAGAACCCTCTCTGGTGCTGTCTGTAGTGGCTGAGGCACCTCCAGGCAGATGGGAAGCTCCGAGGCTCCCAGCATCCCACGCAGCCTTTGCTTTGAGTCTTACCTGCTTCCTAGCTGTAGGTGCAAAGAAAATGAAGTGTGTTTCATTCCGTGGGTTTGAGTAGAGGATTTTTATTGGGCAGTGTTGTGGGCCAAATGTGTTCCCCCAAAATTTAAATGTTGAAGTCCTAAACCCCGAGTCCCTCAGAATGTGGCTGTATTTGAGACAGGGCTTTCAAAGCAGTCATTAAGTTATTAATAACTTAGTAGTGAAGAAAGTCATTACAGTGGGTCCTAATCCAACATGACCGGTATCCTTGTAAGAAGAGATTAGGACACAGACACACACACAGGGAAGACACAGGGAGAAGACGGCCATCTGGAGCCAAGGACAGAGGTCTCAGAAGAAACCAACCCTGCCGACACCCTCAATCTCAGATACCAGCCTCCTGAACTGGGAGAAAAATAAATTTCTGTTGTGTTTTGCCCCCCAACCCACCCTCCAGTTTTTGGTATTTTGTCATGGCAGCCCTAGAAAATGAATACAGGCCACTACTAAGTTCTCCCTGAGTGCTATTATTTCTGGGGAGAATGTTGGGAGTTAAAGTGAAGCAGGGGAATATACCACAAGAGAACTCAGGCTGCGTTTGAAACCCTGGCTCTACCACTCCCTGACTTTGTGACTTGCTCCATGCACTTAACCGTTTTGTTCTTCATTTTCCTCCTGTGTAAAGTGGGAGTGAGCTATTTCCTAAGGTGTGGGAAGGCTTCAGTGGAGTCATTTATGGAAGGTGTATCACTGTGCCCAACACATGGTAGGCACTGGATAAACGGCATTTATTGTTATGATGAGACACAATATCAATGAGAGCAGCAGTCCCCAACCTTTTTGGCAGCAGGGACTGGTTTTGTGGAAGACAATTTTTCCATGGAGTGGGGGTGGGGGATGGGGATGATTTCAGAATTATTCAAGCTCATTACATTTATTGTGCACTTTATTTCTATTCTTATTACAGTGTAATATATAATGAAATAATTATACAACTCACCATAATGTAGAGTTAGAGGGAGCCCTGAGCTTGTTTTCCTGCAACTAGATGGTCCCATCTGGGAGTGACGGGAGACAGTGACAGATCGTAAGGCATTCGATTCTTATAAGGAGCGGCAGCCTACATCCCTGGCATGCATGGTTCACCATAGGGTTTGCACTCCTATGAGAATCTAATGCTGCTGCTGATCTGACAGGAGGTGGAGTTCATGTGGTAATGCAAGCGATGAGGAGTGACTGTAAATACAGATGAAGCTTCTCTCAGTCACCTGCCACTCACCTTCTGCTGTGTGGCCTGGTTCCTAACAGGCCATGGACCAGTACTGGTCTGTGGCCCGGGGGGTTGGGAACCCCTGAATTAGAGGTCTTTTGGGCAATAAATTGTGTACATTGATTATCAATCTTAAGTAATATTTGCTTATCCACAAACTGGGAAAAAGAAGGCTCTTTAGAGATTTAAAAATACTTCCTGCTGACATTCTGAGGAGTGTGGAATGAAAGTGTAACAAAGGATCCCTTTGAAAGTGTAAAGTAAATCAAGGGTATTCTACAGTCACTTTTTGTTCTGTGGTACAGGAAGGAATAGCGTTTTTAGTACTCTTTCCCAGCTACATTTATTTGTAGGGGGCAATGCAAAAGAGTACTGTTTGTGCTGGAAGAATGGCTGCCATTAAATAAGGAATTGTTTAACTTGATTGGTTTTGCCTTGGAGCGTGTAAGGCAGTGTTGCCGAATGTTTATTTTCTTGTTATTAAGCAGTTGGAGTTCTTTGCATATTTTGAATATGAGCCCCTTATGATTTGCAAATATTTTCTCCCAATCTGTGGGTTGTCTCTTCACTCTGTTAATTTTTTCCTTTGTTGTACAGAAGCTTTTTAGTTTGTTACACTCGACATTCCAGGCCTGGACAGTTGCCTGTTGCTCATTGGTGAGCCACTGGTAAACCACTGCAGTAGGGGAAATACTTTTGGACCGTTAATATTTGCTATTTGTTAAAAATAGCCTGTTTGCATCTCTTGGTTAGGAGAAAGGCAGTGTTTTTAATTCCTGGCAAAGTGTGCTGTTTTGTTGGAAGAGTATGAAGGCCATGGAACAGAAATCCCCAAATAATGTCTTTCTAGCAGCACATTAGGGTAGATTTAAGACTTGCGTTTGAAAATTGTAGCACAGTTTGATTGTGGTTTGATGAAATAAGAAGTCAAACACTTGGGCATGTGTTTTATTTCTTTGCGGCGACTTTGAAATCTTGCAAGAGCTGTGGAAATTGAGCTTTTGCTGAATCTGAGCTATGTCAGTCTTGCTTGTTTATAGGAATCTGATCAAAATAGCTGTGCTCTACTGTCCCCTCATGCATAAAGGCCCACACAATACTTTAATTGTTGAGAGCACATTGCTGGATGTCATGAATGAAAATGCCACTTTATTTGCTGCTCTGGAGGGAGTGGATCAGTAGAAAAGTAAACTTTGTATATATTCCTTTTAAATGTGAAGGGTTTATTAAGGAACATCATGATACATATGTTTTGTAAGTTTTATTTTATTTTTAATTGACAAATAATGTATATGTTTATAGGGTACAATGTGATGTTTTGATACATATGTATATTGTGGAAGGATCAAATCAGGCTAATTAACATAACCTATCACCTCAAACAGTAACTTTGTACCCATTGATCAATGTCTCCCCTTTCTTCCTCTACTTCCTTCCACCCCCAGCCTCTGGTAAACACTGTTAAACTCTCTGCTTTTTCGACTTTTTTAGATTCCACATGCACTTAAGATCATACGGTATTTGTCTCTCTGTGCCTGGCTTATGTCATTTAACACAATGTCTTCTAGGTGTATCATGTTGTCGCAAATGACAGAACTTCCTGCTTTTTAAAGGCTGAGTAGTATTCCATTGTGCATCTATACTACATTTTAAAAATCCATTCATCCCTTGATGGCACTTAGGTTGCTTCCATATCTTGGCTATAGTTCTCATAGGGTGTACACTCCTATGAGAATCTAATGCTGCTGCTGATCTGACAGGAGATGGAGTTCAGACGGTAATGCAGGCGATGGGGAGTGGTATAAATACAGATGAAGCTTCTCTCGGTCACCTGCCACTCACCTTCTGCTGTGTGGCCTGGTTCCTAACAGGCCATGGACCAGTACTGGCCCATGGCCTGGGGGTTGGGGACCCCTGAATTAGAATTGCAGTGAGCATGGGAGTGCAGATGTTTCTTCAACATACTGATTTCAGTTTCCTCGGGCATATACCCAAAAGTGTGATTGCTGGATCATGTGGCAAATTCTAGTTGTAGTTTTTTGAGGAACTTCCATACCGTTTTCCATAATGGCTGTACTGATTTACATTTCTCCTGACAGTGTGCTGGCGTTCCCTTTTCTCCACAAGCTCTCCAAGCACTTGTTATCTTTCATCTTTTTGATAATTGTCATTCTAACACACGTGAGGTGTTGTCTCATTGTGGTTTTAATGTGCATGTTTCTGATGATTAGAGATGTTGAGCATTTCTGCACGTATCTGCTGGCCATTTGTATGTCTTCTTTTGAGAAAGGTCTATTCAGATCCTTTGCCCATTGGTAATTAGAATTATTTATTTTCTTGTTATTAAGCAGTTAGAATTCTTTTTATATTTTGAATATGAGCCCCTTATGATTTGCAAATATTCCTCCCAATCTGTGGGTTGTCTCTTTACTCTGTTAATTTTTTCCTTTATTGCACAGAAGCCGTTTTAGTTTGGTGTGCTTTCGTTTACCTATTTTTGCTTTTGTTGCCTGTGCTTTTGGGGTTAAATCCAAGAGATCACTGCCCAGTGTCCTGTGTCATGTAGTTTTCGCCTATGTTTTCTTCTAGCAGTTTTATAGTTTCAGGTCTTACATTTCAGCCTTTAATCCATTTTGAGTTGATTCTTGTATAAGGGATGAGATGAAAGTCCATTTTCATTCTTCTGTATGTGGTTATACAGTTTTCCCAACACCATTTATTGAAAGACTATCCTCTTCACATTGGGTGTTCTTCATACCTTTGTCAAAAATCAATGGACATAGAAGAGTAGGCTTATTTGTGGACTCTCTGTCCTATTCTGTTGGTTAATGTGGTTGTTTTTAGGCCAGTAATCATGGTATATATTTTCATTTTCTTCCTTTTTTTTTTTTTCTTTTTTTTTTTGAGTCAGAGTCTTGCTCTGTCACCCAGGCTGGAGTGCAGTGATATGATCTTGCCTCACTGTAACCTCTGTCTGCCAGGTTCCAGCGATTGTCCTGCCTCAGCCTCCCGAGTAGCTGGGACTACAGGTACATGCCATCACGCCTGGCTAATTTTTGTGTTTTTAATAGACACAGGGTTTCGTCATGTTGGCCAGGCTGGTCTCAAACTCCTGACCTCAGCTGATCCGCGCGCCTTGGCCTCCCAAAGTTCTGGGATTACAGGCATGAGCCACTGCGGGCTGGCTCATGTTTTCATTTTCTTTGGCCACCCACGTTGTTACTCTTGACTGTTACTTTTATTACTGTTAACTGTTATACATTGTTTCTTTTGCTGTCTATAAAAAGTGTCTTTTTTCTTTAAGATGAGTTTTTTTTTTTACAGTTTAACGTCTTCCATTTATGCCCAGCTCCTCCCTAAACTTTATTTGTAGTGGGTGCTAATAATTGCAACACTGAGGATAGAGTAAGTAGTATGAAATGAGGATGTTTTGGGGATACCAGTCATAAGCATTATGAGTTCCTTAGAGTATCACTGTTTGTGTATGTGAGTGTACGTAGGTAGTGCAGGGAATGTGTGGGCAATTCTACATGTAATTTTACCTTTCCAAATGATGAAAATAATTTACAAAAAAATTTGCCTAGATTCCTGCCATCCTGATAAAATAGTCGTATTCCATTTTACACGTTATTTTTGCAACATTTTCTATATGCTGCCTTTTTTACATAGTTGTAACTATACATATACTTTTATATTCTCTTATTCATTAGTTATCTCAAATGTTTTTCATTTTATGGCAGGTACTTTATAAACTGCCCATTTTTTAAATTAAAGAAACAAGGTCTCTGTTGTGCAGGCTGGAGTGCAGTGGCATGATCATAGCTCTCCATAACCTTGAACTGTAGGCTTAAGCAATCCTCCTGCCTCAGCCTCCTGAGTAACTAGGATTACAGGCTTTCACTATCATGCCCAGCTAATTTTTTTATTTTTTATTTTTTTGGGTGGATGGGGTTCTTGCTGTGTTGTTCAGGCTGGTCTCAAACTCCTGGTGTCAAGCAGTCCTCTCACCTTAGCCTCCCGGAGTGCTGGGATTGTAGGCATGAGTCATTGTGCCCAGCCTATAATACCTGTTTTTAATGATGGCATACTTTTCTATTGTAAAAAGTTTCTCCCATTCTGTAGGTTGCCTGTTAACCCCGATGGTAGTTTCTTTTGCTGTGCAGAAGCTCTTTAGTTTAATTAGATCCCATTTGTCAGTTTTGGCTTTTGTTGCCATTGCTCAGCCCAAAATCTCCTTAAGCTGATAGGCAACTTCAGCAAAGTTTCAGGATACAAAATCAATGTGCAAAAATCACAAGCATTCTTATACACCAATAACAGACAAGCAGAGAGCCAAATCACATTCCCATTAGGAGTGCACATGGGTTCAAATGTTTTCACATCTCTGTGAATACTTACTATTTTCTGTTTGGTTTATAAAAATATATAATAGCCATACTAACAGCTGTGAAGTGGTATCTCAGTCTGGTTCAGCCTGTACCTTATAAGATGTACACGTGTGGTCACTGAAAAGCAATCCTATATCTGCTAGAACCCTCCTACTAGAACTACGTGGTGGTGTTGTGTGTTTCTACTTTTGCTTTAGAGCAGTTTGCCATGGAGCACTCCGCTGGCCATCCAGGATTCCCTCCTGGGGAGAGGGTGGTGGAGCAGGTTGAGTCTGTACATACAGGGCAGCTTTTAATCCATGATGAAGTCTTGAGTTTAGGCATTTACCATGAACAGTCAAGGAAAGGATTCTGGTGTAAAAAGATAAACTTATACACATTAATTTTTTTTTTTTTTTTTTGAGAGGGAGTCTCGCCCTGTCGCCCAGGCTGGAGTGCAGTGGCGTGATCTCAGCTCACTGCAAGCTCTGCCTCCCAGGTTCGCGCCATTCTCCTATCTCAGCCTCCCGAGTAGCTGGGACTACAGGCGCCCACCACCACGCCCGGCTAATTTTTTGTATTTTTTTTAGTAGAGACGGGGTTTCACCGTGTTAGCCAGGATGGTCTCCATCTCCTGACCTCGTGATCTGCCCGCCTCGGCCTCCCAAAGTGCTGGGATTACAGGCGTGAGCCACCGCGCTGGACCCTAAAATTTTAAAGCATTTATTTGAACATTCAGTGGTTCATGAATCAGGCAACACCAGACTGCAAGCACTTTGGGCTCCACCAAAAGGGATTGGGGAAAACTTTTATAAGGTGTTCAAACAAGCAAAACCCAAGAAAATATTTGATGAGTTAAAGTGAATAGCTCTTACTTAGAGGTTATTTGGTGGTTCCTGATTGGTAAAGTCTCTAGTTAGAGTTTAGTAGGTAGTTTCTGATTGGTGAAGCCTCTAGTTGGAGCTTAGTTGGTAGTTTCTGATTGGCCAAGCTTGTTTTTCTGGGCTATAACTATTCCCTCTGAATTAGGTTTTGGCTTGCTTATGTGGGAACCCAAGGCACTGGAACCAACTCAGCCTATTGGCCTCCCAATTAATTTTTGTTTTTAAACACAGGTTAGATATAGAATCAGAGACCATTAGACCTGGAAGAGATATTAGACACCAATTCCCCCAAAGCACACATTTTAGAAATAAAGGAATCGAAGCCCAGAGCATGTAAGTCTTCTCTTCTTGATTTGAGGGTAGAGACAGTGTCTTACTGTTATTTCACAATTACTTTTAGGTTAATCGTGTTGTTTCCCCAGTTAGATGATAAGATCCTTGAAGGGAGGGAACATACCTTGTTTCTCTTCTATCCCTGTGGTTCTCAAACTTGAGTGTGCATCAAAATCAACTGGGTGTTGGGGGTGGTTAGAACAAAAATTGCCAGATCCTGCCTAGGAAATGTCTAATTCAGTAGGTCTAGCGTGGGCCCCAAGAGTGTGCATTTCTAACAAGTTTCCAAGGGGACGTGGATGCTGTTGGTCGGGGGACTACACTCGTGAGAACCACGATCCATCCTCCAAATCATTCCTCATGTGCACATGCTCAATAATTCTGGCCAAATCAAAAAGAATGCAGGAAATTTCCCTGTAGCCACTTTCCTGAGTTCTGTTGTGGCTGCAGGCTGGGCTGTGAGAATGAAAGAACATGTGATCTGTCACTTATTATAACTTTTGGACTTTCCAGTTGCCATTGGATGTTGAATGCAGGGCTGTGTCACCATTTATAGATCTTCAGTGTCACACCTTGAATTTGAGGAATGCTCTTGTTTATTGGGTGCCAGTTTAAAATGAGACATTGATGTAAGTCCTGCATTTTGCCAGAGTACAACAATGGGTTTAGTACCAGTCTTAGGGAATGTGAGTCTTGAAACTTGCTAAGGTGATTCTTTTTCTATATACATTTTGTGTTTGTGTGTGTTCATTGGCTATTCATTCAGTCTAGATGAAAAGATATGACCAAATCACGCAGGACAGGCTCACAAGTCGCTTCTCTGTCTGTCAAGATAGAAAGTGAAGGTGGGCAGTGGTGAGAACAGGTTTTTTGGAAAGGTGAAATTCAATAAGGTCAACTTTTCTATTTTATTTTTTATCTTATTTTATTTTATTTTTATTTTGAGATGAAGTCTTGCTCTGTTGCCCAGGCTGGAGTGCAGTGGTGCGATCTCAGCTCACTGCAACCTCTGCCTCCCGAGTTCAAGCGATTCTCCTGCTTCAGCCTCCCAAGTAGCTGGGATTACAGGCACCCGCCACCAAGCTCAGCTAATTTTTGTATTTTTAGCAGAGACAGGGTTTTACCATGTTTGGCCAGTCTGGTCTCAAACTCCTGACCTCAGGTGACCTGCCCGCCTCGGCTTCCCAAAGTGCTGGGATTACAGGCGTGAGCCACCGCGCCTGGCCAACGGTCAACTTTAAAAAAACCAAAACAAACATTTTCTGAAAGCAATATTTTCTACGAGTTACAAAGGGTCCAAAGTATTGTTTTTCACTGGGCAAACAAAATGAGCTCAAATGGAGCTGATGTCTGTGCTCTACCTCCCAGCTCAGCCGTAATGAGTTTTGTTATCAGCAGCAGTTTATTGAAGCATGAAATACTGATGCTGAAGTTGTGTCTCTATCTTCGGTCTCTTTTCAATTAAGTGCCTTCTAAAAGTGAATTCATACTGAGGTTTCAGTTTTGAATACTTTGAAGAGTTTAAGTTACTTTTCTAGTTTTAATGAATGGTTAAACCACTTAATGTATTTGGAATTTGATTTGGGTAAATATAAATTGCAAAGGTACATGTTTGCTTATTGTTTTTTAAAATCAGCTGACCTTTTCTATAGATTTCAGGAAATGTTTAAATGTTTTCTTTTAGGCCCAATATTCTCAAGAGGTAGACCACTGAGATTTTTCTAAGGAAATTTGGTGTCTACCCTGCATAACTGGACAGGCTTGGCACTGGACGTTAAATGCAGGGCTGTGTCACTATTTGTAGATCTTCAGTGTCACACCTTGAATTTGAGAAATGCTCTTGTTTATTGGATGCCAGTTTAAAATGAGACATTGTTGTAAGTCCTGCATTTTGCTAGAGTAGAACAATGGGTTTAGTACCAGTATCAGGGAACGTGAGTCACTCGCAGAGTCAAAAAACAACTGGTGATCACTTTGGAGAACAATTTGATTTCCCAGGTACCAAATAAGGGAGCTCTTTTGTCAAACTTTGCATCTCTAAAAGAACACCTTCTTTGTCTTAGGGTCCTGCTGGGGGTGAGAAAAGAGACCCACTAAACAGAGCTCAGTTAGCTTAGGCTGTTTCCATGAAAAGCCCCCTGCTTGTGGGTGGGAAAGCAACCTTGGCCAGTCTTAAAGGTTAGAGAAAAACTGTTGGGTTTGTCACATCTTATACCACACGAGGGTATAGTTTTCTTGTTCTGTTACATTCATTTCCTCTTCCAAACAATCTATTGGGGAGAAAGAACAAATCCAAGTCTGAGAAGCCTCTTGATGTGGAAATCTGCAAAAAACAAGAGCAAGGCTGGGCGCGGTGGCTCACGCCTGTAATCCCAGCACTTTGGGAGGCCGAGGCAGGCGGATCAGGAGGTCAGGAGATCGAGACCATCCTTGCTAACACGGTGAAACCCTGTCTCTACTAAAAATACAAAAAAAATTAGCCGGGCGTGGTGGCGGGCGCCTGTAGTCCCAGCTACTTCGGAGGCTGAGGCAGGAGAATGACGTGAACCTGGGAGGCGGAGCTTGCAGTGAGCCGAGTTTGCGCCACTGCACTCCAGCCTGGGCGACAGAACGAGACTCCGTCTCAAAACAAAACAAAACAAAACAAACAAAAAAACCAAGACGAAATTCACACAAAGGTTTTTATTTTCTCTTCCCCTGCCACAGGTGAATTTTGTGGTATGCCAGCTTGTTGCTCTGTTTGCTGCTTTCTGGTTTCGCATCTACTTACGTCCTGGTACAACCAGCTCTGATGTCCGGCATGCGGTTGCCACCATTTTTGGCATCTATTTTGTCATCTTTTGTTTCGGCTGGTGAGTATGAGCCTCATATATTCTAATATTGGTCATTTGGATGTTTTGTGGCAATGTCCTTGGAATTGCACTAAAGCCAGAAATAGATGGCATTATAAAATATGTATTGTAAAATTTTATATTGTAAATACCTTATAGTAGGATAATGAGGACATTGCAGGACTCTCCATTTACTGTAAGAGCCAATAAATTGACCATCCATTGGAAGTCAGTATAGTTCACTTTTTCTTTTTTTTAATTAATTAATTAATTAATTAATTTATTTATTTATTTATTTATTTTTTATTTTTTTTTTTTGAGACGGAGTCTCGCTCTGTCGCCCAGGCTGTAGTGCAGTGGCGCGATCTTGGCTCACTGCGACCTCCGCCTCCTGGGTTCAAGTGATTCTCCTGCCTCAGCCTCTTGAGTCGCTGGGATTACAGGTGCACATCACCATGCCCAGGTAATTTTTTTTGTATTTTTTTTAGTAGAGACGGGGTTTCACCGTGTTGCCCAGGCTGGTTGCAAACGCCTGAGCTCAGGCGATCCATCCGCCTTGGCCTCCCAAAGTGTTAGGATTACAGGCATGAGCCACCATCCCCAGCCCATTTTTTCTTAAAATTAGACTTCTACAGATCCCTCCCAATCATGTAAATGGGATGCTGTAAGGTTTAATTTTTCCCAAAAGGAACCTTTCCTAACTATCGTAGATGTTGGTGTATTTCTTGTATTACTGCTAGAGACGTGGGTATAAGTCCTGGATTTCACCAGAGTAGAACAATGCGTTTAGTGCAGATCTTGGGAAATGTGAATCATTCTTTAACAGAGAAAGCTGGTCAATTGTACTTTCCTCTACGAGTAAGCTGGGCAAATACCCTGAAAGGTGTTAGGGAAGAAGCTTTGGAAACCAACATATTGAGAAGTACACCTTCAGGAATTTTGTGAATTTGTTCAGGGTACTATACTAGAATTCTGCCCCTATTCCTTCAACAAGTATCTGAGAAAGGATGAGTATTTTAAATCAGCCACCAGGTAGAAGTCTCGGTATCTTGGGAAGCCCAGTTTAAAAAATAAAGTCTTAAAGAAAGAACTCATCTCTCTGGACTCTCAATTGCATATGGGAAAAAAGTGTAAGCGTTCCATTTATGGATTCCTGACATTATTAGCCCTGCAGTTGGCAAACTGTGTCGTTATGATACAGCATCTTAATTACATAGAAGAAAAATATTTGGCTTATTTTCTCTCACATAAACATGAGTTACTGATCATTGATCATTTGTGTTTTTGGCAGGGGTAGTGATGGATTCACAGTTTTGGTGACCAATAGCTGTGTTAATATGAAATATATTCATTACTCCTCCCCCTACTATTATGTCTTAAAGGTACTCTGTGCATCTTTTTGTGCTGGTGTTAATGTGCTATGCAATCATGGTCACTGCTAGTGTATCCAATATTCACAGGTAAGATACTGGGAATGAACAATGCAAGGTGAGATTTTCTTTTTTTTGTGATCTTTGAAATATATTTCCAGTGTAAAGATGGACCTTACCCATTTTCCACAAGTGGTATATCTTAGTTTATCTAGAATATCAGGAGGGATGGGGAACCCTAAAGGCTGGAGTCTTCAGAGAAGGCTTTATGAAAAAGATCAATGCAAATTGGGCCTCAGGTGAAAGAGAATATGTCATGACTAGGCTGCTCTATTTGTGACAGCCCGAAACTGGAAGCAACTCAAATGTTCAACACAATGAAAATAATGAAAAGGCTGGGCGTGGTGGCTCACACCTGTAATCCCAGCACTTTGGGAGGCAGAGGTGGGCAGATTGCCTGAGGTCAAGAGTTCAAGACCAGCCTGGGCAGCATGGTGAAACCTCGTCTCTACTAAAAATACAAAAAAAAAAAACCCAAAAAAAATTAGCTGGGCGTAGTGGTGCGCACCTATAGTCCCAGCTACTCAGGGACGCTGAGGCAGGAGAATCACTTGAACCCAGGAGGCAGAGGTTGCAGTGGGCCAAGATTGTGCTACAACACTCCAGCCTGGGTGACAGAGGGAAACTCCTCTGTCAAAAAAAAAAAAAAAAAGGAAAAAGAAAAAGAAAATAATGAAAGATCGGTATACTCAATGTCGTGGATAAATCTCAAAACAAATATGCTGAATGAAGGAAGCCACACAAATTCTATTCTAGAAAATGCAAACTAATCTATAGTGACAAAAGCTCACAAGTTAACTGGGATGGTGCAGGGAGCTGTGGAAGGAATCACAAAGAGGGATGAGGAAAGTTCTAGGGGGTGATGGATGTCTCCACCCTCTTGAATCTGGTGATCGTTTTCTGGGTATCTATATATATCAAATATATATATATGTTAAATTGTATACTTTCTACGTGTACACTAAAACTGTTAAAAAAGAAATATTTTTACGATGATGTTTTGATTTCAAAGTACAGAGGTAGTTTAAGTCTACCTTGGAGGCAGCATGCTTGGATAATCAACTGAGATACCTGGGTATCTGTTTTGCATGGTCTCTGTTTCACATGGTCTTTCTGAAAACTCAGGATTAGCTCTGCCTTTTGGGAATGCTGCAATGTAAGTTCTATGAAAACAAAGATTTCTCTCTCTCTCTTTCACTGTTGTATCCTCCAAGCCGGGAACAATACCTGGCACAAGTAAGAGCTCAATAAATATTTATGGAATGAATGACTGAATTACTTTTAAAAGATATTTGTCCTTTTATGGCTTCTGACGGCCTCTCTGAAAAGCAGGTGCCTTATTTCAGCTTCAGAAAGCCATTTGATTAATCACTATTAGCACAGTAGTTTTCCTCCTTAAAAACATTGAAATTTAACTTTTCACTGTATGATCTTTTAGTTACTTATAACAAATTTTTGGTTTCCCAGGGAAAATATTTTTTTCTGCTTTTACATTTTATAGTCATTCAACATAGAATCCAAAGGAGCTCTGAAAATTCGAATTCTAATCATCTCTCTTCTCAGTGCCCTGCTTGAAGGGGATAGTGTCACTTCTTCTAGAAAGGAAATAGGAAATCCATTTTTCTAATTTGGAAAGAATGGGTTTTGGAAATGTTTCATATGATGACAAAATGATTATAAAAGCTTTTATTTTTTAACTAGAGGATGAAAAGGCTTGGCTTTTCCAAAACTTGGTTTTGGAAGCAATTACATAGTAAATTATTAATAATAATGTTGGTGCAACTGTATAGCACATTCCCAACTTCCTTACAAATTGCAGCTTGTCAGCTCTTCCCACATTTGTGTGATGCTGATGGGATGTGGTCCATTTTTCAGAGGGTCAGGAACTTGACACGCACACTTGTTTCATATCAGGCCTAGGTTCACTGTGTTCAATTCCAGTGTCTAGGAATGGAATACTCTGGCCTTGGCAGAGCCATGTGGTTTACAGACAGGGTATGACGGTGCCACCACAGTATTACTGTGGTAGCAGGGGGCTCTGCCATCAGACCAAGAAGGAAAGAGGCCAGCACAAGATGTTCCTTTTTTTGTTTGGTTTTTTTTTTTTTTTTTTTGAGACAGAGTCTCACTCTGTTGCCCAGGCTGGAGTGCAGTGATGTGATCTCGGCTTACTGCAACCTCCACCTCCCGGGTTCAAGTGATTTTCCTGCCTCAGCCTTCCGAGTAGCTGGGACTACAGGCGCGTGCCACTACACCTGGCTAATTTTTGTATTTTTAGTCGAGACGGGGTTTCACTATGTTGGCCAGGATGGTCTCAATCTCTTGACCTAGTGATCTGCCTGCCTCAGCCTTCCAAAGTGCTGGGATTACAGGTGTGAGCCACCGTGCCTGGCTGATGCCCCTCTTGGTTTGCTCTTGTGGCTGCCAATATTGCCGAAGTGGAAATTGTTTCACAGTTCCCCTTGGATGAACTCAATGTAAATTTTTTTAAAATCTCAACGTTGTTTCCTGTTTATGGAAAGAGCTCTAGGCTGGAGTCAGGAAATCAAGATCCTCCTAGTAGTGTGAATTTGGACTGGTCATGCAACTTCTCCATATGTCACATTTCCCTCCTGCAAAATGCTGGTTTTGCAGCAGTTTGAACGCAAGTTCCCTTCATTACCATGATGTCATGATTCTGTATGAATTGCTCTCCTCTTTACTTCACTGAATCAGTGATAAGAGTTCTGCTACATGGCTGAGAAGAGGAGGGAAAGATTACTATTTGCTGCCATATGAAACTAACCCTTTGTTTTTTGAGATGGAACCTCACTCTGTTGCCCAGGCTATAGTGCGATAGCGTGGTCTTGGCTTGTCTGCAACCTCTTCCTCCCCAGTTCAAGTGATTCTCCTGCCTCAGCCTCCCAAGTAGCTGAGATTACAGGCACCTACCACCACACTCAGCTAATTTTTATAATTTTAGTAGAGACAGGGTTTCACCATGTTGGCCAGGATGGTCTTGAACTGACCTTACGTGATTTGCCTGCCTCGGCTTCCCAAAATGCTGGGATTATAAGCATGAGCCATCATGCCTGGCCAAAACTAACCCATTTCTGGACTGTTATTCAGCATTTGTTTAGAGGGTTTTGGGGATACCCCCTGTGTTTCCTTCCCAAGCCACTGTGTTGGGCAGAAGTCACAGGCATCAGTTTACCCTACGTGAACCAACTGGAGCAGAACATGGCTTGTGTCTCCTGGGGCAGAGGGCCTAGCGTGAGAACTTGGTGATGCAGTTATCAATGCTGGAGTCTGTCCTTTGTGCCAAGTCTTAAGCCAAGCTCTTTTTAATATACTTTATTTCATTGTTAACACATAAACTATTATGTAATATATCATTTAATTTTTTATTTAATGTTTCATTATTTCAAATATATTAACTCTAGGACAACACTATGGAATATAGTTTTTTTTCTTTCTGAAATGAGACAATAAAAGCTCAGAGAGGTAAATAAGTAAACAGTTTGATGAATTTCCACAAAGTGAACACACCCATGTAACCACCATGTCTGATGTGTCAGTCTCTTTTTTTTTTTTTTTGAGACGGAGTTTGCTCTCGTTGCCCAGTCTGGAGTGCGATGGCGCAATCTTGGCTCACTGCAACCTCTGCCTCCTGGATTCAAGTGATTCTCCTGCCTAAGCCTCCCAAGAGGCTGGGATTATAGGCATGCACCACCACCCCTGGCTAATTTTGTATTTTTAGTAGAGACAGGGTTTCTCCATATTGGTCAGGCTGGTCTCGAACCCCTGACCTCAGGTGATCCGCCCGCCTTGGCCTCCCAAAGTGCTGGGATAACAGGCGTGAGCCATCACACCCAGCCTCATGTGCCAATCTCTACCACACCTCTCCTTCCTAGAATAACTGCTTCACCAACTTCTCCCACCATGGATTACTTCTGCCAGTGCTGGGATTTGAGCTCATTCTGGTCTGTGTATTTGTCTGTTTTCACACTGCTGATAAAGACATACCTGAGACTGGGTAATTTATATACAAAAAGAAGTTTAGTGGACTCACAGTTCCACGTGGCTGGAGAGGCCTCACAATCATGGTGGAAGGCAAAAGGCATGTCTTACATGGCAGCAGGCAAGAGAGAACTTGTGTAGGGGAAATCCCCTTTACAAAACCATCAGATCTTGTGGGACTTACTCACTATCACGAGAACAGCATAGGAAAGACTCGCCCCCATGATTCAATTACCTCCCACTGGGTCCCTCCCACAACACGTGGGAATTTGGGAGCTACAATTTAAGATGAGATTTCGGTGGGGACACAGCCAAACCGTATCAGTCAGTCTGTAGAATACATGTTCTCACTACCACTTCTTGATTCCTTAGATGTTTTAGGTTTGGCCAGGGCATGAATGCGTTGCCCTGTTGTATTGGGACTCAGCACTTGGTGCCATCCTGGGCAGGCGGGGTCCTACTAAATTGAGTTGAACTTGCTTTCTTTCTTCTGTGGGCCAGGGTAAGGTACAGATCTAACTCCTGTTGAGGACAAAGGGGAAGCAGCAGGCATGGCTGCATTGGAATGGGTTCTGGAAGAATCTATCTTTTGAGTCTGCTTTGCGTTTCTGCCTTGAGCTTCATGAACTGGCTGGAGAAAGGGAACAGTTGCTGGAGATGACAAGGCCTAACTTCATTCCACTTCTGCTTCAACTCCTAAGGGAGTTATTTTCTCTTAGTCATTTGCATTGTTGACCATCTTCTTGGTTTGGAAGTGGTTTAGGATGAACCCATGATAGAGAAAAAATCTTTTCTGCATAGTAACTTCTTTGTTTGCAAATAATGGTAAAGAGCACATAAAAGTTACACAGTGATTTAGAGTTTACAGAACTCCTTCATGTTATTTAAAATCTGGCTATCCCTTGCTACCGAATGAATTTTTATTATCCCTACTTTACTATTCCTTAGGCTGATCTAGTCTTCATGAGTTATTTTAATGTGAATATGTGATTTCAATATAATTTAACATCAGAAAATACCTCTTCCCTGTTTTATGGCATATATTTAAAAGTTATACCTTCCGAATTTATGTCTATATCCGATGGGCTCCGGAACCACTTAAAATGTGTAATGTATTCATTTCAGTTCATTTCAACTAACAGTAACTGAACCCCTCCCATGTGTCAGGTCAAGGGTGGGGACGTTCAAGGTCACAATGAGTTGGGGAAACAGACACATACACAAATAATTCTAATATTGTAATTATGTGTGTTAGCATGTAATACCAGAGACATACAGACAGTGGAGCAATGAATTGTGCTGGGGATGGGGAACAGGAGATGTGGTAGGATGCATGGAGTAAGACCAAGCCAAGTAACATAGAAGAGGTGACTTTGGAGCTGAGCCTTATCTGAAAATTAGGCAGGTTCCAGATAGACTATTGGATGGAGATGGGAATTGCAGTCAGAAGAAGGAGCATGCAGAAAGACATCTTGCCTGAAAATACAGGGTTTCATTGTGGAACATGAGCAGTGCAGTGTCATTTGAGAGTAAGGTAAACATGGAGCATGGCTGGAGATGAGTCCAGGAAGGCGAGGTAGAGCTTAGCGTGTGAAGCACCTTGCATGCTGTGTTCAGGGGTTGCAATTTCACTAGATAGTGGGATCCACTGGAGACTTTTAAGAAGAGTAGCTGTCACATAGTTGTTTATTCATTTGACACACAGTAGGTGAATATGGTGAACAAAGCATAGGTGACCATCTTTGCCCTCATGGAGCTTACAGTTTGGTCAGGGAGATGGGTGTTAATCAGATTGTCTTAGCTGGGACTGCTATAACAAAGTACTGTATGTAGAGTGGGTGGCTTATAAACAACAGAAATGTATTAATATTCCTCAGTTCTGGAGGCTGGAGATCTGAAATCAGGGTTCCAGCATGTTCTGGTGAGGACTCTCTTCTGGGTTACAGACTGCCGTCTTCTTGTATCCTCACATAGCACAAAGTGAGTGCTCTCTGGGGTCTCTTTTGTAAGAGGGCTAATCCCATTTATGAAGGCTCTGCTCTCATAACCTAGTCACCTCCCAAAGGTCCCACCTCCTAATGTTGAGGGTTAGCATTTAAACATAGGAATTTTAGGGAGACATAATCATTCATTGCACAGCTTATCACCTATATTTATAATTACACATTTGACAAGTACTTATATGTGGATGTGTGTGTTTGTGTGGCTTGTGTGTGTATTGCTAGTGTATACTATAAGGCAGTCAGGAACACATCTCTGAAGGAAGCCAGGGAATGCTCATGAGTAAGTGGTAATTGAAACCTGAGGCATGGAAGGGCAGGGTCCCAAGCTGAGCTTGGACATACTAACACTTGAGGGGTAGGTGGAGGAAGGAAAGCTGAGCAAGGAGCCTTGGAGGAATTAACCAGAGAGGTGGGAAGAAAACAGGAGAATGGAAGCCAAGAGAATAAAGTGTTTAAAGATGAAGTGGTCAGCAGTATGGTGATGATTTGTACTTTACAAAAATCATTATGCAAACATGAGGGCTGTGAAGAGGAGAATCTTGAGTGCAAGACCTTACAGGTAGTGATTCCCAGCCCTGGCTGCGCACTGCCATTACACCTACCAGGTGTGGCAGGAATTAAACAGGAATAGCAGGGAGCAAGTCCCAGGGATCTGTGGTTTGCAAAGCTCCATTCCATTATGCAGCTAAGGCTGACAGCCAATGTAGTGGTCCAGGTGAGAAGAGATGAGGGGTTCAGCTAGAGTAGTGGGTGGAAAGGTGGCCTGGGATGTCGTCAGACCAGATAGGACATTGTGACCAACTGCACGTGAAGGATGAAAGAGAGGAAGAGGGGAACATTAATTGAGTGCATTATTGCTATGCATAATAATCTGATCATCTATGTTTTTGCTTTCAGATATTCCTTTTTTGTAGCAATGGGATATCTTACAATATGCCACATCAGCCGAATATACATCTTCCACTATGGAATTCTCACTACGGATTTTTCTGGGTAAGTATCTTACATTAGAGAGAGGGGTTTTACTGCTGACTTTGACTTGGTCTCTTGGGGTCTGTAAACATCAAGGGTGCACAAAAGAATCGTTGGTGCTTGGTTAAATCAGTTGGTAAGACACTGCTAATGGGATTGAGGCTGGAGACTTGATTGATTGGTAGGACTGTTAGCTCTGCTATGCTGTAAGACAGGAACCACAAAGTACAGCCTGTGCGCCATATCTGTCCTGCTACCTGTCTTTGTACAGTTATATTGGAACGCAACCAGGCACTTAGCCATTTATGTATTGTCTATGAGTGCTTTTGCACTACAGTGGCAGAGTTGAGTAGTTGTGAAAAGCCACGTGGCCTGCAAAGCCTGGAATATTTACTATTTGGTTCTTTACAGAAAAACTTTGTCAACCCCTGTTCTGAGGTTCTTAACTCAGGGTTGGTTTTCATCTCTCTTTTTTTAAACTTTTTAAAAAAATTTAGGGGTACATGTGCAGGTTTGTTACATAGGCAAACCTGTGTCATGGGAGTTTGTTGTACAGATTATTTCGTCACCCAGGTATTAAGCCTAGTACCCATTGGTTATTCTTCCTGATCCTCTCCCTCCTCCAATCCTCCACCTTCTGAGAGGCTCCAGGTCTGTGGTTCTTTCCACGTAGTCTCATCATTTAGAAGTGAGAACATGCAGTATTTGCTTTTCTATCCCTGTGTTAGGGTTTTCATCTCTCGCTAGTTAATAATATAGAAATTCTTTGATACTAGCTGATAAGTACCTACTACCCTGACCCCTTTGAGTGTTCCTGACTGCCCTTGCCCCGGCCCCCAGGCCTCCTTGACCTTCAGCAACTAGAAGGATAATTTCTAAACATTTTGTCTATTACCATGGCCTTAATGTGGTGGGCCACGCATTCTGATTGGTCACATGGTAAAGACTATGGATGGAAAACTGAGAATTCTATGCCCTGTTGAGGTTAGTTCAGGAACAACTTTTTGTGAATCTTGAGGAATGAACATTACAGCAGAGCTGTTCCTGGTGATGCGTGATCTGTTATCCACGTTACTTCCCGGGAGTTTAGTTGTGTTCTCTGCAGGCAGCCTGAGGTCAGGGACCCAAGCTCCCCAGTCAGGTTGGACTGTACCTCCTTCAGTGAGTTGTTGGCAACTAGGCAGTGAAATGAGGGAGTGACCGCTCATGGCTCATGAACTTTGCAAGTTGTGCAACTCAACTGTCCCACCTTGAAAGGGCTCAGGAAGGTAAAGAGTGTTGTTTTGGGACACAGGGATTGTTGCATTTAAATCTTTGTGACTGTGGTTTGGTCTCAGACTGGTTTTTCATGCATAAGTTCTTCTTACCCTCAGGCATCTGGGATTTTACCTGTTTTTCTTCCAGTGGTGTGCCCTCTCCGCCACATTGTGGAGCGTGCTTTCTCAATCCTTCAGGAAGAAATTCAAAGACTTTGTTTTTTAACAATATGCAGGATGGGCGTAGTGGCTCATGCCTATAATTCCAGCACTTTGGGAGGCTGAGGTGGGTGGATCACTTGAGGTCAGGAGTTTGAGACCAGCCTGACCAACATGGTGAAACGCTATCTCTACTAAAAATATAAAAATTAGCTGGGTGTCATGGCAGGCACCTGTAATCTCAGCTGCTCAGGAGGCTGAGGCATGAGAATCACTTTACCCTGGGAGGCGGAGGTTGTAGTGAGCTGAGATCGCGCCACTGCACTCCAGCCTGGGTGGCAGAGCGAGACCGTCTCAAAAACAAAAAACAAAAAGCCCAACATGCATTGCTAGTAAAATATGGAAAACATAGGAACAACAATGATAACAAAATAGCCAGGCAGGTATAGTATTAAAAGGAATCTCTAAATGGGGATTGCAACTCCCCATAGCATTCAATCAACAAACCACTGTTTTGGTTTCACCCCAGAGCCCTGCTATACTTAGAAGAGTTCTTGACACTTAATAGGTGGTCAAGAAATGAATGCATTAAATACTCTAGTATTTACTATTCTTTTCTTTAAGGTATCCAGGAGACTCATTATTAAACAGTCCCTCCATCTGTATTGGTTGGGATATTAAACAAAAATCGCTGACTGGCTGAAATGACATTAATACCTATTGCCTGTATATATCTTCTTCTGTTTTTAAGGCAGGAAGCATCTATTCATTTCTGCAACAACTTTTGTGTGGCCAATATGTTAGGTAAATGCCAGGTTCGAGAGACACTGTGCATTCTAGGCAGGAGGAAGGATATTCCAGGCAGAAGGGAGGGCTTTGCAAGAGCACAGAAATGCAAGACAGGTGCCTGTGGAGGTACCAGAGAGCCTTTATTTCCTTTATTACCCGCATCCTTGTGTCACCAGGTCCTCTCATTACGACAGCCTGTCTGTCACTAGAATCCGCCCGCTGCCCTTCATGCCCACCGCCACCACCCTGGACCACCCCAAGCCTGCAACGCCTTCCTGACTGGCTGTCCTTCCTTTTGCCCTGCCCCGTCTCCAGTCTGTGCTCTCTACACTCATCAGAATGAGGTTCTAGGCCAGGCACAATGGCTCACACTTATCATCTCAGCACTTTGAAATGCCGAGCTGGCAGGAGGAGGAAGAGGATCGCTTGAGCTCAGGAGTTTGAGACCAGCCTGGACAACATAATGAGACCCCATCTCTACTAAAAATTAAAAACAAAACAAAAAACAAATTAGCTGGGTGTGATGGTGCGTGCTTGTAGTCCCAGCTACTCAGGAAGTAAAGGTAGGAGAATCTCTTGAGCCTGAGACTGGGGCTGCAATGAGCTATGATTATGCCACTGCACACTAGCCTGGGTGACAGAGCAAGACCCTGTGTCAAAAAAAAAAAAAAAAAAAAGAAAAAGAAAAAGAAAAGAAAAAATGAGAATGAGGTTCTAAAATACAAAGCTGATGATGATCTGGACCTGCCAAGCCTTTATCTTCTGCCATCTGCTCCCACTGTACAATGCAGAAAAGTTTGTGGTCTGCACACATGCTGGGTTAGTTCCTGCCTCTGTGCCTGTGCTTTGCTCATTTCCCTGATAGAAAGCCCTTTCCTATCTTTGTCAACCTGGAAATCTCTTACTTCATTTGTAAAAACTCAGCTCAAAGATCACTTTCCTTAAAAAGCTTCCCTGGTTGCCATCCCCTCCCTCCCCCCACTCCCTGTACCCCAGAGTCATGCATTTGGATCTCAGGTAGCAGGAGGTCTCTTGCCTGGCTCTCAAGGGTTGGTGCTACCATTGCCTGTCAGTCATATCTTGTCCCTGGTGCACAGAGTGTTTGTAGCTGGCGGCCACAGATACCTCCCTCATCCATTGTGTCATACGTTTAGCTAGTGTTATATGTGTTTATTCCCAAACTTGTTTATTGCAGTTGTATGTATGTATCAGTATCAGGATTCTCTAGCGACTCAGAACCAATAGGATTTTTATGTGAGAGGATTTATTATGGGAATTGGCTTATGTGATTATGGAGGCCAAGAAGTCCCACCATCTGCCATCTGTGAGCTAGAGATCCAGAAAAGCTGGTGGTATGATTCAGTCTGAGGCTGAAGGCCTGAGAACTAGGGGTGTAAGTCCCAGAGTCCAAAGGCCTGAGAACCAGGAGCTCCGATACCTAAGGGCAGGAGAAGATGATGTCTCAGCTCAAGGAGAAAGAGAATGAGTCCTTCCTTTCGCCTTTCTGTTCTTGCCCTCTAAGGATTGGATGATCGTCTTCCACACTGACGAGGGTGGATCTTCCTTATTCAGTCCATGGATTCAAATGCTAATCTCTTTTGGAAACCCTCATAGGTACACCAAGAAATAATGTTCTACCAGCTATCTGAGCATCCCTGAGCCCAGTCAAGTTGACACACAAAATTGACCATCACAACTTACATGTAAGCTGATTATATGTGAATGTGAAAGGAGAGATAATAGTTTCTCTAAATCTAGGTTGGGTCCCTTGGAAAGCCACCAAGTTAAGTTTAGTCTATTAAAAATAATTGCCATTGAATTAAATGTGAGTGAGAATGCTGAAAGGATTGGGGGTTGGGGGAAGGAAGTATAAACATGAAGGATTCTTCACTCAGATGGCTTTGCAAGCATCTTTACTTTCTTTTACCTTCTCAGCCTGTGCTAGAGGGAATGACCCTGGGGATAGTGGCTGGGGCTTATGTGAGAGGAGATGCCATCCTTCAGCAGATCTGCACTCCAAGGAAAGGCTTTGGTCCTGTGTCAAAGGCTCATTAGTTCATTATTCAGGAGGCAGTGACTGGGGAACCCTGTGTATACCAGGCACAGTGATAGGAGACAGAAGCGAGCAAAGACTGCAGAATGAATGTCTAGTTACATATTTTAAGTTTGTATAGAAAGTTAAGGCTGGGCACGGTGACTCATGCTTGTAATCTCAGCACTTTGGGAGGCTGAGGTGGGAGGATCATTTGAGTCCAGGAGTTTGAGACCAGCCTGGGCAACATAGTGAGACCCCATCTTTACAAAAAAATTTAAAACTCAGCTGGGTGTGGTGGTGTGTACCTGTAGTCCCAGCTATTCAGGAGGCTGAGGTGGAAGGATCGCTTGAGCCCAGGAGGTCAAGGCTGCAGTGAGCTGTGATAATGCCACTGTACTCCACCTGGGCAACAGAGCAAGACCCTGTCTCAAAAAAAAAAAAAAAAAAAAAAAAAAGGTTAAAATGTGAGTGTATTTTTGTGTACTGGGTTGAAGAGTGTCCTCCCAAGATTCATGTCCACCCAGCACCTCAGAATATGTCCTTATTTGGAAATAGTCTTTGCAGATGCAATTAGTTAAGATAAGATGAGGTCACATTGGGCGGGGCACCGTTGCTCACAGTTGTAATCTCAGCACTTTGGGAGACTTGGAGATGGAAACCAGCCTGTCCAACATGGTGAAACCCCGTCTCTACAAAAAATACAAAAATTAGCAGGGCGTGGTGGCGCATGCCTGTAGTCCCACAGCTACATGGGAGGCTGAAGCAGGGGAATCGCCTGAACCCAGGAGGTGGAGGTTGTAGGGAGCGGAGACCACACCACTGCATTCCAGCCTGGGCGACAGGGTGAGACTTGGTCTCAAAACAAACAAACAAAATAAAAACCCAAACAAACAGATCAGGTCACACTGGATTAGAGTGGGCCCTAGATCCAGTACGACTGTGTCCTGGTAAGAAAGCCATGAGGGACAGACTCACACACATGCATACAGGGAAGACGGCCATGTCAAGATGGAGGCCGACATTGGAGTAATGCAGACGCAAGCCCGGGAGCTCAAGGGTTGCCGTCAGTCACCGGAAGCAAGGAAGGAGAATGGAACAGATTCTCTCTCAGCGCCTGCAGAAGGAACCAGTCCTGCAGATATCTTGATTTTGGACTTTTAACCTCAAGAACTGTGAGAGAAGACATTTTTGTTGTTGTAAGCCACCCAGCTTGTAATTTCTCACAGCAGCCCTAGGAAGCTCATGTGCGTTGTTTTATGATTCCCCACCTTTTGATGAATTAACAACCGTCCCCTGATCCTGATCATACAGGATAAGGATGCCTCTACCGTCTGCATCTCTGGCTGTTCTTGTCACATCTCCATTTGTTTTATTAAAACCATAAACTCTTGAATAATTTCTACATCATTTTGAATGTAATCAGAATTCTGAAATTATCAAAGGGAAAAAATAAAGGGCATTTGTGGAAAACAGTCACGTGCTTCTGAACATCGTGGATTTGGGGGTTTGACACAAGAGGAGCATGGAAATCAGTTCCTGTCAACCTCACTTTCAGCCACATAGTCTTGATAAATGTCCTCAAGAGATGTTTATTTTCTGGCATTTTTTGGATCTCCTCGTAGTAAGAAATCTCTGATGTTACCCACAAAACTACAGAATATTTAAACTAGAAAGGACATTGTTGTTAGGGAAATAATACAGAAAAAAAATCCGCCTGAAAATTGCATGTGATTCAGTTCTGTGATTACTGAGTGGCCCTACTATCTAGTTCTCGAAGGGTATGTTGTCTTTTTTTCTTTTTGTCATTATTAAGCAGTGTTATTTTTCCCTACCACCGTAAAGGCAGGCTGCCTCACTACCATAAATCCCTCTTCCTGGGTAATGTCAGTTAACATCCATGGAGAGTACATACCAACCTGAAATTGACAAAATGTTTTAAATCACAAATTGCCAGTTAGAGAGGTATTTTACCAGTGTTTATTCTCATTACAGGCATGCGAGCAAACCACAAGTTCATCAGAATGGAATTGATTTAACCCTACTATTGCAGTTGAAATATCTTGTTTCGGATTTTGTCAAGAGATAAAGTAGTATTTTGAAGTTGAACCTGGTGTTTTAAAGCAGCCTGATGTATAGCCATTCTCTTTTGAGCATGCATGCAAACCTAAATGTTTAGCATACTTTATTATGCCTTCAGAATAAGAGCACAGACAGGAATTGGATGGGATGGGATGAGGTTAGTGTTTGTGTTAAACAACGTGTGTGTGTGTGTGTGTGTGTGTGTTTAATTTTGGGGAACACATAAACTTGTATTTTAGATTATTCTGGGACTTGAAATTGTATTTTTCATTCCAAGAGTAATCAAGTTTTCATGGACTGGACTGGAATTAATGGTAAGGGAAACAAACAAGATACACTTTTATTGGTGCTGCTAATACAATTCATATCAATACATGCGGTGGTGAATGTCCTTTATGTTTTCTCTGTGGTGAATGTGGGCTGTTAAAAGCACTAGAATATTTCCTGTTCTCCTGGGGGAAGCTCAATGATTGCTTGTAATACAGCTGGTACTTAGTTCCTTTTAGGTTTGTGAGAGCAAACTGATTCTTCCTTTTTGCTCACAGAAGGGTGCAAATCGAGTTTTCTTTGGAGGGCCCCAGCAAGAACTCTTATTTCCTTTTGCCATGGTAGGCCAGATTCAGGCAGATAATTGCTCTCCCATCACGATTGCAGGTTGATTTGCCCACATGTTGTTGTAAACACTGTGAAATGAGAACTCTTATGTACTGCTAGTGGGAGTGTAAACTGGCATAACTCTTCTGGAAGGCAGTTTCACCATCAATTTCAAACAAGATTTTTTTTTTAAAGTTCATATCCTATGATAGGATAAATTCCTAGGAGTTAAATTACCATAAGGAAATCAAAATTTATTCATAAAGATGTTCAGCTGTTGTCAATAATGGTGATAAACCAGAAACATCCTAAATGGTCTAAAAGAGATGAATGATTAAATTATGGTGCTACTATGCCTCCATTGAAAATGATATTTTCAAAGACTATAAAAACCATAAGACAAATACATGTCCCAAGATTGCATTTTTCTTTTTAATGTGGACATGTATAGAAAAAGAGTGAAAGGAAATATTGAAAATGCGAAAGCAGTATTGGTGATTTTAATACTCATTCTACTCTTTTATATTACTATAATAGTGAGAGAAAATCCTGGAATTTTATTTAAATATATTTGCATGCGTGTTAAAAGGTTATGGTGCACTGAAGCTAGCAGAATTGGAACAACTGCTGTTTGTGTTCCTTGTTGCCTTAATTGGGTGTAATAGAAATATTACTTGCCTGTACCTCTTGCTAGCGATAGAGATCATTTGTCCTATTGTTCCGTGGACAGTGTTTTCCTCTGTTGGTTTATGACATCCTGGTCACTCCATCTGACCAGCCCAATATGTTCAAGTAATTGGGTTCCATAATAGGGAAAAAAAGAGGATATTTGCAAAGAGATTTCAAGATTTGTTTATTTCATGTTTCTTTTTCATGCTGCTGCCAGCTTTTCAATAACTAACACAGTCACTTGGAATTTAATTCTGCAGACATAAGTTATACCAAGTATATTCGAATATAGAGAATATTCAAATCGAGAATTGGTGATTTTGTTGTTGAGTGCCAAAATATAGAAGTTAAATTTTTGAAGAAATTAAAAGAGTAAAAGCTTTCCTACTCTAATTCACCCCTGGATGGTTCTGAATAGATACTAATGAACTCTGAAATGAGTCCAGAGGCGTGATCTCTGCCTTTAGTTGCATCCCTAGGAAGCCTGGTAGAACTATGTACTTCCTTTGCTGCAACTTCTGGAGTTGCTTATTTTCTCATGCTGACATAATTGATAAGAATTGGGAGCATTCCACTGAAGCTGTAATATCCTCCTCCTCCTCTGCAGTCATTCAGGGAGTGTGGGGAGGGTATAGGAGAGGCAGAAGCAATAGAGAGGTGAGGAAATGCTGCTTGAGCTTTCTCTGTCCCTCGCTACCAGGTCCGAGCTGCAGGTTGTACAAGTCACATTGTATCTTGGCACCCACTGGAGTTGTGCGAGATGGCAGTAGCGGTCTAGGTTGCTGTTGAGTGGAAGTTTGTTGAATCTGTATTCTCTTCCCCTGCCAAACTTCTTGCTTGCCTGACTTCCTGCTTTTCTACTGTCCAAGTACCACAAGTAGATTTTTATTATAAGCAAAGGAAGTAATAAAGATACGAAGTAGAGCCTTTTGGTTCTAAAATTACCTGTTGGGAGAACATCAGAGGCTTGAATGTCAGTTCATCTTGATGCTGGCCAGCCAGACGTGTGATTGGTTGGCTCTTCCGACACCAATAACCGATGTCTGGGTTATCTCATTGTCCCATCCTACCTTTACTGGGACATCAGAACTCTACCACTTTAGGTCCAAAGATTAAGGTAAAATAGGTAGGTTTTATTGAAATATTGCTCAAATCTAAGATTTTGTTTAATGTTTTAAAGATAAATTATTTTTGGTTAGGAGCTGATGTTGGGAATGAATGAATGAATGGGTACCACATCTGATGAATTGCCTAGAGTCTGTATCAGAAGGCAATAATGGGGGGTGCTGGCATTGTTCTAGCTTTCTTTTTACTTCAAACATATCTTCAGCTACCTGTTTTCTCTTAATTTTTCCTATTCTATTATATTTCATTGTCTAGTCTTGACTAATGATCTTAGTTTCAAGAAGAAACATAAGATTTTTCTTTGGCTTTTTTTAATAATGAAAAAAATGTATAGGACAATAGTAAAATAGCCCTACTTCATCCATGCTGGAGTCTATCCAACTCCAGGTTGGTCAGATGGTGGATCCTATGATTGGATCCTATGATTGACAAGTGCGTTTAAATCCAAGGTTGGAGAGGTGAAAATCTGAGTGAAGCTCAAGTTCGGAGGCCTCATAATTTTAAGGAAATTGTTGGGGCTGCATCAAGGAGCCATTTATGGATCTCCTCCTTTTTTTGTCCTTCCTGTGCTTTTAGTATGTTCTCCTGTACTGAGTTTTGTATTTTTTTGCAAAAAAAAAAAAAAAAAAAAAGAACATGAATTCCAATCATAAACCAATAAATGTGTTCTGAATTGTTTTATGATTTGATTGAAGTATGACATAGATGATACTTAAGTTTTATCTTAAGTCAGTAACTCTAAGGATTTGATTCTCAAGTCTTAGTAACTTGGGCGAAGTACATTTTCATATCAGATCTGTCCATAAGTTTAAATAAATTCATCAAATTAAAAAGTGTTCAGAGAGAACTTGTTTTGAGAAAGACAGTATGGTGCTTTTCCTTGCACTGCACAAAAGTAAGTATGTAGGAAGATTCTAAACTCCTTTTCCTTTTAGTTGCTTTTAGATCAGCATTTTTATAAGTTACTAGTTCATTGTGTTTTACAAACTCACTGTCATATGTGAGTATGTGAATTGTTTCTTTTTATTTAGATTGTTAAATTTAAATATTTAAATTAACTTCTTTAGATATTTAAAATGGAAGCAATATATTGTTGAAAGTATGGTCTAGATGATGTGGGACAACATTTTACCCATAGCTTCTATTTTTTTTTTTCTATAAAAAGGACATCTTTTCTGAGGAATGACAGTATGGCTTTTACATAGACCCAATGGTACAGATTTTATATTGAATAATTAGTATTTATTGACTTTGCTCTAGCTATTCAGTATTATGTATTGCATTTGTCTGGGTTCTCTGAAAAGCAGATGCCAAGTTGGAAACAGGCATGTAAGAGATTTGTTTGGTGAAATGCCTGCTAGGGAAATTGGAGAGGGAAATGGATGAGGCTGGAAAAGCCAACAGATTGAAATGCAGGTTTGCCTGAGAAGGAAAAAGGGAAGGAAGAGAAGAAAAAAGGTCTTGGATTGGAGTGCAGTTCTAAGACAGTTTTGGCAAATTCAGTAGAGTCCTTGAATGAGATAAAATTCTTGGACAGATGAGGATCACAGTTTGTAGGGAGGGGTCTGCCTAAGTGTCCCTACTGCACTCAGTCATAGCTGGGAGCAGCCTGAGGGAGGCATGGTGTCAGTGTGATCATGGGTAAAATCGCAGCAATGGGGCCAGCTCACTCCCACAGCACCAGATCTGAGAGGTACATTCTACGGCCACAGCACATGTAAATATCAGGCTACTAAATGTTTTGCTTAACGTGCGCCACCGAATCATGGAATACATTAGGTCTAACCCAAGATAGAGGAAAACAAATGTTCTTTTTCTACAGAGACAGAAAGATAGGCTAATACCATGACACGTCTTATCTCTTTATCAATTGAACATAGGAACTTACTTGGTTTGCAAATAGCATGGTTGGCACACTGGGCTTTGTATAAGGAAGGCTGGTTCCTAGAGGTTTTTTTTGTCATTCAGAAAGAGCAAAATGAGACAAAAAGGCTTTGGAAAGAAAACTCTTGTGCTTTGAAGGCCGTGTTTGGAAACTACCTTGAGTGTGATGCTTCGAGTGAATCTCTTTCCAGAAAAATAGCCCTCTTCATGTGTTACATGTTATGGGTCAGAAGTCTTGTTGTCAGGAGGGTGAGCTACAGTCTGGTCTAAAAAAGCTTTAATGTAGCCCTTATTACTAGGACCAAAACCTCATGCTTCTGCAAGAGCAATTTTGTTTTCAATATAAAAGAGCATGGTGTAAATGGGTGTCATCTGTGAGTACATCTTGCTACACTTGCCTCACCAGATCTGGTGGAGCAGATGACCTTCCTTTTCTTCTTTCACAGCCGAGTTCTCTTTCCCTCTCTCAGCCTCATGTACAACATTAGCAATCTTGTTTCAAATAATGAACGCTGGCCATTGGGCTGTAAGATAGAAAGATATTGCAAATAAGATATAAATTTGGGTAATAGTGGTAAGATTTCAAAGGGTATTTGTTGATACTTTCTTTAAAATAGTTTATCTTATTTACATATATTTATAGTTGAAAATGTATCCTCATTATTTTCAAGAGGTGGAAAATGGGAATTAGGATGAGAGGAATGAGACAAGAAAATAGACTCACAGAGAAGTGGATGAGTGTCGTTGACAACATCGGATGTGGCCTAAAAGTGGTTTGTATTATTGAGTTGTAAGAGTGTTTTTATATAGACTAGTAAAGTCCCGTATCAGATATATGGTTTGCAAATATTTTCTTGCATTCCTTGAAATATCTTTTCACTTTCTTGGGTGATGTGTGTCCTTCGAAGCACAAACATTTAAATTCTAATGATATTCATTTAATCTACTTTTTCTTTTATTGTTTGTGCTTTTGGAAACCAGTGCGTAACCTGAAGTCACAAAGATTTATACTTACGTTTTCTTCTAAGGGTTCTCTTGTTTTAGCTCTTAGATCTAGGTCTTTGATCCATTTTGAATTGATTTTTCTGTTCTTTCATGTGTACATCTCATTGTCCCAATACCATTTGTTAAAAAGACTCTTCTTCCCCTCATTAAGATACCTTGGCAGCCTTGTTGACACTGGTGCCACTTCTCAGGCAAATTTTTATTTGATGGCTTTTTCCAAATTAAAGTTGGTATTATTGTTGGCCAATAAATGGTTTATTTACAGGCAGCTGCATTTTACAAATGTATCTTCTACTTTATGCCTTTTATAGAACAAAGCATAGTAGAGCATTTTTAGATGAAGGAGCCCGTGTATCTGTCTATCCAGGTGGAATCAGGGCACTGGATTGTGTATCTCCCAAACCAGCTCTTCTCACGTTTTAATGAGTGGAATTCCCTGGCAATCTTGTTAAAATGCAGATTCTTAGGTGGGCATGGTTGCTCACACCTGTAATCCCAGCACTTTCGGAGGCTCATGTGGGAGGATCACTTGAGCTCATGTTCGAGACCAGCTGGGGCAACAGAGTAAGACCCAGTCTCTACAAAAAATACAAAAATTAGCCGGGCGCGATGGTATATACCTGTAATCCCAACTACTTGGGAGGCTGAGGTGAGAGGATTGCTTGAGCCCAGGAGGTCGAGGCCACAGTGAGCCATGTTTATGCCACTGCACTCCACCCTGGGCAACAGAGTGAAAAAAAAATGCAGATTCTCATTTTCTAGGTCTGGAATGGAGTCTGCATTTCCAACTAGCTCCTGGGCATGCTGATGGTGCTGGTCCAGGAGCTACACCAAGTAATGGCACAAGAGTGTCTAATGTGATCTTCTTATTCAGTGTTGTTATATCTATCTATGTAAAGTGATTTCGAAGGGAAATAAAAATGGTTTATTTCAAATTCATTATTTTTCTATTTTATTTAATAAACTTCGAGATGAAAAAACCACCATCCAGAAAAATAGAATGAAAGTTTCTTTCCAACGGCTGTATTAGTCCGTTCTCATGCTGCTAAATAAAGACATACCCAAGACTCGGTAATTTATAAAGGAAAGAGGTTTAATTGAATCACAGTTCCTCATGGCTGAGGAGGCCTCAGGAAACTTACAATCATGGCGGAAGGAGAAGCAAACATGGCTTTCTTCACATGGCAGCAGCAAGGAGAACTGCAGAGTGAAGGGAGAGGGGGAAGCCCCTTATAAAACCATCAGGTCTTGTGAGAACTCACTCACTATCACGAGAACAGCATGGAGGTAACTGCCCCCATGATTCAATTACCTCCCATTTGGTCCCTCCCACGACATGTGGGGATTATGGGAACTACAATTCAAGATGAGATTTGGGTGGGGGCACAGCCAGACCACATCAATGGCCTTCTTGCCAATCTTGATTATTTTCTGTCTTCCTTCCAGGCCTCTGATGATTGTCACTCAGAAGATCACAACCTTGGCATTCCAGGTTCATGATGGTAAGAACAGCAGCCCTCCTTTTGGTTCTCAGAGTGAGCCTGACATGCAGAGCTCTTCTTTTTATACTATGTACACAGTCCAAAGTTTAGACAAATGCTGGCAGATCTTGCTTTATCTTGTTCAAAATTTCCAGGCCTCGGCAATCATAGCCTTTCACTTTTCCAGCCATGATTCACCATTTTCCTGCAGAATCGGCAGTCTAAATTTGCTGACGTATTTGTACTGAGAACTCTGTGTTTTCTGTTTATCTTTACAATGTTTTAAATTTAAGTTAATTTGTGACACTCTCTGCCCTTTGTTTTCAAATCTGTTAAAAAGAAATGACATCCTTTTAGCTTTGGTTTAATCTCTGAGAAGCTCACAAGCTAATGAAAGATTAAATAGTATTGGCTGGTTAATCATTTTTAAATGCTAGGTTGGTTTTTGTTTGTTTTTTTTTTTGGCTTGGAAAATTATCTAATGATAATTCCCTATAAAAAGCTGGGAAAGGGGCCAGGCACGGTGGCTCACACCTGTAATCCCAGCACTTTGGGAGGCCGAGGTGGGCAGATCACGAGGTCAGTAGTTCGAGATCAGCCTGACCAACATGATGAAACCCCCGTCTCTACTAAAAATACAAAAATTAGCTAGGCGTGGTGGCACATGCCTGTAATCCCAGCAACTTAGGAGGCTGAGGCAGGAGAATCGCTTGAACCCGGGAGGCAGAGGTTGCAGTGAGCCGAGATCGCGCCACTGCACTCCAGCCTGGGTGACAGAGCGAGACTCCATAACAACAACAACAACAACAACAACAAAGCTGGGAAAAGGAAGAATCTTCTGTTTGTATAAAACTGAACATTTTCTTCACTCAGGCACTGCCTAAAAATGGCCAGAAAGTGTGATTTACATTGTTCAAACTGGGTTCCAAGAAAAGGAGGAAGATTATTTCAGCTGGGCGGAAGATTTCAATATGGGCTTTGGAGAGGCCAGGTGCAATTAGTAAAAGTATATTCTGTGGATTTGTACTGCTCTAACAAGCACTTTTTGACTGACTTTTTTTTAAATGTTGAGAGGTTGAAATTTATCTCTGACAGCTAGTTTCCTTATTTTTCCTTAAAGCTTGTGAACTGATTTAATTTCATTTGACCCAGTGTATCCCTAGTTCATACTTGGTGATTTAGTCATTCTGTAGAGAACCAGGTAGTTTTATACCAAGGATGGAGTCTTTCTAGGGTAAACAACTGTCCTGGTTTGCCCAGTACTAAAAGGTTTCACAAGATGTGACTTTCAGTGCCAAAATCAGAGAGTCCGGAGCAAAGCAGGGTGAGTTAGTTACTCTATTTGTAGCTGGAAAGTCCCCTTGGTAGTGGTTATAGACATTAGCAACTGAAATCAATAGCCAAAATCAGTTTAATTTCTAGGATTGCCAGCGATTACTATTTGATGAGATCTTATAAAAATGAGTTTTTAAAAACACTGCTTCTTTTTTCTTTTTAAGCAGCTTCGTTGCCTAAATTTACTTTTTAAAGCATTCTCAGTTTACCATATTTCCTGGAACATCCCTTAAATGCAGCAAAATGTTTACTCGCCTTTTTTTTTTTTCCTGGTGTGTGGGAGGAACGAGTAAATTCCAGAAATATTCTGCCTCCTCTTAGGCATGATTTTGAATTGCCTTCATGGTTGATGACCCTACTCAGCCTTAGCTGAATATACAGTTTTAGAGTTGACATATTGCTTTTAAGATAATACTTCAGCTTCTTTGACTCTAAGTTAGTGTGTACATTTCACAGAAAGCATGGATGTGACTTGGTTGGGAGTTTTTCTGATTCGGACGAATGATAAAAAGAAGAAAACTCTGATAATTTCTTTGTAATTTTCCCACAATTAAGATTACATTTCCCCCATTTTATTTTTTATTTTTTATTGTTCTGGAAGAGGAAAGTCTCCTGTTTCTTTTTCCATTATGTCCCACAACCAGGCTCTCAGCTTGTAGTAAGTGTCTGCACCTAGTGCAGCCAGGGAGGTATTTAAGCTGTGGCAGCCTGTGAAAGGCAAGATGCTCTCTCTGATGTATCAGGGAAGACATATACAAAGTGGCAAGGAACTCCCAGATGCACCAGATGGGGAGGGTTCTCTGGGATCCATGTCATACTGTACAGTTTAAGTAGGAGAAACCTTTGAGTCCTTCCCCTCTCCATGTGAACCTACAGAGACTTTGCTTCTCACACGTGTACTTATGGGTAGCTCTTTTGGTCCAGGGCATTAAAAAAAAATGAAAAACAGGAACTCTTTATGATTTATGAAGCAAACAAAGATTACCTGGTTCAAATGACTTTGATAAGACCCTTTTATAATTTGTCATCTAATTCACTTCAAACATCTTATTTCTAAATTCTTTTCTTTTTCATAGGATTAGGTCGAAGAGCTGAAGACCTTTCTGCTGAACAACATCGACTTGCTATCAAGTAAGTGAAGTGTAACGATATATTAACAAGCCCTTTGCATATCAGTATCTAGAGATTTTCCTCATTTAAAAATATCTACACATTAATTCTGTTCTATGGATATAATATCATTTATTTTATGAATCTGCTATTGATGGACATGTGCATTGTTACCAGTCTTTGGTTTTTACAAGTGATTAAGTGATGAATAACCTTGTACTAGGTCATTTTGAAATGTGTTAGGGTAGAACTGTAGGATAGAGTCTCAGAAGTAGAATCGTTAGGTCAAAGAGTAAATAGAACTGTACCTCTGCGAGGCTGTCCTTCCCTGGGGTTGTTATGTTTACTCTGGAAGTATTCTTACTGGCCATGTGTCTTGGGGGTCCTAAAGAATAGTGAATGATCAATGTCAGTGTGATTAAATGCCACTCTGAAAAAAGATAGGAAGTAGGGCAGGAGAGGTGAGTATAGCTGAGTTAAATACAGGAGGAGGGCTACAGGTGGCTTTGCCAGTGTTGATGTGAAGTAGGAAGGGGGAGTGTTGGAGAAGAAGTGGGAGGGGAATAACTTTGATCTGAGAGTAAAGATGGCATGTGGGGTAGCACATCGGGTGCAGCCATGGTGGAGGGGCGGGGGGTTCCTGCTAGACAGAAGCAGGGACAACTGGCATAACTGAGGAAGGTTCCAGGTGGTAGAGGAGATTGACTTCTTCATTCCTGCATTAAGGAATTGGGACTTGGAAGCAGTGGAGCACTATTGAAAGATTCTAATGAATCAGCCCTTTCCTAAGCACAATGGAGGTGTAAATGCTGTAGGGCAGCAGTCTCCAACCTGTTTGGGACCAGTTTAGTGGAAGACAGTTTTTCCACAGACCCAGGGTTGCGGGTGGTGGTGGGGGGATGGTTTCAGGAGGGCCTTACATTTATTGTGCACTTTGTATTGTTATTACATCGTAATATATAATGAAATAATTATACAACTCACCATAATGTAGAATCTGCGGGAGCCCTGAGCTTGTTTTCCTGCAACTAGGTGGTCCCATCTGGGGGTGTTGGGGAACAGTGACAGATCATCAGTCATTAGATTCTTATAAGGAGTGTGCAGCCTACATCCCTGGCATGCACGGTTCACCATAGGGTTTGCACTCCTATGAGAATCTAATGCCGCTGCTGATCTGACATTAGGTGGCGCTCAGGCGGTAATGTAAGTGATGGGGAGAGGCTGTAAATACAGATGAAGCTTTGTTTGCTCACATGCCGCTCACCTGCTGCTGTTGGCCCAGTTCCTAACAGGCCACAGACCAATACCAGTCTGAGCCCCAGGGGTTGGGAATCCCTGCTATAGGGGATAATTCCGGCGACTGGTTAGCAATGACATTTCAGGGAGTCTTTATTCTATCTTGCTAGAACAGGCCTTCCAAAATGCCATTAAAGCACCACACAGAACAGTTCTCTACAGACTTTTTTCCCTCCACTACCTTGGTCTGTTACTCAGGAACTCAGGCCTGGTTGCCAAAGCAGACAACAGGCTGCTACTGCGGTTCTTCTGCGTGGCCTCTTTCAGTGGAAACTGGTTCCACCCATCATTTGTTTTGTATTTATGTTGGCAATCGGGAGGGAGTTTTCCCATTTGGAAGCATCTCGATCCGCTAACATTAGGTCAGGTTCCGCCCTGCTTTATGTTTATTACCTTCGTTTTGTCCTGTAGACAGGAAAGGTTGATGAGATAAGGACATTTCCCAGCCTGAGTTGCACTTGCCCTCGCCCAGCTCTGAGTGCCTACGGCTGTGTCTGGCCAGCAGAGGGCAGCATGGAGCTCTGTGCCTGCTGTGAGCCCCCTGCTTCTTTAACCTTTCCTTTCCACAAGATTTCTCCTCGGCTGACTTTGTAGAAACAAAACAAGGAAAGGTCATGTCATGTATCGAATCTACAGAGATAACATTTGTGTTTGCTTATTTACAGATTCTGAAGAAAAAGCAAAGACTGAAGACTTTTCAATTTATTTACTTTATTTTCACAGAGTGAAACCCTCTTTTTTGGAATACTTAAGTTACCTTCTCAATTTCATGAGTGTCATAGCTGGTCCTTGTAACAATTTCAAGGACTACATAGCCTTCATTGAGGGGAAGCATATACACATGAAGTTGCTGGAGGTGAACTGGAAGCGAAAAGGTTTCCACAGCTTGCCAGAACCTTCTCCCACAGTAAGTTTTTAGTGTCTAGAGAATAGGGTTTTGCTGCCAGGGTTGACTCTCTCTAATAATGGTTCTAATTAAGAAGCCAAACAGTTTACCAGAAAGCTTGGCCAATAACTTTTCTCATTTATTTAAAATACCAGTATAGTTACTTATTTGCAGCAGTTCTATTTTGCAGCAATGGGTGTTTATTTTACTGAGAAGCTCATTGGCTAGGAAAATGAAAGCAGTCAGTTCATCAGTCAATATTTAGTGCATACAAGGTGTCCAGCACTGTGGAGTTAACACGTTTGAATACTATGGGTGTTTTGCCTTTATGAGTTGAAATTCAAGTACAGCCAAAAGATGATATGGCATAGAAGGTGAGGGGGAGGGGGACCACGGAACTGGAATTACTGTGTTTTTCTTGTAGAGCTCACTTATTGCAAGGGAAACCAGTTTTACCTTGGCATGCCTAAAGCTTGCTTATGTTGACCTTGAGAGAATTTAAGATGACTTTTTGAAATAATATTTTAAAACTTAACTGAATTTTATCAATCTCTAATTAGTCAATATTAGAATAACTCATTGAACTTTACAAATATGCTCAATTTATTCAGGTCAAATATCCTATATTTAAGGGACATTTGTAATTAACGAAAGGAGTGGTGAAAATTGGAAAAGGAAGGAAATGAGGATAATTCAAGTTAAACATTTTGAAACTGCTAACGCCTTGGCAAAGACTATGAGTTAAGTATTTGAAAACTTAAGGGATTTATTAATTAGGTATGAGTTTTTAGATATTTTTGACATAGTTCAGTTCTCAGCACTTTATGGTTGGTCAAGTATCTCAAGTTCATCTGCTTTACCAAAACGATCTAGGAGTGAAGTCACCATGGTTGTGAGAGACACCAAAGTGACAGCATTTCTAGGCAGTATCTGTCACCTTAGTGTTTTCACGCTTCTCGTGCTTTTATTTATAAGGTAATGTCATCAGAGAGTCTTTCTGCCACTCTCCAAGGAAACACTTGCATTTTTGTGCACAGATAAGGTGAAGTGGTGAGGTTGCGTTTTAGTTCAAGACATACAGCTGGGAAAGGGCTGGGATCCATGAGCTGGTGCCTATCAGTGGTATAGCTGTAATTGTGGCTGAGCGTGCTAAGCACTTAACTGGGATCCAGGCACTGTTCACAGGACCTTGCAAATACTCATTCACTTAAACCCCAAGGTGCCCTCTGAGGAAGGTGCTATTGCTATGCCCATACTACCAATAAAAGTCTTTTTTTTATGAAGTCGGAGACTAGAGTTCTGTTGAATGTTGAAGGACATTCCTTGAAATGTCAGGGGAGCTAGGCAAAATCACTCTGTCCAGAGGAATTTAAAAAGTCAGCACATAATTAACCCCAGAGTAGACTATATCTAAACCACCCTGGAAGGCTTTCTAGAGCTCCCCATTACCTGCCCATGTCCTGGCTGGCCCAGGTATTCAATCACTTGCTCAGAATCCTTCGTACCTGAGCCTCTGTCTTCCCTACTGGTGATTCAAGCCCATTTCCTGGGCTCTGCTGGCCACAGGAATAGAAGGCAAATGTGCAAATGTTTTTTGTTTTTCTTGATGGAAACTTGCCACCCTGTTATCCATTTCTCTTGTGTTTTGGATAATATAAGTACTTACATTTTGTTCGTTGAATATGCTGATGGAAGTTTTCTTCCAGTCTAGATACATTCAACCCCCAAGTGTCAGAGGCATGTTCTGTATCTAAATATAGCACCTAATCTCCATTGTCAGATTTGTCTCATGAGGAAGAATGCCTGTTGTCACTCCTTCTGGGGAATAATGCCAAGCAGCTGTTGGAGCAACGTTGTCCTTAACAGGTCCATTCCAAAGCTGTTTTCTTCATACCTGAGCCTTCTGCACGGTGACACTGATTTTTCCCCATTTTCAGGGAGCTGTGATACACAAGTTGGGCATCACCTTGGTGTCTCTCCTTTTGTTTTTGACGCTAACGAAGACCTTTCCTGTCACCTGCCTTGTGGATGACTGGTTTGTCCATAAAGCAAGCTTTCCGGCTCGACTCTGCTACTTATATGTTGTCATGCAAGCCTCAAAGCCCAAGTATTACTTTGCATGGACATTAGGTAAGTTTGATGGAGTAGCTGTAACTGAATGAGGGAAAAATGCTACTGCTTGAATGGCTTAGCCAGAACGACGTTTTGGATCACTTCATCAAAGAAGCTCAACACGTAATGGGAGGCAGTTGAGTCAGGGTCAGTTTTAACGTACCAACATAGCACTCCTCTCTCCCACCCTCCATAAACTCAGTTCTCCATGATAAGGAGAAAAACACCCTGGCTGTTGTTTAAACCCAATGTTATTAGCAGATGTCAAAACTTGGAAGCTTCTCCTTCTACCAATCAAAGTTGGCCATGTAAAGCAGTGGAAAGTTGAGGGGAAATTCTGGAATGATTGATCTGGCTTTCTTTTTTTTTGACATGGAGTCTCACTCTGTCGCCCAGGCTGGAGCGCAGTGGCACGATCTTGGCTCACTGCAAGCTCCACCTCCTGGGTTAATGCCATTCTCCTGCCTCAGCCTCCCAGTAGCTGGGACTACAGGCGTCCGCCACCACACCCAGCTAATTTTTTTTGTATTTTTAGTAGAGATGGGGTTTCACAGTGTTAGCCAGGATGGTCTCGATCTCCTGACGTCGTGATCTGCCCGCCCTGGCCTCCCAAAGTGCTGGGATTACAGGTGTGAGCCACCACGCCCAGCCTTGATCTGGCTTTTTTGTAGTTTTTCTGGGTTTTATGTAATATAGGATGCACCTTGAATTAATTTGACCAACACACATGCTAATTTAGGTTACACTTCTTTAAGGAACCGTTGTTAGGTTTTTATGTCTTAGAAAGAAGCTGACTTCAAGTGATTTTTTTTTTTTTTTAGGTAGAAAGTTCAACTTCACTTGGTTTTATCACACCTTTTGTTTTTTCCTGTGGGATAACTTGGTCTATATTAAGCTTTTATCTCTTTCCTTTCAAACAATTTTAGACTGCAGTTGCATAAAGCTTTACTAACATGAGCTATAAACCCATCTGTATACTTAGAGACTGGGAAAGGGTGTTGATAAAGTACGGAAGCCCTGTCTATGTCACACTGGAACCCTTTCAGGGATGGGAGTTGTGTGTCTTAGCTGCAAGCGACCTGCGCTTGATGTCAGAGAGCAGTGACTTGGCTTATTAAATAAAATAGAAGATTAAACTTGGTTTCTGAGGGTTCAGCCCACATCTCACGAATGAGGGAATAGCACTTAATTCCTTGAGTTCCTCTTCTCTCTCAGTTCATCCTTCAAGTTTTAAGTTCCAGTTAAAGTTTGCAGGTACCAAATTACTTTTTTTTTAAAAAAAATTATAATTTTTTTGGCTGGGTGTAATGGCTCATGACTATAATCCTAGCACTTTGGGAGGCTAAGGCTGGCGAATCACTTCAGGCCAGGAGTTCAAGACCAGCCTGCCCAACATGGCAAAACCCCGTCTCTACTAAAAATACAAAAAATTACTAGGAAAATCCCAGCTACTGTAATCTCAGCTACTCAGAAGGCTGAGGCATTAGAATCACTTGAATCGGGGAGGTGGAGGTTGCTGTAAGCCGAGATCACGCCACTGAACTCCGGCCTGGATGATGGAGCAAGACTCTGCCTCAAAAAAAAAATAATTTTTTTTTCATTGTGGCAAAATACATATAAAATTTACCATTTTAATCATTTTTGAGGGTACACTTCAGTGGTATTAAGTTCATTCACAATACTGTGCCACTATCACCACCGTCTATCTCTAGATCTTTTTCATCACCCAAACAGAAACTCTGTACCCAGTAAAAAATAACTCCCCATTCCTTCCTCCCCCAGTCCAAATTATTTTTAAGGGCCAAAATGTTCCTGCATAAGTTCAGTCCAATGCTGTATTTATGTAACATTTGGCTGGAGAGATCTGACTTAGAGCTTTTGTAAAATTTACAATGAGGGAAATTTTGTTTCTGTACACTTTCAATTTAATTTGAGGAGTTTTGTACCAGATTCTGTGCTAGGAGGAATCAAAAGGTAGGACGTTGACTCTCCCTCAAGATTGTTGCATGGTTGGGAGCACAGACATACAGCCACCAGGCAATACTCTTCAAGCAGTGTCCCAGTGGGAGGAATAAAGAGAAACGGATGAATACAGACTGGTCACTAGGGAAGGTTCAGTAGTCTTCTTTTATCTTATTTCTTGTTCTGCAGTTACAAATGATGACTTCTTTAGCAGGTAGGCATTAGACCTGCTATGGTTGGAAGCCTACTTACATCACTGACCTTATTTTTTCTATGTGAAATATATATATATTTTTTTGAGATGGAGTTTCGCTCTTGTCACCCAGGCTGGAGTGCAATGGTGCGGTCTCGGCTCACTGCAACCTCCACCTCCCTGGTTCAAGTGATTCTCCTGCCTCAGCCTCCCAAGTAGCTGGGATTACAGGTGCCTACCACCACACCCAGCTGATTTTTGTATTTTTAGTAGAGACGGAGTTTCACCATGTTGGCCAGGCTGGTCTTGAACTCCTGACCTCAGGTGATTCACCCGCCTCAGCCTCCCAAAGTGCTGAGATTACAGACATGAGCCACTGTTCCTGGCCAAATAATTAATAGTTTTAATTTCCTCTAATCTGAGTGAATGTGTATGTGTGTGTGTGTGTAGGGGACAGAGAGAGAGAGAGAGAATATATCTAATTCCCTCCTACTATCTTCTGCTGCCTCACCCACCTTCCTTTTCTCTTTTCTCTTCCTATCCTCCTGCTCCCATTTTCTGTATCCCAGGGCTTAAGGGCTAGCTTCTGGACTAAATCAGCTCCTGATCTCAGGAGGAAAGAAAGGCCATTCCATTGCATAGGGAAAGTCCAAGACAAGAAAGGACCTGGACTGGGAAGTGCCATGGGAACACAGAGCACCTGCACTTTTCTACCCTTCGGGGAGTTCCCCAGACATCTGCAGTACAGTGTAGAGGTACCCCTTCCTGTGGAGAGCTTTCTCTGTGGACTTAGCTCTTTTACTCCCCCCCATGCTTCCCTTTTCTTTGTCTTTTTTGGGTAGCTTCAGTAGAAACACTTGATTAATTTGTATGGCCTCAATTTGAGGTTTGTTACAGTTTAGATTGCACGGGCTGGTCTGAAATTAACCTTTGTCTTATTTACGAATAAAGAAGCAATGAATAGTGTATCAGGGAATATTTAAACTGCTTAACTGAATAATTGTTTTCTCCAGCTCCCTTTAAAACACCATTTACATATAATTGATGTACTAATTACACATGATTATAAATTTAATCCTTAAAGCTGGCCTCTTGATGAATCTCCACTGAGCTGCACTGTGTTAGCCTAGCTCTAGATACTGTTTATATTCAAATAATCAAACTATTTCTTTTGGACTTAGTGTATGGTCCTGGCTGTTTTCTCCCTGCTACTTAGTACTAGTACTAGTTAGTGAGACTTAACTTTAGTCCAGGCTGTTTTCTGAGGACCACATAGTCCAACAGATGGGCGTACAAATTAATTTATCTGTAATAATAGATTGGAACCATGCATAGTACAAGTAAAACCATTTTTGGACTGGTGAACTTAGAGCCTGTTACTGCTCTGAGACAAAAACCAGGCTTGGATAAATGACTGTGGGATCACTAGGGAGAGTGGGGATTCCGATATCGGCTCAGTGTGGTTCTGAGAGTCAGTAGTTGGGAACCTTTCACCATTTTCCTCTTTCAGCGTGGCTCTTACCTGCTCAGGTTGTGGAATCAAGTTCTAGGATTGAGATTCTGGCATTGTTGACAAACTACATGTTTTTTTAAATTTTTTTTTAGATGGAGTTTTGCTCTTGTTGCCCAGCTGGTGTGCAATGGCGCGATCTTGGCTAATTGTAACCTCCGCGTCCTGGGTTCAAGTGATTCTCCTGCCTCAGCCTCCTGAGTAGCTGGGATTGCAAGTGCCCGCCACCACACCTGGCTAATTTTTGTATTTTTAGTAGAGATGGGGTTTCACCATGTTGGCCAGGCTGGTCTCGAACTGCTGACCTCAGGTGATCCGCACGTTTCGTCATCCCAGCGGTTACATGATCTTAATGGTTACCTAATATCTCTAGCCTCAGTCCCCTTAATAGCATAATAATAATAATAATAGCTAACCTTTCTTGAGTGTTAACTTGGGCCAGCACTGAGCTGTCCACTGCACACATATTTAATTTTGTTTAATCCTTTCAACAGCCCTTTAAAATGAATACCATTATTATATCCATTTTATGCTCAAGGGAGCAGGTTTTTAGACGTTAGATGATTCTTCTCCTAGGCCCGTGTATGTAGTATGCTGCCGAGTGGAGGTAGAAACCTGTCCAGTTTCCCCCCGGAGCCCATCCTTAACCTTCTGTCTCAACACTGTTAGGAAGATTAAATGAGGAACTGCCTGTAAAGTATTATATAGAGTCCTGGAAAGATAATAAGCACTGAAAACACACACACACACACACGCACACACACACACACAGAAAAGATAGTTATCATTATTCTCTTCTCTTAGGTCTAACCAGCTGTGCCAGAAATGAGGCTGGAGATGGAAGAAGGAATTTAGAAGTAGTTATGATGCTGGTCCCAGTGACGGTCAGCCTGGCTCTGGTTTTAGTTCTCAACACAGACCTCAAGGCCCTTAGTGTCATTGATCTCTGTCACTCACGAATTAGTTCCCACACAATTAAAACCATTAGTTTCTTACAGGTACACCCTCACTTTGTTTGTCTTTTTCTTCTCCACTGGGTTCCCATCCAGTTGGCGACGGGAGAATGACATAGAAGGACTTGGTCTCTTTCATGCTTTCTTCTAAAAGAAACCAGATCATCTTACAGTGAAGCCAAGCGTAAGATAAGCAGTGTTAAATCATCATCTCTGCCAAATATAAATGAGACAGACGTAGGGCAGGTTGTTTTTCTTTAGAGCAGCTCTTCAAAGGCCATCTAGAGTTGGACTTTTATAGAAAAAGGAAGATTTCTCTAAGATCTCCAGATCTAAGATTTCACAGTGCTATCACTTAATTATTTTGATTAGTTCATTTTAATTTTTTCTTAGAAAATATTCTAACAGATTTTAAAATAAGTAGAAAGAGACAATTAGCCTCTTGGTCATCATAATAAAAAAAGTGAGTTGAGTTCATTAAGGAATTGAATAGAGATGAAATATTCCCGGCAGGAGAACATTCTCTTATAGTTCAGTGGCATAAGATAAAGATAGAAACAGGAGCTTTTAAAGGGACTTTATGGGTGGCTGGCTTGGGTGATTTTATCCACATGTGGCCTCCATTGCAGCTGGCCCCAGAGTCACATTTCTAGCTCTGTCCTTTGTCTTGGGACCTAAACTTTTTTTAACCCCATCTTGGCAGCTCCAACTGATACACTACCGGCGGGTCATGCTTAACATGTCCACAAAGAGCTCCAATCACTCTTGCGGAGCCGGTTCTCCTCCTGATTTAGCACTGCCTCTTAGGTAATGCCCTGCTATCTTTAGTGACAGCTCTGAGACCTCTTCTGGGTCCCTTGTTTCTTCTTGTCTCTGTATTTGAACTCAGATCTATTCTTACCACCTTTCTTTTCTCCCCTCCTGTCAAGTTGGTCACTAAATTCTACTGTTTATTTATTCATTTCGGTTCTTCGTTTCTTGTTTATTCTCATTTCTGCATTCTATGGACATCTAGCTTCTTTCCTCTTACCTTAGCAGGTGTTCCCTAAATGCAAGGGAATGAATGCATAAAAATCAAGGTTACCAAACAGCCGAATATGTTTTTCTGATTCAGAATGTTAGCAGGTCCTTTACATTTTGGGGTTCCTTTTCCAAAGACACTACTGCATATTTCTCCATCTTGAAGCTAGACAGATATTTAGTGTCTTTTAAAAGCAGCAATGTGACTTTTGTTCCATATCCTAATGTGTTACTTTAAAAACCATAGCTGATGCAGTGAATAACGCAGCTGGCTTTGGGTTCAGCGGAGTGGATAAGAATGGGAATTTCTGTTGGGATCTGCTTTCGAACCTAAACATCTGGAAAATTGAGGTGAGTGTATGCTTTTAAGTCCAACTTCCATAGTGAAGAAAGCAAATGATTTGCTTTGAGTGTTGTATCCCCAGAATGCTTCATCCATGTGTCCAAAGAAAAGCTGCTCTCAGGGAATTGCCAGGCTCAGCAGCCTACTGGACATTTTGCATCTCAGAATTGTTTTTTTCTGTCTTTTTTTTTTTTAAGATATCTACTTTCTTGACAGTTCTAATGGTTCAAGGAAGAATGACACAAAAACATCTGAAAAAGAGCCCGGAAAATCTTTTTGTTGTCTACATTTCTGCTCTTTCAACTAGAAAGTACCAGTGTCATCTCTCTCTCTTCTCTTTCTACCTATTTCAGTGACGAATGTAGACTGGAAGCTCCTGTATTTTGATTTCAATATTGCAAACGTTCTATGTGGTTCCTTTGGAGGCATTTATAATCCATTCACTTGTAAGAAGAATTGTCATAATGTACAACTTTTAGGCCACTAGAATAGTGTGGTTTTTCTCTCTGTCTTCATTCTTGCACCACAATTTTTGGTCTGCTCTCATTATCAGAGGTGGCTCCTTGGGGCCACATCATTCTGGATTTTCTTTGCATTGCTAGCTCTCAGAGTAGACAGGAATGCCAAGTCTCAGATCCTTTCCCCCTTGCAGCTGAATGGGAGGAGGGGCATGATTCTCAACATGCAGAAGCGTTGCATTCCTAGCCAGGTGATTCATGTTTGCTGTTGGTTTTGGTTTTCCACCTGCCACAGGGCAGACAGAGTCCACTGGAGAGTTTGGGCAGGAGGGGTTGTATGTGTAGAGCAAGAAGCCAGAGATAGTAGAAACTGACCACCTGCCACCCACGTTGGGTGGAAACTAGGCCAGAAGGAGGCATGGGGGAAGCCCCCAACATCTTTTGCCTGAGGCTTTTTGCATGTGGACGGCCTCCAGAGGGAAAGTGATCTGCATTTTAACTACAAAACATGGTGGAATTTATAGGGAGGATTATATTTTCACTTTTTTTTTTAGCATTGAGACAGCACTACTTCAAAAGGCAGACAAGCAGAAAGAAATAGAAGCATGCCACTGTTATCTAAGTAAATTACATCATATATTCAACGTAAACTCATCATGCTATTTGGTTATTCAGGTCAATCAGATTCAACAGATATTAATTGAGGGCCACTGCGGGCAAAACACTCATTTTTGTATAGTCCTAGAGGATCTGGGGTCTCCTGTGGGTGGAAAGCCTTGGCAGATGCTGTAGGAGCATGGGCAAGGTCCAGCATCAGTTCTGAATGAACAAATAATGTTTTTACTATTGGTCGCTGCTTGTGAGGCAAGAAGCAGTCCCCGGTCACGATGGACCACATTGTAAGTGGACAAGGTCCAGCTTTCAGAATGACCTGTCTCAGTTTTGGAAAAACAGTATACATGATCCGTAAGCTTCTCTTTTTTATATAGATGACGTCAGAGAGAGTTCAAGTGTGTTATGACTTTCCCCTTTTTCCCACTAAGATTCTTCTCTCCTTCCAAACTCATGGACTGGCTGCCTTGGAGTTTTGTTGGGTAAACGTCCTTTAGGGTGGTCCCCTTGACCTTCGGCTGCCTACTAGTCCCCCTAGCTATGTGCCAAAAAACAGAATCCTTCCACAGTGGACATGTCTTCAGGGTAAAGGACTAAGTCATTAAGTTATGTGCTTATTATAAAAGAAAACCAGAAAGAGAAAGTTTACATTTTCATCATACATTTGATATAGAATAAGGAGCTAAAGAAAAACAAGGAAGTCTGATTGGTTTAAGACACCCTGAGGCTGGGCTTATAGCATTTTATTAGCAGAAGAAATAGATAAATAAAACTCCTTGAAGTTTTGAAATAAAAACTCACAATAAAAAGATCTATTTTACATCTATCTATCTTCCTTCCTCCCACTTTTCTCTCCCTTCCTCCTTCCTTCTGTCCCTTACAAACATATTACATTAGGCCAATGTGTGGCCTATATATTATTTTCTTACGGTTGAAAACACTTCAGAAAAAAGTGGCACTTAGACTTTCTGCCTTCTTTAGGAATTCTGATCCTTGTATGTTTGCATCACGGTTATTTTTATTTTTATTTTTATTTTTTTTTTGAGATGGAGTCTTGCCATGTTGCCCAGGCTGGAGTGCAGTGGTGCGATCTCAGCTCACTGCAACCTCTGCCTCCTGGGTTCAAGCAATTCGCCTGCCTCAGCCTCCCGAGTAGCTGGGATTACGGGTGCCTGCTACCAGGCCCGGCTAACTTTTGTATTTTTAGTAGAGACTGGGTTTCGCCATGTTGGCCAGGCTGGTCTTGAACTCCTGACCTCAGGTGATCGGCCTGCCTCGGCTTCCCAAAGTGCTGGGATTGCAGGCATGAGCCACCACGCCCGGCTGCATCATGCTTTTTATCACTAGAACTTGGATAAGACCTTTTTCTTTTTTTTTTTCTAATGAGAAAACCCAGGTAATGGGTTATTGTGGGATGTCTCTTCCTCGGTGGTTGATTTGCTTGCGCCACTGCCGGTTGGGTGATATTTGTTTCCTTTCCTGTACTGTGATGCCTTCATGCATAAAATCTCTTACTATTCCAGAAACAATTGGAAACATTGGAACCTGAGTAGCTATTTATAGAGTTAACTGCACAAGACTGACCTAGTTTTAGAGGGCTACGCAGTGAAAAGATGACGATTAAATTTAAGCTGTCCCCATAACGGCACCAAATTCCCATGATGAAACTTTTCCTGGGGCAAATCCCTTTTTAGAATATTTAATTATAAAATTCAGATGGCTTAAAAAATTTTAACCAGAGTAAAAGGGAAACCCACAAAACTTTCCTTCAGTTTTCCTGTAATTTGAAAATACATGTTGAAAAAAAATTGAGACTTCGCAAGACAGGTTTTAGTTGCAAAGTGGATCTTATAAACAGCAGAAAATTGTCCTGTGTAGGATGGAACAGCTGACTTGCTCTCAACTGTGAGCAGTCACTATTGAAATACAGTATCTAACCTGCTGCCAGGGAAACTGGGGAGAACTTTCCATTACTTCGGGTATTTTTAAAGCTAATGATAGGTGTTATTTTCTTCTTTCCAGACTGCCACAAGTTTCAAAATGTACTTGGAAAACTGGAATATTCAGACAGCTACTTGGCTAAAGTGGTAAGAAAAACAAAAACGACCTCATTACTTAGGGCACTGGGATATGTTCAGAGGGGAGTCAGTAGATGAACAGTGGGAGTCTGCCTGTGGCAATGTCATCTGACACTCTTGTTTTGTATTAACATCTGTGCCCTGTAAATGATAAAGTAGAAATACAGTGATTTGAGAAGGCCATAATGTGGCATATTTATTTTATATCCCTGAATGCTGCCATTCCTGTATACCAGGCCCTGGTTTAATCCTCCATCAATCTCATGATATGTTGGGGGTATTACCCCCATTTTACAGATGAGGAAAGTGAGACCCAGAGAGGTTATGTCACTTGCCCAAAGTCACCCAGTGAAGGGATAGATACAAGCTCAAATGGTCTGGTTTCAGAATTAAATTTTTTTTTTTTTTTTTTTGAGAAGGAGTTTCGCTATGTCGCTCAAATTAGAGTGCAATGGTGCAATCTCTGCTCATTGCAACCTCTGCCTCCCGGGTTCAAGCAATTCTCCTGCCTCAGCCTCCCGAGTAGCTGGGATTACAGGCATCCATCACCAAGCCCAGCTAATTTTTTGTATTTTTAGTAGAGACGAGGTTTCACCATGTGGGCTAGGCTGATCTCGAACTCCTGACCTCAGGTGATCTACCCACCTTGGCCTCCCAAAATTCTGGGATTACAGGTGGGAGCCACCGCACCCAGCCCAGAATTAGATTCTTGACCTCTCTGCTGTGCTGCCTCTTACCTAAAGGGAGAGTCTATTGCTCAGATGTCAAGGAAGGTTAATGCCTGCATCAAATCACCGATGATTGCAGTGTTCACCCCTAGCAGTAAATGCTTTATGGTATCCCAGATGTTTATGCTTTTAAAATTTATATTTTTGTTGCTATTTCCCTATGCTTTTGTTTTCCTACATGTTCCAAAATTTAAAACGTTATTTACTACAGAAATAATAATATGCTGTCCTTGAAGCAGCAAGCTCTTCTACCTAGTGATATGCCTATCATAATGAATACAGGGAGAGTATACAAATATTAAGCTTTGAAGCAGATTCCACTGTTTTGATAAGCAGCATCTTTCATGGGTCAAAACACTGGGGTAAGGGAAGAGACAGAGTATGTAGTAATTCCTCCAAAGTAAACTCATGCAGTATTTTCTGATAATTGATCTGAACATAGTCATCTTGAAATTTTGGCCTCAACATTATTGCTATTAATAAATTTTGCAAATGATTTTAGCATAAACTTCCATTTCTATACACTGAGTACTCCCAGTGTGCTGAGTCATCCTGTGTCCAAATGGGGTCTCAGTCCTGTGTTCATCTCTCCAACTGCATTCTTTTTCTTCCTATGAAGAGAGCACCATAGTGCTTAGTTTGTGTTTAAATCGGTTACTGTTGACCACCCATACAGTGCTGGGTTGGTGTTCACTGTTTGAATTTCAATTTTATTTTTTATTTTTTTATTATTATTTATTTATTTTTTATTATATATTTTTATTAATTTTTATTTATTTGACCTCTCATTTAGTAAACCAGGTGGTGGCTTCCTTAGAGTGCCGTTGGCAATTCATAGACTGAGTTTTGGGGGGGAATTCCCTGTCACTTTTTTTAAATAAACAATCAGAATGCCAAAAACCCTCAGGGTATTTGCTGACATTTGCTAGATTGTCACAGTATCACTCTTTAAGGCAGATTCATGGATTGAAGTCTGATGGACACTGTGAGACCTGAAGAGGTCACATAACTGACACATTGATTTTGTGATGGAGTCATTGCCAAAAGGGATGAACAGGGTGATGGTGCTGATTAGGTTAGATGGCACAGGAGCCTGGTGGGAAAGGTAAATTAATTTTTACTAAATAAGGATATTCATTTCTAAAGACCCTGATTCCGAAATTGTTAATGCCAATGGCACTTACTTAAGCACCCCCAGTAGATGAGGCCATTGGTGGAGTAAGCGTCTGTAAGGCAGGAACTCCTGTTGGGTGGAAAGTGATCACTCAGACCTGTAACAGATACAGTGTGATGGGTCCAGATCATTTAGTCTATGGAGGTTAAAAATGTATAACATCCCCTCAAAAGGCTGAACTGTGAATTGCCTATCTGGTAATGCTTAAGGAAACCAGGGTAGTCCAGGCTGCTTGGATTGCACTGCAAGTCCCCGAAGACGGTTAGGGAGGCATCTCATCAGTAACAACCAAATGCTTTCTGCATGGTCTTATCCAAGAAACAGCAGCTGTACTTAGAAGTTTCTGGTATGTTTCACCTGTGTCTTGTTCCTTCCTCTCTTCACAGTGTGTGCTATCAGCGGGTTCCATGGTACCCCACGGTGCTAACCTTCATCCTGTCTGCTTTGTGGCATGGTGTCTACCCTGGATACTATTTTACCTTCTTAACTGGAATTCTTGTCACATTAGCAGCTAGAGCGGTAAGTGTGCTTTAGGCCTAGGGTCTTTCCCCTTAGTAATCTGATGCCTGCATGTTTGTTATCTGTTGGGTCCTAGTAGGGGTTGGGGGTGGGATGTGAAGGTGGGAGTGATGTTTTGAAAAATCAAACAATATGCAAGAGTCTTCCCATTAGAGAAATACTTCAATATGTAGGAACCTCTGGAGTCATTACAAAAATGGTTAACCATTGTATGTTCGTAGTTCGTGAAACAAAAGGAATTTTAGGGACAATGTTTAGTACCCTAAGAGATGAAAACATTTTTAATTGTTAAAGTCTGTGAACAGTCTACTAATTACAGATGATGATGATTATTAATTAATGTAGGCACCATAGGACTTCAATTTGCTTATACTTTGCTTAATTTCTCATTTCATTGCCCCGAGCCTAGAAATAACTCACAGAGTCTCTTGAGCAGTCAATGAAATAGCGGCCACGGGAAGTGAGTCTGTTGGAGGTTAACCTCATGTGTTCACACGCCCAACGCAGTTAGCTTAGTTTGTGTTTATGACTTTTGTAAATTTGGTTCTCTAGGATTTTTCAGGAGCCTGTAGTTTCTCTAGATTGTTCTGCAATTTGCTTGTTGTAGAGCAGGATAATAAAGAATAAAACTCTCCTCCAAGAAGGAGACGAACATGCATAGAAGTAATTGCGATTCAGTGCTTTCATTGCCAAATACAGGAGTTTTGTATTTAATTTTGTTTTAATCTTTGATTGTGATTGTGGTCTTCCTTATTTCTGATGCCAAGAGTTTTTATTGACGTTGGTTGAGCCATATTTTGGATGTGAATTCAGGAGCCCCCACATAGCTATCCACTCACCCTTTAATTCATTTATCCTGTGAAGATTTCAGGAGCCCTACTGTGTGCTAGTCAGTGTTCTAGGCGCTGGGATACCACAGTGAACAAGACAAGAGTCCCTCCCCTGAGGATCTCTTGTTTTAGTTAGACACAGGTGTGCTGGAATATATATATATACATATATATATGTATATATATGTATATATATATGTATATATATGTGTATATATATGTATATATATGTATATATATGAACAAAGTGGATTACTGTTCATGCTGGCTAGGATACTTTTGAAATTAAGTGCATATTGTACATATTTGTACATAGAAAACAGGGGAGACATTTTCTTCTCTCCTGTTCATGTAACTATTTAGATTATAAAAGAAAACTAAAGAACAAGTGGTCAGGCCAAATTAAGAAATAAAACTTAGAATTCTGTTTGCTAACATATCCAGAGTATTATTCCCTCAGGTGTCTTTTACTCTATGGTTTCAACTGGCATAAAGGCTCAGATCTGTGTAGAGCTTTTCTTTTGGATGGCCTGGAAACACTATTCGCAAACGAATTAGGTAGCGGATAGAGAGGAGAGAGTTGATAGAACAGTGTTTTTATTTTGTCTGGAAGGAGATTGAACTCAACAGTCATAAAGTGTCTTCGGGCCCTAGAAATGACCCAGTAAAATCTCATAGCTGATGTGCAGCATTGCTTGATGGGTGGACCCCGGTCTCTGTCCTGAGGAACTTAGGGCTGAGAGGCAGCCTTGGGCACTGATGCATCTTCTGCTTTGGGGCTGACCTGCCTATCCCCTAGCCATTGCTTTCAGCTCTGCCTTTGACCTGAATCTGGAAACTGAGGGTCTCTCTAGAGGCAGGTCTAGTCACATGTGCCACAAGATCTACAAAGGAGTATATCCTTCGACCTAGCAATTTCCATTTCAAAGAATTGTCTCTTTACCTAAGTCTCAGTTTATTTATCTGTAAAACGGGAATCATGATGCTAACATAATAGGCTTGATGAGAGAATCAACCAGAGATGAGCCATGCAAATCATTAGCACAGGCTTGGCACAGAGTAAGCACTCAGCAAATGGTAGCTGCTTGTATTAGTAGTAATAGTAATATTATTTGTGTTATCATTACCTGAAGGAAGTAAATAGGAAACAGAGCAGAGATTTATTTACAAGGATATACATCACATAATTGTTTATAATAGCAAAATGGGATGGGCAGACAAGCTAACTTTTCCAAAATTAACTTAAAATTATACTGGAGATTAATATTTACTGGCATGGAAAAAAGTGCATGATATATTACTAAATGAAAAAATGAGCTAGAAATTATATTGGTGTCATTAAGAATATTAACATGGATACATATGAATAGAAAAAGCTTGGATGGCTCTGTGCCAAGTTTTTAAGTGATGCTTTCCTTTGGGAGGTGTTAAAAAAGAAAGAAATTTTTTTTTTGTTTGCTTAGTTGTTTGACCATTTTTCTACAGTGAACACATATTATTATTATTATTATTATTTTAATAAGAAAAATTGGCCAGGCACAGTGGCTCATTCCTGTAATCCCAGCACTTTGGGAGGCCGAGGCAGAAGGATTGCTTGACCCCAGGAGTTTGAGACCAGCCTAGGCAGCAAAGTGAGACCCACATCTCTACAAAAATTTTTTAAAACTTAGCTGGGCATGGTGGCATGTGCCTTTAGTCTCAGCTACTTGGGAGGCTGAGGTGGGAAGATCACTTGAGCCCAGGAGTTTGAAGCTGCAGTGAGCTATGATTGCATCGTTGCACTTCAGCCTGGGTGGCAGAGCAAGAGTCTTATTTAAAAAAAAAAAAAAGAGTCCTGGGCCGGGCGCGGTGGCTCACGCCTGTAATCCCAGCACTTTGGGCGGCCAAGGTGGGCAGATCACAAGGTCAGGAATTCGAGACCAGCCTGGCCAACATGGCGAAACCCCAGCTCTACTAAAAATACAAAAAATTAGCAGGGCATAGAGGCAGGTGCCTGTAATCCCAGCTACTTGGGAGGCTGAGGCAGGAGAATCACTTGAACCCAGGAGGCAGAGCTTGCAGTGAGCTGAGATTGCGCCACTGCACTCCAGCCTGGGCGACAGAGCGAGACTCCATCTCAAAAAAAAAAAAAAAAAAAAAAAAAGTCCTGATGGTATTTGTAGTCGAAAATACAACTCAGATGTTGGTTATCTTCTGTAGCCCATGTTCCTGTGGCATACTATCTGCATGCACAGAGTAAAAGTTGTTATTTGTTTTTCACCCCCTCCTCACTACTGTTGCCTGTGTTGGCCTGCAGGTCAGGAACAACTACAGACATTACTTCCTTTCTTCAAGAGCTCTCAAGGCTGTGTATGATGCAGGCACCTGGGCCGTCACTCAGCTGGCTGTCTCTTACACGGTAGCACCCTTTGTGATGTTGGCAGTTGAACCGACCATCAGCTTATACAAGTAAGTTTCCGTTGTTCTCAGTTGCCATCTCGTAAATGACTCTATTTTCACTGTGTTTGACTTAGGAGGCAGTAAATTGAATGAAGCAGTCCTAAACACTTCTAACTGGGGCTTCAGTGTGGGAAGTGTCCATAGAAGCTTTAAGAGGAAGTGGCTGTCCTGGAGACACCAATGTACAAATTCCAATACATACAAGCACTGTTGACAGGAATCCCTTAAGCCATTCAGAATGTCATCCAGGGGCCCCCTCATGGCAGTATATTTTGAAGGGATGGACCCTGAGTAAAAACTCAGAGGGTAAATTTGCTGCCCTTAGCTCTTTCTCCTGGGGGGTAGGCTGTACTGGGGACTATGACGTGTTCTGAGAGCAGGACAGAAATGGAGGCAGGAGCGGGGGATGCGGCTGAGGCTGTCATTGCCTGATCGAGTGGTGTGCAGAAGGACTCCCTGGTGAGGCTGATGGGGGATTTATGTTGCCAGTTGCACGTGTTGGAGGGGTATATGTGGAATTGAGGCTGGAGGAGGAGGAGGCTCGCACCACAGACCAACCTTTATAGTCAAACACCTGTGCTCCAGGTGAACTGCAAACCTCTAATTGCTGACTTTTATTCTTTCACAGTTATGTGTAATGAATTGTATTTCTCCACTGTTGTGAAGTGGTTGAGCACATGCTCTTGTGAACTGATTGTGTGTGATCTTTGACAAGTTGTTAGCCTCTTTTACCTGTGTTTTCTCAACTGGAAAATGAGGCTGAGAAGAAAATTCACCTCAGAGCACCGTCTTTAGTACTGAGTGTTAGAATTAATGAGATAAATGTGCAGAGGGCTCTGGCCAGTATCTGGCATATAGTCTGTACTCAATAAATGCTACCTTGTATTATTTAATGAGTTGCACAGGCTTTTCTAGGTTAACTTTGGAACATCGTATCATTTTTTAAATAGTTACTTAGAAATAAACAGTGCAAACACACCTTCTTCCTAAGTTGGGAATTCCCTATAGCCGATGGAGGGGTCATGAATGGATTGAAGAATTTTTTACTACTCAATATGTGTATCAGTGTCTATAAGTGGGATGATTTTTTTGAGGCTATAGAAAGAGAAGGTTGAGGGAACCATATAACACTCATCAATGAAGTCCATGCTGTTACAATATATGCTTTTATACTAGGAGTTAGGTGATAAGAAGTTATGTCAATATAACATGGAAGCTGTACTGGTTTATACCCAAATTTTTCTATGCAAAGGGGTGCCAGAAGAGTGGGAAGAGAATTATAAGCTTCAGCCAAAAAGAAGCCCTCAGTTCAGCTGCTAGAGAGGTAGGAGTCATTTCAGTCCTAGGTGAGAAACCCAACATGTGTGGCCATTGAGCATTGGAAATGCAGCTAGTGGCACAGAGAAACCGAATTTTCAATTTTATTGAATTTTAATTAATTAGACTTTTAACAGCCACGTGTTGCCAGCGATTATTCCAGATTGATTACACCTCAAACAGGAGCCCCCTTCACTGGGGCTCCCTCCTCAGAGAGGCGTATCCCCAAGCCAGCATTCTGACTGCTTCTGCCTCCTTGTGCCCACCTAGGGCAGCCCCACATGCTTCCGGCTCCAATTTCATTCCCATTTGTCCATGCCCTCAAGCCAACATTTGCCCTTTTGTCCTCTACATTTTTAACATGCCCGGAAGCAGCCTTTGGCACCATTGAGCTGTCTGCAGGGGCTGTCCAAATTGTCTCCTTTAAAGCTCTGTTTTTGTTACAGAGTCCTCCTAGGTTTTGAATTATCTATTTCTAACATGCTTTTTTTTTTTTCCTGTAAGCCCTGGTATTCTAAGCCCCTGATATTGCCTCATACAAGATTTTTAAGGAATATATTGATCATATTATAGCAGAAGTGCCTGTATTCCACTCAGTATCACGTAATACCTGTAGTGTGCTAGGCATTGTGCTAGAATCTGGAGCTAGAATGGAAAGCAAAATAGAGAGATCATTTCTGCTCTCACTGGGGTGATAGCTTGATGGAAAAGACAGGGAGTAATTGACACATGTATAAATACATGCTGAGATCATACTCTGAGTGAATGGTATAGAGTTTTAAGAGAGTATGTAACAGGAATCTGCCTCAGCCTAGGCACTGGGGGCATCTTTTTGAGCTCAGTCCTGGAGGTTGTGCAGTGGGAGTGAAGCAGGCTCAGTATGTGTGAGCGCGGTGGGCAAGGAGGGCATTGTGGGCCATGCTCCAGACTTGGAAACAGCCTGGAAAAGCCCCGTCATGTAGCCCCCCATAGTGTAGCACGAAGCTCCGAGCACTGAAGACCAGAGAAACGTGAATGTGGGCAGAACATAGAATCCAAGGTGGAGGGAGGTGAGCTGAGGAGAGCGGTGGGGTAGGTATCAGTGTCCCTGTTTGTCGCATGAGGAAGTGGAGACTCAAGAGAGGGTGAGTAACAGAATTTACACAGCAGCTAAATGTTAAACCTGAGTTTCAGACTCAGTATTCCCTTAATAGCAATATCAGTAGTGGAGTTACTAAAAAGTTCTTTAGGAGAAGTTATTTTGGATGCAAACTACTGCTTGGGGATCACAATAAGTGATTTGCTAGTGATAATATTGTGTTTAACCAACTAAAGCATAACAACTAGGCGTAGGCAGGAACTCAAGGGGCAGAATTAAATTATCAAGTAGCTTTTCACTTCTTTTTAAAATCACCCCAGAATATTTTTTTAAAAACACCTTTGTTTAGGATGAAACAGGAGTTGACATTTTTTGGGTCAAGTAGGCCTATTTTAGATGATCCAACCTAGGATATTTTCTGGTTTCTAGTTATTTATTGAATTTAAGTTTCCTGTCTAGATCAGCTCTGTCCAATAGAAGTTTCTATGATGGTCGGGCGCGGTGGCTCATGCCTGTAATCCCAGCACTTTGGGAGGCAGAGGCAAGTGGATTATGAGGTCAGGAGTTTGAGACCAGCCTGGCCAGCATGGTGAAACCCTGTCTGTACTAATTATACAAAAAAGTAGCTGGGCATGGTGGCATGTGCCTGTAGTCCCAGCTACTCAGGAGGCTGAGGCAGGAGAATTGCTTGAACCCGGCAGGTGGAGATTGCAGTGAGCTGAGATCACGCCATTGCACTCCAGCTTGAGTGACAGAGCGAGACTCCATCTCAAAAAAAAAAAGGAGTTTCTATGATGACGGAAATGATCTACATCTGTGCCATCTGAGATGCTGGCCACCCAACATGTGTGGCCCTTGAGGATTTGAAATGCACCTAGTGGGACAGAGGAACTGAATTTTCGATTTTATTGAATTTTAATTAATTAGAATTTTAACAGCCACATATTGCCAGTGGCTATTCCAGATTGATTACACCTCAAACAGTGTTTTCATAATCTTTTAAGAAAATCCCTGAATCTGGCGAAGAAATAAAATTGCGTAGCTTTTTAGTGAAGGCAGGCCTGGTTGCGTTCCAGATCTGTTCCTCCCCTTGGGCTAAATTCAGTAGCTAGCAGTAAACCACAGTTGTATGCAAACCCTTTTCTCAGTAGATCCTCATTGCTTAACATTGAAATTTCACTTGTACTTCGTTGTTAGGTGTAGTCAGTGTTCAGTCTAGAGTGGCTTCAGATCTCAGCCTTAGAGTGCTCAGTCTAACTTCTTTAAGTTGTAAATGAGCCCAAGTGAATACTTAAATATATTATGAAAGAACCTTTCTATGAAATCATTTTGCAAAGCAAATTCACATACATCATTTTGTCTTGAATTGGATAACTCTTTCTTAAATTCAGTGGGTAATAACGTTAGAATTTGTTTTTCTATTTGTTTTTTGAGTTGGGGTCTCCTCCGTTGCCGAGGCTGGAGTGCAGTGGCGCGATTGTGATCTCAGCTTGCCCCAGCCTCTGCCTCCTGGTTCAGGTGATCCTCCCACCTCAGCCTCCCACCTCAGCCTCCCGAGTAGCTGGGATTACAGGCACGTGCGACCGCACCCGCCTAATTTTTTTATTTTTGTAGAGATGGGGTTTTGCCATGTTGCCCAGGCTGGTCTCAAACTCTTGGACTCAAGCAATCTACCCACCTTGGCCTCCCAAAGTGCTGGGATTACAGGCCTGAGCCACTGCGCCTGGCCAGAACGTTAGAATTTGCGTAGAAACTTTCGTAGATGGCAAACTCCTTGAGAGCAGGAACCCTGCCTAATTCATCTTTATATCTGAGTCCTTAGGTCAGTGCCTGACATGATCAATAAATGTTAGTTTAGTCTTTCCATAATAGATGAAATATTCCTTAAAATTGTAGAGAAATATGAAATGTCAGAAGAGGTTACTAAACCTTACTAGGTGTTTTCCACTTGATGTTCAAAGTAGCTGGATTTTACCTAATGTAATTGTTCCAGTGTAGATTTGGCCACATATGAAAGATTAAGGCAAAGCTCAAGAACAAAGTATGACATATTTTGGATGTGCATATTTTGAAAGCTGGAGTTACCTATGGCCAGGGTGTGCCCATGAGAATCCCAGTCTATACCTGTTAAATCACCGTGTTTATCTGTGGAGCACTTTTTCCACTCTCAATAATGTCTTGGTTTAGACAGTAGATTAGATGGTCACTTGCTGTTGCTGCTTACCCCTTCCCTGGTTAAACAGCTGTTAATGATGTGCTTGTCTTGTTTCCATTCTCACATGGGAAGGGGTGGAGGCTGATGCCTTTTTGTAGATCCAGTTTATTGTTTTGCATATCCTAAGCAGTAAATGCATATTGAAAGGATAAATGAATGCATGTATGTTTGCTTCTGTTCGAGCTCTTCACTATTCTATAAATATTGTCAGGGAGGCATTCCTCCTGCTAAAGGATGGGGAAGTTTAGGGGCATATGTGAGTTATCTGATTCTAATGTGCCTGACCTTGTAATCACAGAAGTTGGGGAATGATGCATAAATCAATTGTGCTTTCCTCCCTCCCAACATTATTTTCCTTTATTCTTCAAAAAGCATTAGGGAAAGTATAAGTTGAACCTTTCCAAATGGATCTAGAACAGTTGTGCCAATGCAGCTGTTTCTAATTACTTGCAGGTATTGATAGGCCCAGTATTTATTGGATATCTACATTGTGCATACTGCTGAATACTACACTTTGCAATAGAAGTCCACAAACATCAAAAGCAAAACTTGTTTTTTTTATTAGTTTAGATGACAGTTATTTTTAGGGTTATGGACTGGATTTTCAGAATTGGGATTCTTCTGGCTCATAAGACACAAAAGAAGAACCTTTTATACTTGAGTAGAGCAATGGGTTAAAGTGTTAGTTGCATTGTGTTTAAGGAATAGAATACAGTCATACGTTGCTTACCAACAGGGATATGTTCTGAGAAATGCATCATTAGGCAATTTCATTGTTGTTTGAACATCATAGAGTGTACTTGCACAAACTAGATAGTATAGTCAGGCTACTATATACTGAGGCTATATGGGATAGCCTACTGCTCATAGACTGCAAACCGGTACAGTATGTTACCGTACTGAATACTGTAGGCAATTTGAACACAATAAGTATTTGTGTATCTAAACATAGAGAAGGTACAGTAAAAATCTGGCAAAGATAAAAAAGGATACACCTGTATTACCATGAATGGAGCTTGCAGGCCTGGAAGTTGCTCTGGGTGAGTCAGTGAGTGAGTGGTGAGTGAATGTGAAGGCCTAGGATATTACTGTGCACTACTGTAGACTTTAGAAACACCATACACTTAGTCTGTACTAAATTTATTAAGAAAACTTTTCCTCAATAATAAATTAACCTTAGCTTCCTGTAACTTTCTTTACTTTATAAACTTTAAATGTTTTAAAAACGGACTCTTTCATAATAAAACACTTTGGTTAAAACAAACATGGTGGCCGGGCATGGTGGCTCATGCCTGCAATCCCAGCAGTTTGGGAGGCTGAGGTGGGTGCATCACCTGAGGCTGGGAGTTCGAGACCAGCCTGACCAACATGGAGAAACCTTGTCTCTACTAAGAATACAAAATTGGCCGAGCGTGGTGGCGCATGTAGTCCCAGCTACTTGGAAGGCTGAGGCAGGAGAATCGTTTGAACCCAGGAGTTGGAGGTTGCGGTGAGCCGAGATCACACCATTGCACTCCAACCTGGGCAACAAGAGTGAAACTCCATCTCAACAACAAACAAACAAACAAACAAACAAAAAACCAAAACAACAACAACAAAAACGTGGTACAGGTATACAAACATTTTTCTTTATATTTTTTGTAAGCTTTTTTCTATTTTGTTTTTTTACTTTTGAAACCTTTTTTGTTAAAAATTAAGACACAAACACCCATCAGCCTAGGCTACACAAGATCAGGATCATCAATATCACTGTCTTCCACCTCCACATCTTGTTCCATTGTGGGAGGTCTTCAGAGGCAATAACATGCATGGAGCTGTCATCTCCTGTGATAACAGTGCCTCTGGAATCCCTCCTGAAGGACCTGCCTGAGGCTGTTTTACAGTTAACTTTTTTTTCTTAATAGGTAGAAGGAGTATATGCCAAAATAACAATGGGAAAGTATAGTATTGTAAATATATAAACCAGTTACATAATCATTCATTGTCATTATCAAGTACTATGTATTGTATGTAATAGTATGTGCTGGCCTTTTATTCAACTGGCAGCATACTATTGTTTACTCCAGCATTACCACAAACATGTGAACAATGCATTACACTATGACATTACGATGGCTACGACGTCACTAGGTGATAGGAATTTTTCAGTTCTATTATAATCTTATGGGGCCATCATCATTAATGTGGTCCATCATTGGCTGAAATGTCATTAAGTGTCATATGACAGTATTGGGTTTGAATTTGGTCTTGGGAGTCCTTAGACTTTGAATATTGGGGGTGTCTGGCTGTCGTGGGGTTAATTCTGTTGGTTAGCCTGTTATGTCAATGGGACGGTACCGTGTGTATCCACAGATGAGCCAGTTGGTTTGCCCTGCCCAGTTTTGTGGTTTCAGTCTATCTGTGACCCGCTCACCTACCAAAGGGAGTTATCTGTGGAGCAGATTGAGGGAAGCCTGAGTGTAGACAGGCCTCCTACTGCCAAAAGCGGTGCTCTCACTTGTCATACTGTAGGTGATATAATTAGGTGGTGTTTCCCATCTACATCCTTATTTGAAATATAATTTTTGTATATTTTTATTCCCAGGTCCATGTACTTTTATTTGCACATCATAAGTCTCCTGATAATACTATTTCTGCCAATGAAACCACAAGCTCATACGCAAAGGCGGCCTCAGACTCTGAACTCTATTAATAAGAGAAAAACAGATTGATACCTCCAAGAGAAGCGGAACAAGCAAAACTGCAGAACGTTCGAAAGATGAGATGACAAGGCTTCAAGGGCTCCTCCGGTGGCTTAGAGGCGATGTTTACATGCATCTTTATTTTGTTCTTTTTTAAAGTGCAGGGAGTATTTTTTTTTTTTTTTTTTTTTTTTTTTTTTTGAGACGGAGTCTCGCTCTGTCGCCCAGGCTGGAGTGCAGTGGCGGGATCTCGGCTCACTGCAAGCTCCGCCTCCCGGGTTCACGCCATTCTCCTGCCTCAGCCTCCCAAGTAGCTGGGACTACAGGCGCCCGCCACTACGCCCGGCTAATTTTTTGTATTTTTAGTAGAGACGGGGTTTCACCGTTTTAGCCGGGATGGTCTCGATCTCCTGACCTCGTGATCCGCCCGCCTCGGCCTCCCAAAGTGCTGGGATTACAGGCGTGAGCCACCGCGCCCGGCCGGGAGTATTTTTATAAAGCCTTTTTGTACAGATTAATCGGCCATGTCCAGGTTATTGGTTTTGATATTTTATAGGACATTTGAGTGGTGTGGCGATGTGTAGAGAATGTGCCAGAGCTGCAGAGACAGTCCATTCTGGGCTGCTGGCTTTTTGCCCTTCCTGCATGATTTCCAGCTACTGTGACCTGGATGCTGGGAACCCAGGCATCGGCTCCAAAAATTAGAAGGCGAGTGCTGAGAAGACTTGTCACAGGTTTCTCAAATCAGAATATACTCAGTCATAGTGGTTCCCTGGGAAGCCCCAGACCCTTTGACTTGTGACATTACTGGTTTGCAGACATAATAACTACACTCAGAGGACCATGGAGGCAGAGGGATCATGGTTTCAGGGCACTGAAAACTCTACGAGCCAAGAGGACTAGTGCATGGACTGAAAGTCAGGCATGCCCTCAAATAGGCTGTATTTTCTTTCCAGGAATGTAACCTTTCCCCTTTTTCTTCTGACCTGAGCCAAGATTGGAAATCAGAAAGTCTCCTGTACATGGAGCTGAAGAGGGGCTGCTGTTTTCCGAATGTTTTCCATTTCACAGGCGCCACCTGCTTGCCCGGGGTTGGTCTTGAGAAGACACCCAAATGTTCATGCCTCAGAAAGGCAGCAGAATGCCTTTTAGGAAATTTTTTTAAAGTAATTTGAAGTTATATAGAAGTTTGGTAAGAAGAAGCAGTTGTTTCTCTCTTTTCTCCCTCATTTCATGGAGGTGTTAATGATCATGGCTGGCCGTGATGTACACATGGGCTGATTTTCATTTTTTCAGTTTCATAGCTGAGAAATTCAGCTTTGTTTTAGTTGAATCATCATATTGGAAAGCAGACATTGAAAGTTTTCTTTTCTATCTTTGTTATGAATGTGCTATGGCCCCTTTTGGAGACTTCTATTGGGTAATATTCTATGTGAGAGAAGGAAACTTGGTATTAAATGTTGTGGAAAATAATAATGATGATAATAATAAAGTATATGCTGCAATGGTGTACTGCCAATCAGATTGCTTGGGAGAAGAAAATTTATTCAAATCCAACGATAAAAAATTAATTTCTTATTGAATAAACAGTATGTTCCCATATAAAAGAAATGTTTCTGATGGGAATAATTGCTTTTTGTCTGTGTCAATAGAGACACAGGTCCATAAGGTGTCCTACTGCTGCTTCTCTTAGGATAGTGAAATGTGAATGTGATGTGCCTGTTCCTCTACAGCATGTAAACAGTCCTGGTGCTGGGGGAGAGTACTAGAACCCAAACTTTAGTCCTTATTTGGGACAGTGGAAGTTAAGAAGTAGTAGATGTGAGCTAGTGCATGAGTCTCACCCCACTTTAACAAGGAAATCTTGGGGCAACCCTACTTCGCTGTCCCAGGAAGAATCTTAGATAGTGGGTAGGGGAAGGGGGTTGTAGGTATCTAAAATCTGTCAGAGTTTGTCTCCACCAAGAATAGTTTGAGGTACGAGACCAAGAAAAATGTACATCTTGCAAACTAGCAAAAATGGTAAATATTACCATTGGTGTGGAGTATGTGGAATAATCATATTACAGTGAAGTCTTTGAATTTACAATGTGATTGATGATCAGGTTTCACTGTATGTAATGTAAGTATCCTCATGTCTGAAAGAAGAACTTGGTAATGAGAGCAGAGGTGTCTGCTTTGGTGACCAGCTGCCCTGGTTTGCCAAGGACTCTCTCAAGCCCTCAGTCCTGGGCAAGCTGGGGCCATTGGTCCCACTAGTGACTGCCCAGAATTGATTACTCCTTATGGGATGAGGAGAAGTCAAACCTCTAGGAGTTGAGCTTATGGATGCTATATGTCAGACTTGGTGTTAGGCCCTGGGACACAAACATGAGGCTTTATTCTGTATAAAAAGAACAACACATAGGAGACTGATTAGCATCCTTTTTCTTCTGAAAACCACTTACCCATAGAAAAAGATTTCAACTGAGGACCAACATTTAGACGGAAGGTTGGGACTGTTTTTATTACCTTAGATTTCCAAGTTGTCCTAAATATAAGATGCAGTTCATAAATACTTATTGGAATGTGAGCTTTCAGTTGAAAATAAATACACTTTCTGGTTTTGTTTTTGAAAAAGCCAAATCTAAAATATTGCAGTTGTTTTTTTTTTTTGTACTTTGAAGGTAACTATATGGAGCAAGAATATTATTCAGATATTATTCAGTGGTTGCAAAAAGCAATAAATAATTCAGTCTGAGATTTTGACTGGCTAAGAGAGAAAAAGGCGGGAGAAGAAAACTGGAAGAAGAACAGAGGAGTTAGCAGGTGACCCCCAGAACTGGTGCGGCGTGTGTCCCTCCATTACTCTGCAGGCTCCCAGACGGTCCTTTTCAACTCCCACTGCACATTGGAACCACACAGGAAGCTTAAAGAAAGTGATTGATGCCTGGCTCCTCCAGGGACCACATCTTTTTTCTCTTCTTGTCTCTGGGATTTGGCATAGTGCCTGTCCTGTAATGAAGATTCAGTAAGTGTTTGTTGAATGAATGAGGGATTGAATGAATTAGTTTAATGCATCATTGCCCTTGACAGTTTTGACTGAGTCACTTTTGCACTGGGAAACATCATTTCTGCTTTTCAGAATTAGTTTCCGAAATAAAGGCTTGTGTTTTCAGGGAATTCTGAAAGTACATTACGTGATATAATTACTCAGGCAGCCAGTTTACATAGTCTGAACCCCTCTGGTCCACCCTTCCATTAATTAATGCATTCACTTATTTATCAAATGTGTCATGTCTGGTGTGGGCCTGGTACTCTGTGAGGCACTGCAGGTAAAAGATGCTGAAGTCCCCCATTCTCTGCTCTTGGAGAGTTCACGATATGCCCAGAAAGACATGATCCGGAGGAGTGCACAGTAGGAGTGCCCAGGAGAACTCCAGCATTCAGAAATTATAAAGTGATGGATTGCCTGATTCTTGTTTTCTTAGAGTGATCTCATTTTACAGTGTTGAGAGTTACCCAGGACAGCAGCATCACTGCTCTCCAGCCTCATGTCCAGGTGAAGTTAAGCTTGCCCTTGTGCTGAAATTGGGTATTGAGCTTGCAACATGTCAGTGCCAATCAATGCAGCAGGTACCCAGTGGAGCAGACTGATCTCTCATGGTTCCCCGTAGGGGTAGTAGGGTGGCCAATCCCCCTCCGGAGGGATCTTTAGTGAAGTTTGCAGACTTAGTGAAAGACTTCATGAAGCTCCAGAGGAAAGGTATTTGCTTAGAGAAGGTGCAGCCCATGTGAGCTTTGTCTAATGCGCTAAAATTATCTGACGCTACTTACTCTGTGCTAAGACAAAGAAAACTAAGTTATTGGCAGCTACTTTCACATGCATTCCTAACACAGTCTGTGAACTTGGCAGTATTCTCTTTTGCAAATGTGGAAAGCAAGTAGCCAGTAACTTGACGACAGTCATCCAGCTAGTTAGTGGAGGAGCTGAGGTTGGAATCCTGGTTTGGCTGACTCCAGGGTCCATCCCACCACCTGGTGCAGAGCACGTTCATTTTCAAAGAAACGGAGTTTTAAAGCTGGAAGTAACTCCAGCACTCACCTGGTCTAGTGGTTTCCAAATGCTGACCAGCTGGCCTTGTCACTTGGGGAGCTTGCTAAACACGCAAGGAGTGGGGAGATAGATTTGCTGTTAAGTTGCTGATGGTCACCATTCCCTTTTCTCAGGGGAACGGTGTGATTGATATCAACGTGGGATAATGGTCGTGTTACCATAACCTTCTTCCCAGTGGTTAATGGTGATTATATCCTGGTGGAATGGGGAGGTGAGAGCCTAGCTAAATTGTTTACATCAAAAAGAAGGCCTTTTGGAACATCTGTGATTGCTTTGTGTTCCTAAAAGACCTTTTGTTTAACATGGTTCTTTTAATGCATTTTGAGATATGCGAAGTTTGGCCTAGATTTTAAGTAGCTGGTATATGTAAACTTTGGGGAAATTGGGCAGAGACTACTCAGTGGAATAAAGAGATGGCAGAAAATTGGGGCCTGAGGAGAAAGGAAATTCCCAGTGGGTGGCCTGGTCAGGGAGACCTTTAAGAATAGGAAGGTGGAGAATTACTGGATTCTTACGTAATGTTCCCCTCTACTACCATAGCTGGAGACACATTTCATCTTTAAAAAGAGAACTAAACCTGTTTCTAGTTTAGGCTGGCATTGGGAGGAGATAAGAGAACAGACTAAAATATGCCCAGCAGTAACCTAAGCCTCCCTCAAGAATCAATCTCGAGAAATACAAAATACTAGCCATGGGGTTGGGGAATGGAGCTATGTTCTCCATTATTTGAATTTCTAAATCCAGGGGCATCTTATAAAGCGGTAGACCTTAGGGATCCGCAGGAAACAGATGCCCTCACAGATTTTTGATTACAAACAGACTCCTGGGTCCCACTCCCCAGATATTCTGATTCAGTTGGTCTGAAGCCATGCCTGGGAATCAGTATTCTTAACGAGCTTCCCACAAATTCTGATGTACAGCCAGGTTTGGGAAGTACTGGCTTCATCTTATTTTTTACATTTGAGGAAACTGAGGCTCAGGGTGGGTGGGTGGTTTAATGTCTTGCCCCAGGCATCACAGATCACTTCTGTAGCAGAGATGAGGGTGGAAGCACCTTCTCTTGACCCACTAGGGTGTACTTCCCACAAATAGCCATGCTTTCTCTAAAAAACACCCAGCACGGTGGGTCTCAGAGGAGCCCTCTATCTTTCCTGGGACATTTTCTCAGCTGGGAACACCCTTCTTAGGCCTGAAAATGAGTGTCCAGGTGAGGTGGGTGTTTCCTGGGGACCTATAAGTCTGCACTCTCCGAGTGTGGGTTGGCCTCCGATCCTACGCAGCCTCACAGACAGTTTTATTGTAACTGCTGATCCAACCTGTGGAGGCAGACGGGGAACAATTTTCTAGAAAAAAGCCTTTCTGTGTCCACATGGCCCTCAGGATCCAATGGCCCCTTTTGTTCTCGAACAAAGAAAATTCATAGGGGATATGCACTTTTGGCATTACGATTTACACTGTCTAAGCAGTTGCTGGCTACAATCAATCGTCCATTCATCCCTGGCTTTCTTTCGGTCTATTGTCTGCTTGATGGGCAAAATGGCCTTTCAGCATTTCCAGCTGCAGTCCCAGGTTGCAACTGTCTCTGTGTCCGCTGGTCTGGAAAAGCCACCAGATGCTGGGACAAGTTTTCTGCATGGTCACTGGTAACCTTTTCCCTCCAGTCCTCCATGCTGCTGCCTGGGACTCTTCCTGGTGAGCCCTTCAGGATGCTCCTCTTCATCAAAACTCCTGCCAGCTCCTGCTGTCTACACCATAAAACCCATGCCCTTCCCTTCCACCCTCACCAGCCTGGGTTCCTGGCCCTCCTTTCAGGCAGGCAGCTGTTCCATATGCAGCCAGCGTTTGTGACTTGGTGCCTTTGTAACTTTAAGTTCTGCTGCCTAAAAGAACAACATTTTTTGAATAGGCACTTCCCAAAGCAAAAAGGGCAGAAGGCCTTTTAGACAGAGAAAATGTGCCGTACAAGTTGCTATTTTTCCTGTGAAGTCCTTCTCACTTCTAGCTTCTGCTCATAGATCCCTGATAACACCTTGTGTTGTGATTAGCTTGATGTCATTTGTCCTTCCCCAACCAGATTGCCAGGTGCCTGACAACTCATTTCTTCATACCTGGCAAGTCTCTGACTCAAAAGGGTATTGGATCAATGTTAGTTGAACAAATGAGGGAATGAATGAATTCCATTAGCCATGGCAGGATTTTCTCTGGGATAATGAAGAGGGGCCATCTCGGATAGGTGGGTTGAGTTTGGGGTTCTGGCCCCTGCATTTAGTGACCAGCACTAGAAATGGCCCTAGTGAAATTGAGCCTATGGCTCTCTATTTCCTAGTCCCTTAAAGTCCAGGCTTTCCCTTGATGGTGGTGCTCAATCAAGTTCTCTGGGCCTCTAGGATTCGGGTGGGGTAAGTCCAGCATGCTGGAACGAAGTTCCTACGAGTTTTCCATTTCCTGGGAGTCCATACTGGACTTCCGTCTTTTACAGCTTTTGGTAGTTAGTGGTTCTGTTAGAGACTATGTAGTGTCTCATTGTCTGTATAACTGAGAATGTATTCATCTGTGCTCCTCCCGATGAACTGGCTAGCCCTGCCATAACCAAGTACCACAAGCCGCATGGCTTAAACAACATAAACATTGTCTCATGGTTCTGGAGGTTAGAAGTCTGAGATCAAGGTGTCAGCAAGTTTGGTTTCTTCTGAGGCCTCTCCTCTTGGCTTGTGGCTGCTGTCTCCCTACTGTGTCCTCACATGGTCTTCCCTCTGTGTGTCTTGTCCTAATCTCCTTTTTTTTTTTTTTTTTTTTTTTTGAGACGGAGTCTCGCTCTGTCACCCAGGCTGCAGTGAAGTGGTGCAATCTTGGCTCACTGCAACCTCACCTCCTGGGTTCAAGGGATTCTCCTGCCTCAGCCTTCCAGGCAACTGGGATTACAGGCGCCCGCTACCATATCCGGCTAATTTTTTTGTATTTTTAGTAGAGACAGGTTTTGCCATGTTGGCTAGGCTGGTCTCAAACTCCTGACCTTAGGCGATCCGCCTGCCTTGGCCTCCCAAAGTGCTGGGATTACAGGCATGAGCCACCATGCTTGACCATCTCCTCTACTTATAAGGTCACCAGTCATATTGGATTAAAGCCCACCCTAATGACCTCATTTTAACTTATTTACCTTTTCAGAGACCTTGTATCCATTCACATTCTGAAGTCCTGGGGGTTAGGACTTCAACATATGAATTCAGGAAGGATACAGTTCAACCCATAGAGACCTTTAGTGGTTCTTGCTGTTTCTGTGGTAATAAACTGTGCTATGGTGAACGTTCTTTTGTATTTCTCTGGTGACAGGGTGGACATCATGCAGTGGCATTGCAGGATCTTAGTGTAAAGAAATGCACTCTCAGCTTGCTCGGGTGCTCTTGTTCTCCAGCTGGTTGTATGCGTTTTTTCTTTCCCCAAAATGTGTAACAGTTTTTCTTTGTCCACATTCTCATCAGTACTTGGTATTAGCAGACTCTTATGTTTTGCCAATTGGATCAGTGAGAAAAAATGTATAGAGAAATGTAATTCTCAGGCCAGGTGCGGTGGCTCATTCCTGTACTCCCAGCGCTTTGGAAGGCTGAGGTGGGTGGATAATGAGGTCAGGAGTTCAAGACCAGCCTGACCAACATGATGAAACCACGTCTCTACTAAAAAATACAAAAATTAGCCGGGCATGGTGTTGCACGCCTATAATCCCAGCTACTCAGCAGGCTGAGGCAGGAGAATTACTTGAACCTGGGAGTCGGAGGTTGCAGTGAGCCGAGTTTGTGCCATTGCACTCCAGCCTGGGTGACAGAGTGGGACTTGTCTCAAAAAAAAGTAATTCTCCCTGCTAGGCCTACCTTCAGCTCTCTGTTTTCATCATCTGGATGCAGCCAGTGTTATCTTCTTATGTGGCCTTTCAGAGAAATTCTGTGCCCTGCATCGAGCTTTTCAAGTTGTTGCAAATGTTTTACATCATAAGCATTTCTCCATATTATTGCAGAAACTTCCTAAAAGTTGTTTTTGATGGCTGCATAATAGTGTGTAAATAAATGTGCTATAATTTTGAAAAGCAGTCCCCTAATGGTTGGGCATTTGGTTTCTGCTGCTTTATTTAAAAAATATATTCCTTTTAGAAAAATTTGAAAATACAGAAAAGGAATAAGGCATCTATAATCCCAGCCCCTGTTGGCATTTTATTTCTAGTTTTTGTGTTGAAGGTTTGTTTTGTTTTGTTGTTTTATATTTCTGGTTGTTCTTTGGTATCGGCATTTATCTGTGGAAAAGTCTAATGCTTCCTATAGAGTTTGGAATTTTAATTTTCCATTTAACTTTACAGGATGAGAATGTCCACATGCCATGAAATCTCCCGTCTCTTTCTCTCCTGCTCTAATGAGCATAGCAAGGAATGAAATCCAGTGAAGTTGTAATGGGGGTTGACTTGAATGCGGTTAGGTAATTTATTTAATTTTAAGTGGAAAATCACTTGCAAACCTTAACTCTTTAAACTATTGCTAGTAAGAAATGACTTTTACATATTGTATAGTCCATCACAATGTGGAGATTGAGGCCTCCTTCTCTGAACCGTTTAACCCTTTGCCTGGCGAGTGACTGTTTGTTTAGCCTCTCAGTAAATGGGATGTATTTGTTCTTCCTAAGAAGTTAAGGTGGCGATTGCTGAGCATTCTAAGCATTCAGAGTGTGAATGAATGAATGAACAAATAAATGAATGCTCGACTTCCTAATTCAACATGGAAATCACCAGAAATTCTTGATTAATTCTTCCCAGCTTTAGAGCATTCAGCCTCAGGCTTCATTTAAAGTCTACATTTTTTGCGGTATCTCTTGAGGTAGATTTAAGAGAAAACAAGGAAGTGGTCCCAAAACGTATGCAAAATAACTAAGCCTTTCTCAATGATGAACAAGAAATTCCCTCTGTCCAAAGGATCTAAAATTCTTGACTTGGAATGGGATTTTTCTGAAGTGGTGTGAAATATGGACCTTTAAGGCAAAACAGCTTTTTTGGCCTATAAAGTTGAATGATCCCCAAACCCACCAAGCAGCTTCTTTTTATGAATGAGCTTCCTTCCTTCTCAGCCCCATCAAACTTGAATGGCTAATTGATGAAGATTATTTATCAACAATTTCAATAAGAAATGTTAGGAAGGGGAATCTAATAGAGAATGCCAATAAAATACATCAAACTCTAAAACTTTCTAGGACTGTTAAAAATCAATCTACAAGCATCAGTTGATCTCATGAATAAAATATTTCCATCAAAATAAATTTGAAGTTTATTTTATCAATGTTAAATATAGCTGAAGTTGAAATATCAAGCTTGGTTAACATTATTTTGGTGTATAAAAACTTTTAAGAACTTGAAATGATGATTTGCAAACTGGAGTCTCATGATACTTAAAAAAAAATACCAATAAGCCCAGGACAGCCCTGAACTGAATAATTAAATGCATTAATAGCTTATGTAAACTCACTGCAGTAATTTGAACCTTATTCCCGGTAAGGAAGGTGTGAGGCAAACATTTCAAGAAGAAAGCACTATTTAAAACCCCAGTGTGCTGCCTTTTGGATGTTGCTGAATCACTGTTTTTTTGTGAATCTGAAGCAATGAGAGAGGTAGAATTACAAGAAAGTGCTGAGAGAAAGCTTTGCAAACAGAGCAGGGTAACAGAGTAGTCAAAGTGTCAATCCTGCCTTTGTTTTTGCTGAGAAGTCCCTGGAAACAGGTGAGTGATTGACTTCTTGATTAATGCTTCCCAGCTTAAGAGCATTCAGCCTCAGCCTTCATTTAAAGTCTACGTTTTGCAGTATCTCTTGAGGTAGATAGACTTAAGAGAAAACAAGGAAGCAGTCCCAAAACACATGCAAAATAACTAAGCCTTTCTCAATGAGGAACAAGAAATTCCCTCTGTCCAAAGGATCTAAAATTCTTGACTTAGAATGTGATTTTTCTGAAGTGGTGTGAAGTAGTGACATCTTGTGGCCATGTGAGGTAATTTCTGATGATTTCCATGTTGAATTAGGAAGTCAAGCATTCATTTGTTCATTCATTCATTTGTTCATTCACACTCTGAATGCTTAGAATGCTTAGCAATTGCCACTTTAACCTCTGGTTTTTTTTTGTTTGTTTGTTTTGGAGATGGAGTCTTGCTCTGTCGCCCAGGCTGGAGTGCAGTGGTATGATCTCGGCTCACTGCAACCTCCGCTTCCTGGGTTCAAGCGATTCTCCTGCCTCAGCCTCCTGAGTAGCTGGGACTACAGGTGTGTGCCACCATGCCAGGCTAATTTTTGTATTTTTTAGTAGAGACAGGGTTTCACTGTATTGGCCGGGCTGGTCTCGAACTCCTGACCTCGTGATCAGCCCGCCTCAGCCTCCCAAAGTGCTGGGATTACAGGCGTGAGTCACTGTCTGGTGTTTCTTTTGAACAGTAAATGATAGTCTTTCGGAGTAAAGGTCAGATTTTAATGACCCTATTGCTATAGGGTCAAATAATGAATTGTTTCCCTGCCCTGTCCTCTCTCCACTGTAGGAAAAAAGCACACAGGAGGGTGTGTAAACTCCAAGGAGCAGAGATGCTGAAGGCAAAATAGCTTCATTTAAGGCAAATTTCTGCCTCTACATGCTGTGTGACCATAAAAAAAGTGAGCAACCGGCTCTGAATACTTTTCTTCTTAGGAGGAATGCTAGCAATTATAATTACTCTTCAGAATTGTGGGGATTAAATGAGTTAAACCATAATATGAGTTATGAAGCTGACAGAATTCTCAAATGATGATATAGTGGAAATAGGTCATTGTGATATGGGGTCATATAAGTTCTTTGGAGATCAAGTTTCTTGTGTGTAAAAGGTGGGTATTAAATAAGCTGACCAGCATGGTTGCTTCTGCTTCTAACATTCCATAATTTGATGTTTTTCTTCACACTCTTCTGAACCTCTTTATTTCCAGTAGTGAGCTTCTCAACACTTATTTTTTGGCCTATAACTTTGTAGTATTTTGTTTCCTAGGTAATAAGTTCTGAATGACTTAAAGGAAAATACAGGTGTTTTATATGTTATCTTCCACCACTGACATTTCAGTTTTATGGTTGGAGCAGTTAGGCAAGTTTTTTTTTGCGGGCGGGGAGGTAGGGGAGCGGAAGGATGGAGTCTCACTCTGTCGCCCAGGCTAGAGTGCCAGTGATGTGATCTCAGCTCACTGCAACCTCCACCTCCTGGGTTCAAGCAGTTCTCCTGCCTCAGCCTCCGAAGTAGCTGGGATTACAGGCGTGCGCCACCACAACCAGCTAATTTTTGTATTTTTTGTAGAGACAGGGTTTTGCCATGTTGGCCAGGGTAGTCTCGAACTCCTGACCTCAGGTGATCTGCCCACCTCAGTCTCCCAAAGTGCAGGGATTACAGGCCTGAGCCACTGCGTCCAGCCATTTAGGCAAGTTTCTGAATTTAGAAAGAAGCACAAACATTCTGGCAAATATTGAAGTCTTCACTCTGTGCCTAGCAGACACAATAAATAACATGCCTTGTTCACACACGGAAGTGTGAAGTAGGCATAGGTTCTCTTCTGGCCCATGGTTACTAGGCCAAGCAATGCAGTGAATTAATCTTTCTAGTTCTTCCTTCCCAGCTCACTTGTTTCTCAACAAAACCTGGGACTTGGATAAAATTCACAGATTGAGTTTATGTCTTACCATCGTGGGGGAAAATATTTCGAAACAACCTATCTTTTAGGCAAGTCTATTCTTTCCTTCCTCCCTTCATTTTTTCTCTTTCTTGTGATTAGTTTTCTAAACACTGCAAGACTAGTTCCAGAACCTCATGAAAAGAGGTGACACTCTATTTCATCCCACGTTTTGTTTGTAATTCAGTTTATAAAGTGCTTTCTCTTACATTATTTCCTTTGTTTCCCAAACCAACAATCTAAAGTTAGTGGAACCAGATGTTACTATCCGTTTTAAAATTAGGAACCTGAGGCCTGAATAACTTGAGTGAGTTTCCCATGGACACACCCACAGTAAGTGATGGCAACAGAATCGAAACCCTGGGCTTTCCCCTAGGACTTAGGTCAGGCGTCGCCAAACTGCTCAAGTTCATTTTAAGAATTATATTGGCAGGGCACGGTGCCTCACACCTTTAGTAACAGCACTTTGGGAGACCGAGGCAGACGGATCACTTGGGGCCAGGAGACCAGCCTGGCCAACATGGTGAAACCCCATCTCTACAAAAAATACAAAAATTAGCCAGGTATGGTGGCACATACCTGTAATCCCAGCTACTCGGGAGCCTGAGGCAGGAGAATCACTTGAACCTGGGAGATGGAGGTTGCAGTGAGCCAAGATCATGCCACTGCACTCCAGCCTGCATGACACAGCGAGACTCCATCTCAAAATAAATAAATAAATAAATAAATAATTATGCCAAAAATTCTTCTTGTGCTACTTGAATAACTTATAACTTGTATTTAAAATTTGTTTGTTTTGGTCATGTAAATAAAATTGGGAAGCAGAAAAAGTAAGAAACAGAAAAAAATTGTTTTTTAAGCTTTGTTAATCTCCGAATGATGGATAATCCCTTTAGAGAGAAGGAAAGGCCGACAGACAGTCTTGGGTTATTTCCCCATATGTAGACCCTGAGATGAGGATTGAATTTAAGTAAAAGTAGTTTGTTTGGGAAGTGATCTCAGGAAGCATTTGGAATGGGGAGGTGAGGCAGGGAAGGGACGGATGCTAATGCAGAGTGCATTGATTAGCAGATGACCACTGTGGGCTCTGGGGCTCAGCACACCAGGTAACTCTGTGAGACTGCACAGAGCACACCTCATTCATTCCACTGGAGAGAAGAGGAGGCTGGGGTGCTCATGGACCAACTCTCGTTTGTCACTGACACAACTCCCAGCATCATAGAATGTCCTGGAGGTAGGAAAAGCATGCTCAGCAGTTGGAGAGAGCCCCTTGGCGCAGTTGTAGAGGATTGCAGTAAGAAGCTGCTGCCTGCACAGGAAACATGAGTGTTGAGAGTATGTGGGCAGGGCACGCTAGCCCTGTCCCCTCTACCCATACACCTGCTCTGCCTGTGTCTTACGTGATTACCGACTGTGATTCACACATCTAGCACCATGCAACATGCTAACGGAGACGCAAAATATTTGTAAGGATCTAGTACCTCTTCTTATCACAATAGGTTGATTGAAAATCCGTGCACACCTGAAAAAGTAGCACAGTAAGAAGGCTTATTGTCAAGTGTCAAAATGAGTAAAGCGGACGTCAAATACTACAGAGGCTCAGAGAAGGGAGTAATCAACTGAGAAGTCTTGCTGAGGAATTTGGGTGGGAAGAATGAAGCTTGAATGTGGGACCAAACAGGCAGGTGTGCCGCATCCTTCTCACCTGTCCTCTATACAATGGGAAGTTGAAAGTTTCCCCCTCCTCTGTCAAATTAATATATGAAGATAAGGCTGGGCACAGTGGCTCACGCCTATAATCCCAGCACTTTGGGAGGCCAAGGCAGGCGGATCACGAGGTCATGAGATGGACACCATCCTGGCTAACACGGTGAAACCCTGTCTCTACTAAAAATACAAAAAATTAGCTGGGTGTGGTGACACGCACCTGTAGTCCCAGCTACTTGGGAATCTGAGGCAGGAGAATCACTTGAACCCAGGAGACGGAGGTTGCCGTGAGCCGAGATTGTGCCACTGCACTCCAGCCTGGGCAACAGAGTGACACTCTGTCTCAAAAAATAAAAAATGATAAAATAAAAGAAGATAACTTAAAAAATAGTTTAGAGGCTTATGAGGGAATGTGATTAAAGGTAGATCTAATATTTTTAAAATAATTGATTAAAATAATTGATTCAAAGTGACAAAGGTGCTACTACTACTACTAAACCAGATGGGTGGGGTACTGTTAAAGTCATGCTTAAAATTTATAGCCTTAAATTTATATGTTAGGAAAGAACAAGGTATGGAAATAAATGATCTAAACTTTCATCTCAGAGGTTAGCATCACGTAAGAAAATTAAACTCCCCAAAAAGTTAGAAAGGAGAGAATAAAGGTAAGAGGAAAAGTTAATGAAATAGAAAACAGTCAATAAAGAGGATCAGTAAGACTGAAAGTTCATTCTTGAAAAAGGAGCAATAAAATTGATAAACTCCTGGATATACTGATTTAAGAAAAATAGATAGAAAACACAAACAACTATTACCAGGTATCAAAAAGGAGACAATACCATAGATCCTGATGCAAACAGGATCCTTTTCAAATGCAAATTTAAAAGATTATAAGAATATCATGAACAGCTTTAAACAGTAAGTTTGATGAGTTAGATGAAATTGACATGTTCTTTAAAAGGTCACAACTGACCAAAACTGACACAACAAGGAATATAAAAATCAGAATAATCTTATAACTATTAAATAAATGGGATCTATAATTGCCAACTTTCCCACGAGGAAAACTTTAGCCTCAGAGTCTCAATGGTGAATTCTTCCAAATATTTAAGAAAGAAGTAACGCTAAACTTTTGCAACTTTTTCAAAGAATAGTAAAGAACAAAGATAATCTCTAATGTTTGAATAACCTTGATACAAAATATAACAAACATTATAAGAAAACTACAGGTGAATCCTACTCAGAAACCCTGAACAAAATATTAATGAAGTGAATGGAGCAATATGTCAAAAGGATAATAAACCTTGCTCAGATTGGTTGATTTTGGGAATGCCAGTTTGGTATATAGCATGCTCACAGAATAAAGAAGAGATATTATAATGATCATTTTAATAGGTACATGACAAGCAATTGGATACATTCAAGATCTACTCAAGATGTTAAAATCCTTGGCAAGTCAGCAATAGAAAGGAGCTTCTTTTATCTAATGAACACACAAAAACCTATAGCAACCAACATGTGATAGTGAAAAGTTGAAAGCTTTTTCCTTGAAATTAGGGACAAGAAAACATGTATTAGAATTACTAGTAAATGCAATAAGGCAAGAAAAAGAAATACAGGAGAAAAGGGTTGGAATGGAAGAGATTTTTTATTAAATAGAGTTTTATAGTTTTATACATAGAAATCCTATAGGAAATACATACAGATAAGTTATTAGAATTGATAAGTGAGCTTAGCAAAATCATGAAATACAAGGTCTATATACAAAAGTACTTCCACAATACATATAAAAGAAAAAAGCAAAAAATCCAGACAAATAAATACATATTACAGGACCCCATTTTATGTAAAGTCCAAAAACCAAGAAAAACTCAGGTATATTATTAGAAGTCATGACAGTTACTTTTGAGGAAGAGGAAGGTGTAGTGATTGGGTGTGGGCAGAAGAGGTGCTTCTAGGGGGCTAGCGCACTCTTTCTTGATCGAGATAGTTTTTCACAGGTGTTCACTTTGTGATAACTGAGCAGTACACTTATGTTTTGCTCACTAATTTACATGTAGGAGAACATTTAACACAATAGAAATCCCGGTAGACCAGTTTAGTAAGCAATAGTATCTATAAATAACATATAATTTTAACTTTAGAAACATTAAATTATTTGAAGGCAATTGGAAGAAAACCAACCAGCATTAATTTATAAGCACAGAATCCACAATCAAATTGTGGCAAAAAGTAATTTTGCCATTACTTTTAATGGCAAAAACCACAATTACTTTTGCACGAACCTAATATAAATAATGAAACCTAAACATGTGTCTTTAACAATTTCTGGAATACTACAGGTGCATCACTTCTTCCATCCTCTCTGGTTACATCTGTGTCATTAGTTATGTAATTATGTATGCATGTGTCACATCTGTGACACTAACGGATTGGTATCTCTGCCTGGAGGAACCTGGGGTCTGAAAAAGGTGCTTGGTAAATTGACCTGGGATTGCAGTGACCTTAGCAGCCTCTTGCTTGGAATGCTCTTCCTGCACACTGCTCTGCCCTTTTCTGCTCCTGCTCCTTCCCCAGTCCTGCCTTCCAGAGGCACCCAACTTCAACTCTGCATATCTTTCTTCAGTTATTTCATCTCCATATTTCTACTTAGCATCCTACTGACATTTTTTCATTTACCCATTTTAGACCTCATTCGTTTCGTTGACTTCCTATTATGGTTCTTTGTACCTCTTTAAACCTCTATTCACTTAACCTTCCTCTACTCTCCTAAGATTCAATATTTACATTGTGTTCTTATGTAAATATTGTCCACCCTGGAGCCAAGTGGTGTGTCATGATAACATTTCCTTTCTTGAACAACTTCTATTTTGCCTAGATTAATAATTGTCTTGTCTATCATTTGCCCAGTTTTCTTTATACCTATTGGTCATCCTTCCCAACTATCTCATATATCTCATGAGTGTCTCTCAGTATTATTTCTCACATGGTCAATATCTTCAGAATATTGATCAATTCCACTTTTAACCACCCCACCCCCCCAGAGATACCTTCCTGAAGCCTTCTGTTTTCCTTCAATCTAGACTCCTTGCTCTCTTGGGTGGCTGCTTATCTTCATCCACCTGGGACTTGCCTTTGCCACTCTCCTCTATTGAATCCCCTGTTTCTTGGAGTCTTTTGCATAACTCTTTCTTGGTTTTCTCCATTTTTTTTTTACTTCAATCTTTCTTCTGATGCTACTCCACTGGAGTAAGAGAGAAAGATTGTTCAGGAGAAAGATTGCATGAGACATGATGTCTAGTCTACTCAAAACTTTATTAAGAGGTTGATAGGGTATAGAATTTATGGATGAAAGCCATTTTCCTTTAGAAGTTTAAGGAAAAATAAACCTCCATCAGTTGCTCCATTGTAGATTGTTTTTATTTTTGGCTCCAGAAGTTTTTAGTTATAGAAATGTGTCATGTTTTGATATTTCTTTATGTCTTGGTGTGGGTCATTCTTTATTTACTATTCTGGACATTCGGTAGATCCTTGCAATATGCAAAGTCAAGTTTCCACAGTACTGGGAAATTTTCTTTTATTATTTATTTGAAAGTTTCCTCCTTTTGCTATCCCTTCTCCCTCTCTGGGACTCTTATTAGTCATACGTTAATTTATAGTTCATTATTCTTATTGAATTTAAACATTTCATGTGCTTGATTTCAAATGTTTTGTATTCTCTAATTGTTCCCTTTTAATGGGAATTTGTTCACTTATCTCAGAGGAAGAACAATGACAGGCAACCAACAGTGAGCCCTACAACTATGAAAAAGGGACATGGGACTCAACTTAGTGTGAGGGAACAGAGAACGCTTCTTTGTAGATGTGACATCTGTGCTCAGCTAGGCTTAACTAAGCAAAAAGGAAACTGGGGGGCACACATTCCGGGAAGAAGGAAGAGCCTATGTAAAAATCCTGAATAGGGAAGGTGTGCAGTGCATTAGCAAAGAACTGAAAGTGGCCAGTGTGATTAGAGTTGAGAGCAAGGGGGAAAGCAGCTCATAATGAGGCTGATAATGTAAGCAAGAACCAGACCATTCAGGGCCTCTGGCTACATTAAGCATTTCAGAGTTTATCTTAAAGGCATGAGAAGTTATTACAAAGTTCAAAGCAGAGCAGATCATGTAATGCTAAATTTTATGGGTGAAAGTTTGATGAGAAACAGGATATTTATATAGTGTCAAAGTACTTTGCCACAAAATACTTACTGACTGCCAAGGGAAAAAAAATAAATAGAGAAAGCTATCAGACACCACTCTAACCAAGTGATCAAAGTTACCATTACCACTAATGGATGAATCAGCATCATGTACCTCCTCATGTAATGCACTGAGAAGAACATAACATCACTCTGTGATACTTCTGCTAACAACGCATGCCTGGATCAGATTGTGGGAAAACATAAGACACACACAATGGGAGGGACATTCTACAAAGTTCCCTGTATTCTTTTAAAACACACACACATACTTACACAGTGAAGTATCAAAAGACAGGGAAAGACTGAGGAACTGTTCCAGGTTGAAGGAGACTGAGGAGACATGGCAACATGTGATCTGGGATGGATTCTGGACCAGCACTTTTTTCTCTTGCTATAAAGGGCATTAGTGAGACAACTGGAAAAAATTGAAAAATATCTATAGATTAGACCTTAGATCAATGTCAATTTCCTGATTTTCATAATTGTATTGAGGCTATCTCAAAGAATATCCTTGTCTTTGCACACTATAATACTTAAGGGTAGAAGGGCATCTTGTGTGTAACTTACTCTCAAATGGCTTAGGAGAAAAAGTAGAGATAGAATGAATGAGAATGAGAGTTACTATGAAAACAAATGACCCATGATAAAACATGATAAAATATTAATACTTGTTGATGCTCAGAATTCAGGAAAAATTAATATTTGGAGAACCCAGGTGCAATAAATTCTTCATGCTGCTTTTGCAACTTTTCTGTAAGTCTGAAATTATTTCACGATTTTAAAAGAGATTGCTTAGACTGCAGTAAGAGAAGCCATTAAAAGAGGACAAAAGGGGATACAGCACATGGAGCCCATTTAGCAGGCAGTGTAGGCATCTAAGAGAATGCTTACGGTAACTTGGTGTTGAGTGGTCGCAGTGGAGTTGGAGAGGAGTGGATGGAATCAAGAGGTATTTAGGACACGAAGTAGACACGAGTGGAGAAGGATGTAGAGCCAATGGGTGATGCCATTCACTGAAATAAGGGAGAGTAGGAGATGCAGGCTTAAAGAGAATGATGCTAAGTTCTATTTTGTACAACTTATATAAGATATCTTTAAAATATCCAAGAGGAGAGTTAGAGTAGGCAGTGGATTTGTAGCTCCAGAAATCAGGGACGGGTTCTGTGCTGAAGATAATAGTTTGAGGCCATTTAGCACATAGATGGCAACTGAAGCCGTGAGCATGGGTGATGTTGTCTAAGGAGCAAGTGGAATAGAGAAGAAGGCTAAGAAAGCCCAACATTTAAAGGTTGGATAGAAAGGAAAACAAATGTGTTCAGCTTTGGAATGAAAATGGAGATGCAACCGCAGGTTTTCACATGGTGAAAATAATTATAAAAGGATATTATATGCAATTCTATAATGTATTGGAAAATGTAAAGAAAACAGATAATTTTCTAGCCAAAGACAAAATAACAATTACCAAACTTTGGCAGACTATAACTGTAGAAGAGTAATTCTACATAATTACATAATGCAATTCTACATAATTACATAATACAATTCTACATAATAAGTAATTGTAGAATTACTCTTCTACAGTTATAGTCTTCGCACCACTTGTAGGGTCATTAAGAATCTATTTACCATTGAAAAAAGGAGACTTTTAAAAAAATACTTGAGTTCTTTATAACTTTCAAAGAACAAAAAACGTCTGTTTCTAAGGTCATAACCTTGGAAACACTCTTAGTTTGGAAGCAAAAGAAGGTAGAAAGAAATGATCAAAGACTGAAGAGGAGAAGAAAAAAAGTGCAATGATATGATAATTCAAAGAGACAGGAAGGCTAAATCCTTCCCTGGTTATTGAACTGGTATTAATCATAAATATTTTCCTTCTCACTACTCGATAGGAATAGTTAGCAGTATCTCTGGATCAAGTCAGAATGTGACAACCAGATGTTTGACACGTGTGACTAATTATATAATATGGAATATTTGCCAGGTGTTGAAGAGAAAAGTTGTAGTATGAAAATATAGGTCTCGTTAAGGTCTGATTTTCTAGGAATCTGCCATTGAAGATTTGGGCACAGTACTAGTATCTCCAAGAAGTTGATGTTGTGTTTGGAGTTAGGCTGATCCCTCTTCCTCTCGTTTGCAAAGCCCGACAAAGGGAACAGGCTAACTTAATCATATGCTGCTGGTTTGTACTCTCACTGGATGGATCCTGGAAACAGACCAAGGTAATGGCTAATCAGGGTGCTAGCAAAAGAGGTTGGTTGACAGAAGGGTGGTCATGAGATATCACAGCCTGAATTTTTTTATTTCAATTGGTTTTTGGGGAACAGGTAGTGTTTGGTTATATGAATAAGTTATTTAGTGGTGATTTCTGAGATTTTGGTGCACCCATCACCCAGGCAGTGTACACTATACCCAATGTGTAATCTTTTGTGCGCCACCACACCCCCTTTCCCCCAAGTCCCCAAAGTCCAATGTATCATTCTTATGCCTTTGCATCCTTGTAGCTTAACTCCCATATATGAGTGAAAACATATAATGTTTGGTTTTCCATTCCTGAGTTACTTTACTTAGAATAATAATCTCTGATTTCATCCAGATTTCTGCAAATGCCATTATTTCATTCCTTTTTATGGCTGAGTAGTATTCCATGGTGTCTGTGTGTGTGTGTGTATATATATATATATACATATATGTACATATATATACTATATATACATATATGTACATATATATGTGTGTGTGTGTATATATATATACACACACACACATATATATGTATTCCATGAGTAGTAATTCATGGTGTGTGTACATTTCATATATATATACACACACACACACACACACCATATATATATATGTATATACACATATATATATACACACCACATTTTCTTTATCCACTTGTTGATTGATGGGCATTTGGGCTGGTTCCAGATTTTTGCAATTGCAAATTGTGCTGCTACAAACATGCATGTGCAAGTATCTTTTTCATACAATGACTTCTTTTCTTCTCAGTAGATACCTAGTAGTGGTATTGCTGGATCAAATGGTAGATCTACCTTTAGTTCTTTAAGGAATCTCCACACTGTTTTCCATAGTGGTGGTACTAGTTTACATTCCCACCAACAGTGTAAAAGTGTTCCTTTTTCACCACATCCACACCAACATCTATTAATTTTTGGTTTTTTGATTATGGCCATTCTTGCAAGAATGAGGTGGTATTGCATTGTGGTTTTGATTTGTACTTCCCTCAACATCATTAGTGATGTTGAGCATTTTTCCATGTACTTGTCCATTTGTATATCTTCTTTTATTTTATTTTATTTTATTATTATTATACTTTAAGTTTTAGGGTACATGTGCACAATGTGCAGGTTAGTTACATATGTATACATGTGCCATGCTGGTTTGCTGCACCCATTAACTCGTCATTTAGCATTAGGTATATCTCTTAAAGCTATCCCTCCCCCCTACCCCCCCACCACAACAGTCCCCAGAGTGTGATGTTCCCCTTCCTGTGTCCATGTGTTCTCATTGTTCAATTCCCACCTATGAGTGAGAATATGTGGTGTTTGGTTTTTTGTTCTTGCGATAGTTTGCTGAGAATGATGGTTTCCAGCTTCATCCATGTCCCTACAAAGGACATGAACTCATCATTTTTTATGGCTGCATACTATTCCATGGTGTATATGTGCCACATTTTCTTAATCCAGTGTATCATTGTTGGACATTTGGGTTGGTTCCAAGTCTTTGCTATTGTGAATAGTGTTGCAATAAACATACGTGTGCATGTGTCTTTATAGCAGCATGATTTATAGTCCTTTGGGTATATACCCAATAATGGGATGGCTGGGTCAAATGGTATTTCTAGTTCTAGATCCCTGAGGAATCGCCACACTGACTTCCACAATGGTTGAACTAGTTTACAGTCCCACCAACAGTGTAAAAGTGTTCCTATTTCTCCACATCCTCTCCAGCACCTCTTGTTTCCTGACTTTTTAATGATTGCCATTCTAACTGGTGTGAGATGGTATCTCATTGTGGTTTTGATTTGCATTTCTCTGATGGCCAGTGATGGTGAGCATTTTTTCATGTGTTTTTTGGCTGCATAAATGTCTTCTTTTGAGAAGTGTCTGTTCATGTTCTTCGCCCACTTTTTGATGGGGTTGTTTGTTTTTTTCTTGTAAATTTGTTTGAGTTCATTGTAGATTCTGGATATTAGCCCTTTGTCAGATGAGTAGGTTGTGAAAATTTTCTCCCATTTTGTAGGTTGCCTGTTCACTCTGATGGTAGTTTCTTTTGCTGTGCAGAAGCTCTTTAGTTTAACTAGATCCCATTTGTCAATTTTGGCTTTTGTTGCCATTGCTTTTGGTATTTTAGACATGAAGTCCTTGCCCATGCCTATGTCCTGAATGGTAATGCCTAGGTTTTCTTCTAGGGTTTTTATGGTTTTAGGTCTAACGTGTAAGTCTTTAATCCATCTTGAATTGATTTTTGTATAAGGTGTAAGGAAGGGATCCAGTTTCAGCTTTCTACATATGGCTAGCCAGTTTTCCCAGCACCATTTATTAAATAGGGAATCCTTTCCCCATTGCTTGTTTTTCTCAGGTTTGTCAAAGATCAGATAGTTGTAGATATGTGGTATTATTTCTGAGGGCTCTGTTCTGTTCCATTGATTTATATCTCTGTTTTGGTACCAGTACCATGCTGTTTTGGTTACTGTAGCCTTGTAGTATAGTTTGAAGTCAGGTCATGTGATGCCTCCAGCTTTGCTCTTTTGGATATCTTCTTTTGAGAATAGTCTATTCATATCTTGGCTCACTTTTTCATGGGATTGTTTGTTTGTTTTTTTTGCCAATTTGAGTTCTTTGTAGATTCTGGATATTAGTCCTTTGTCAGATATATAGATTGTGAAGATTTTCTCCCACTCTGTGGGTTGTGTGTTAACTCTTATTTCTTTTGCTGTGCAGAAGCTTTTTAGTTTAACTAAGCCCCATCTATTTATCTTTGTTTTTCTTGCATTTGCTTTTGGGTTCTTGGTCATGAAGTCTTTGCCTAAGCCAGTGTCTAGAGGGGCTTTTCCAATGTTATCTTCTAGAATCTTTATGGTTTCATGTCTTAGATTTAAGTCTTTGATCCATCTTGAGTTGATTTTTGTTTAGGATGAGAGATGAAGATCCAGTTTCATTCTTCCACATGTGGCTGTCAATTATCCCAGCAGAATTTGTTGAATAGGATATCCTTTCCCCACTTTATATTTTTGTTTTCTTTGTTGAAGATCAGTTGGCTGTAAGTATTTGGCTTTATTTCTGGGTTGTCTATATGCCTATTGTTCTATATGCTTATGTTTATACCAGTACCATGCTGTTTTGGTGACTATGTCCTTATAGTATAGTTTTAAGTTGAGTAATGTGATGCCTCCAGATTTGTTCTTTTTGCTTAGTCTTGCTTTGGCTATGCAGGCTCTTTTTTGGTTCCACATGAATTTTAGAACTTTTTTCTAGTTCTGTGAAGAATGATGGTGGTTTTTTTTTTTAAATAGAAATTGCACTGAATTTGTAGTGTGGTCATTTTTCTCAGTATGGTCGTTTTCACAATATTGATTCTATCCATCCGTAAGTGTGGGATATGTCTCCATTTGTTTGTGTCATCTATGATCGCTTTCAGCAGTGTTTTGTAGTTTGTCTTGTAGAGATCTTTTATATCCTTGGTTAGGTATATTCCTAAGTATATATATATATATATTTTTTTTGCAGCTATTCTGAAAGTGGTTGAGTTCTTGATTTGATTCTCAGCTTGGTCGCTGTTGGTGTATAGCAGAACTACTGATTTGTGTACATTAATTTTTTATCTGGAAACTTTGCTGAATTCATGTATCAGTTCTAGGAGCTTTTTGGATGAGTCTTTAGGGTTTTCTAGGCATATTATCATATCACCAGCAAACAACAACAGTTTGACTTCCTCTTTACGGATTTGGATGCCATTTATTTCTTCCTGTTGTCTGATTGCTCTGGCTAGGACTTCCAGTACTACGTTGAATAGAAGTGGTGAAAGTGGGCATCCTTGTCTTGTTCCAGTTCTCAGGGGGAATGCTTTCATCCTTTCCCCATTCAGCATAAGGTTGGCTGTGGGTTTGTCATAGATGGCCTGAAGATGTGTCCCTTCTATGCTGATTTTGCTGAGAGTTTTAATCATAAAGGATTTTGTCAAACGCTTTTTCTGCATCTATTGAGATGATCATGTGATTTGTTGTTAATTCTGTTTATGTGATATATCACATTTATTGACTTACATATGTTAAACCATCCCTGCATCCCTGGTATGAAACCCACTTAATCATGGTGGATTATCTTTTTGATATGCTGTTGGATTTGGTTTGCTAGTATTTTGTTGAGGATTTTTGCATCTATGTTCATCAGGGATATTGGTCTGCAGTTTTCTTTTTTTGTTATGTCCTTCCCTGGTTTCAGTATTAGGGTAATACTGGCTTCATAGAATGAGTTAGGGAGGATTCCCTCTTTCTTTATCTTTTGGAATACTGTCAATAGGATTGGTACCAATTCTTCTTTCAATGACTATTAGAATTCAGCTGTGAATCCATCTGGTCCTGGACTTTTTTTTTTGTTGGCAATTTTAAAATTACCATTTCACCCTTGGTGCTTGTTATTGGTCTGTTCAGAGATTCTGTATCTTCCTGGTTTAATCTAAGAGGGTTGTATATTTCCATGAATTTATCCATCTCCTCTACGTTTTCTAGTTTATGTGCATAAAGGTTTTCATAGTAGCTTGGAATAATCTTTTGTATTTCTGTGGCATCAGTTGTAATAGCTCCCATTTCGTTTCTAATTGAGCTTATTTGGATCTTCTCTTTTCTTTCCTTGGTTAATCTTGCTAATGGTCCATCAATTTTATTTATATTTTCAAAGAACCACCTTTTTATTTCATTTATCTTTTATATTGTTTTTTTTTCAATTTCATTTATTTCTGCTCTGATCTTTGTTATTTCTTTTCTTCTGCTGGGTTTGGGTTTGGGTTGTTCTTGTTTCTCTAGTTCTGTAAGGTGGGACCTTACATTGTCTATTTGTTTTCAGACTTTCTGATGTAGGCATTTAATGCTATGAACTTTCCTCTTAGCACTGCTTTTGCTGTATCCCAGAGGTTTTGATAGGTTGTGTCACTATTATCATTCAGTTCAAAGAATTTTTTAATTTCCATCTTAATTTCATTGTTGATCCAATGATCATTCAGGAGCAGGTTATTTAATTTCCATGTATTTGCATGGTTTTGGGGGTTCTTTCTGGAGTTGATTTCCAATTTTATTCTACTGTTGTCTGAGAGACTATCTGATATAAATTCAATTTTCTTAAATTTACTGAGACTTGTTTTGTGGCCTATCATATGGTCTAACTTGAAGAATATTCCATGTGCTGATGAATAGAATGTACATTCTGCAGTTGTTGGGTAGAACATTCTGTAAATATCTATTAAGTCTGTTTGTTGTAGGGTATAGTTTAGGCCCATTGTTTCTTTGTTGACTTTCTGTCTTGATGACCTGTCTAGTGTTGTCAGTAGAGTATTAAAGTCCCCCACTATTATTGTGTTGCTATCTATCTCATCTTTTAGGTCTAGTAGTAGTTGTTTTATAAACTTGAGAGCTCCAGTGTTAGGTGTGTATATATTTAGAATTGTGTCCCTATTTTCCTTTTGAACTAGTCCTTTTATCATTGTATAATATCCCTCTTTGTCTTTTTTAACTGCTGTTGCTTTAAAGTTTGCTTTTTCTGATATAAGAATAGGTACTCCTGCTTACTTTTGGTGTCCATTTGCAAGGAATATCTTTTTCCACCCCTTTACCTTAAGTTTATGTGGGTCCTTATGTTTTGGGTGAGTATCCTGAAGACAGCAGAAACTTGGTTGGTGAATTCTTATCCTTTCTGCCATTCTGTATCTTTTAAGTGGAGCATTTAGGCCATTTATGTTCAATGTGAGTATTGAGATGCGAGGTACTATTCATTGTGCTATTTGTTGCCTCAATACCTTTTTTTTTTTCATTGTGTTATTGTTATAGAGGTCCTGTGAGATTTGTGAGGTTATATTTTGGTGTATTTCAAGGATTTGTTTCAAGATTTAGAGCTCCTTTTAGCAGTTCTTGTGGTGCTGGCTTGGAAGTGGCGAATTCTCTCTGCATTTGTTTTTCTGGAAAAGACTATATCTTTCTTTTACTTCTAAAGCTTAGTTTTGCTGGATACAAAATTCTTGGCTGATAATTGCTTTGTTTAAGGAGGCTAAAATAGGACCCCAATCTCTTGTAGTTTGTAGGGTTCCTGCTGAGAAATCTGCTGTTAATCTGATAGGTTTTCCTTTATAGGTTACCTGATGCTTTTGCCTCGCAGCTCTTTAGATTCTTTCCTTTGTCTTGACTTTAGATAGCCTGATGACTATGTGCCTCGGCAATGATCTTTTTGCAGTGAATTTCCCAGGTGTTCTTTGAGCTTCTTGTATTTGGATGTCTAGATCTGTATCAAGGCCAGGGTAGTTTTCTTCGATTATTTCCTCAAATATGTTTTGCAAACTTTTGGATTTCTCTTCCTCAGGAACACCAGTTATTCTTAGGTTTGGATATTTAACACAGTCCCAAACTTCTTAAAGGCTATGTTCATTTTTTAAAAAATTATTTTTTCCTTGTCTTTAATAGATTGGGTTAATTCAAAGCCTTGTCTTCAAGCTCTGAAGTTTTTTCTTATGCTTGTTCAATTCTATTGCTGAGGCTTTCCAGTGCATTTTGCATTTCTCTAAGTGTGTCCTTGATTTCCAGAAATTGTGATTGTTTTTTATTTATGCAGTCTATTTCACTGAAGAATTTTCCCTTCATATCCTGTATCATGTTCTTGATTTCTTTAAATTGGACTTCAACTTTCTCTGGTGGCTCCTTGATTAGCTTAATAATTGACTTTCTTGACCTTATTCGTTTTCTGTCAATTCAGAGATTTTGTCTTGGTTTGATTCCATTGCTGGTGAGCTGGTATGATCTTTTGGGGGTGTTAAAGAACCTTGTTTTGTCATATTACCAGAACTGTTTTTCTGATTCTCATTTGGGTGGACTCTCTCAGAGGGAAGATCTAGCTACGACTCAAGGGCTGTTGTTCAGATTCTTTTGTCCCATGGGGTGCTCCTTGATGTGATGTTCTCCCTTCCCCCAGGAATGGGGCTCCCTGAGAGCCAAACTGTAGTGACTGTTTTTGCTCTTCTGGGTCTGGCCACCCAGTGGAGCTACTTGGCTCCGGGTTGGGGTACTGGGGAGTATCTGCAAAGAGTCCTGTGATGTGACCCGCCTTCAGGTCTTGCATCTATGGATACCAACACCTGCTTCAGTGGAGGTGGCAGGGGAGTGAAGTGGACTCTGTGTGGGTCCTTGATTGTGTTTTTGTTTAGTGCCCTGGTTTTGTGTTGGCCTCCAGCCAGGAGGTGGTGCTTTTTCAAGAGCGTGTCAGCTGCAGTCCTATAGAGAGGATGCAAACTTGCCCTAGGGACACCTGGTTAAGTATTCAGGTTTCCCAGGCAGTGAGCAGGGCCGTAGAGCTCCCAAGAGTTTATGACCTTTGTCTTTGGCTATCAGGGTGGGTAGAAAAAGGCCACCAGCTTGGGGCAGGGATAGGCATGTCTGAGCTCAGCCTCTCCTTGGGCAGGGCTTGCTGCAGCTGCTGTGGGGGATGGAGGTGTGCTTCCCAGTCCAATGGAGTTATATTCCCAGGGAATATTTGCCTCTGCTGAGTCATACAAGTTGCCAGGGAAGTAGGGAAAAGAGGGCAGTCACAGGTTTCACCCTGCTCTGATGCAGCCTGCCATCCTAAAGGCTGGTCTCACTCCCACCATGCCCCTACAACAGCACTGACTCTATTTCCAGGCATCCGATGACCAGGGCTGAGAACTTGCTCCAGACCATGAGTCTCCCCTTTGAGAAAGCAAGTAGACTCACAGTTTTTCAGCATCTCAGGGAGCCTGCAGTGGTGATCCAGTTCCTTCAAAGGGTCTGTGGATTCTCTCGGCTTTCCTGGTATGTATCTGTGGTAGTTCTTGGAGCAAAAGTTCATGATGTGAGTCTCCGCAGGCCGCTCTGCCTGAGTGGGAGCTGCAAGCTAATCTTGCCTCCTATTCACCATCTTAGTCTGCCATTTTCAGAAACTCTCAACCATGGTTTTCTCGTCTTTCCCACAATGTCTGGCATAGAGTTGCCCTCGATGAATGTTTGTTGACTGACTTGACAAAATATAGGTAACCACTTCCCTTTCTGAAAAAATTGAACATGCAGACCGCTTTTTAAATTATTTCCTGAGATTCTGGTTGAGTGAGTTCCTTGGGAGACCATGTGGCATTTCTGTTCTTGGGCTCCATGAACTTAATCTTAAAATTCATTCTTCCCCAAGAAGAATGAATCTTTAATACATCCCTTTGAGATCATTACTAGTATTATCCCATAATAAAAATGAAAAAAATGAGATATTAAAAAAAACGAAGTCACATGGTCAAGGGCATACAGCCAGAAATGGCAGCAGCAGTATCTGCTCAATCTTCCCCAAGAAGAATGAATCCTTTGTTTTATTTAAACGAATTTGACATTTTTGTGTTACCTGGAATCAAAAGAAATCACTTTTCTGGATTGTTTGGAATCTTTTACAATGATCATATGTCATTTTTATGAGAAAAAAATTTAAAATGATAAATCAGTTATTCTTGTGTAACTGGTGAAAAGCACCCTTCACATCTTCTCAGCTCTCAAGTCACAGTGCTGTCATGAACACTGGAGCAGATTAGAGTTAAAGTTATGAGCCTGGGATTCCGATGCTGCTGCTGCCATTTCTGGGTTGTATGCCCTTGACCATGTGACTTCATTTTGTTTAATGTCTCATTTTTTTCATTTTTATTATGGGATAATACTAGTAATTATCTCAAAGGGATGTATTAAAGATTAAATGAATAGTGCATACAAAGCACCTGGCATATGGCTAGTACTCAGCAAATGTCATTAGTAAATGCATTGAAGTTAAAATAATAGGGAGACTTAAGCACAGACAATTAAGCCCATCTCTAAAGATATTTAGTGATACCAATAGAAACTAATCTTTATTGAGCATTTAATATATGACTGCAACTATATTATAGTTATATGAGTTTTAATATGTAACTTATTATGTAAATAAGAGCTGAGGTTATCTCATTTAATTCTCACACTCTATAGGGTCAAATCAGAAACCTGATCGATGAATGGCTCTGAGTGACAATGCTAAATATCAGGGGGCCAGGCACGATGGCTCACACCTGTAATCCTGGCACTTTGTGAAGCCAAGGTAGGCGGATCACTTGAACACAGGAGTTCAAGACCAGCCTGGGCAACATGGTGACCCCCATCTTTACAAAAAAAATACAAAAATCATCTGGGAGTGGTGATGTGTTCCTGTAGTCCTAGCTACTTGGGAGGCTGAGGGAGGAGAATCACTTGAGCCTGGGAGATGGAGGTTGCAGTGAGCTGAAATCACACCATTGCACTCCAAGGAGTGAAAACCTGTCTCAAAAAAAAAAAAAAAAAAAATCTCATGGGAGACTCTTATTGGCCTGCTGGGATAGGGTAGGCAGAATTATGACCTCCCCCACAAAGATGTCCACACCCTAATCCCTAGAATGTATGAATATATTCCATGGCAAATGGGAATTAACGTGGCAGATGGAATTATGGTTGTTAATCAGTTGACCTTAAAATAGGGAGACTATCCTAGATTATCTGGATGGGCCCAATTAATCACAAATGATACAAAATGAGAGACTCCACCCACCATTGCTGGCTTTGAAGATGGAAGAGGGCCCTGAGCCAAGGAATGTGGGCAGCCTTTAGAGGCTGGAATGGGGAAGAAAAAGGCTTTTCCTCTAGTCTCCTGAAGGGATGCAGCCCTGCTCAAGAACATTTATCCCAATAAAACTAATTTTGGCTTCTGACCTCCAGAACTGTAAGGTAACAATTTTGTGTTGTTTTAAGCCACTAAGTCTGATGCTTTGTTACAGCAGCTGTAGGCAACCAATACGTGGGGTCAGCAATTTAAACCAGGGAAATACTGACGTTGCTCTCCCAGAACATTGCTGGAGCCTCATAACTAGTCCTGCTTCCAGCCTGGCATCGCGCCCTGCCTCTACTCTATTCTCAGCAACGCAGCTGGAGCAATGCCTTTGAAACATGGGTTGGGCCACAGTGGTCCTTCAGTGGATCCCTTCTCCCGCCTCTCCTGTACACCACTACATTCCCAGCCCCTAGAATGGAGCCTGAGCGTGGTGGTCCCTCAGTATGTGCTGTTAATGAAGGAACTGACTCTCTTAACGCCACAAAAGCTGGCGTCAGCAAAATGAAGAAAGTTACAAATCATCCTAATTTCCTATTCCTACCACAGTAGTTCTCCCTTATCCACAGGGAATATATTCCAAGACCCCCAGTGTATGACTGCAACCTCCAATAGTACCAAATTCTCTATATGCTATGTTTTTTTGAATCTGATAACCAAGAGGGCTTCTAAGTGTGTAACGAGCAGGGAGCATCTCCAACGTGGATAGGCTGGACAAAGGGAGGATTCACGTTTCACATGGGATGGTGCAGGATGGTGTGAGATTTCATCACGCTGCTCAGGACAGTGTGCAACTTAAAACTTATGATTTGTTTATTTCTGGAATTTTTCATTTAATATTTTCAGGCTATAGGTGATCTCAGGTAACTGAAACCGTAGAAAGTGAAACCGCAGATCAGCGGGGACTATGGTATTCAGAAATAGTTAACAATATCTTTGTGGTGAATATTCTTTCAGACATGATTCTAGGCATATATAAATACTAACAAGATAATATTTTAGCATTACTATTGTACCGTTTTGTTTTTTGTTTTACAGCTTGGACCTTTTTCCAGGTTGGCACTAGATATTCATCAGACTTGGGAAAACTTAGGATTTTTTAAAAGAAGGTACACAAAGAGAAAGAATAAGGCCATTTCCAGCTTCTGGCATACAAAATAGATTAGAAGGCAACATAGTAAACAGGGTAGGGTCTAGAGAGAGCATTTCCCAAGTAACTTGATCCTCTCTCTTCCATCTCTCAAGGGCCTAACCTAGAGGAATCTGCTTATCACAAGACTTGCCACTTGTAAGCAAAAGGAGGGTAGGATGTAGGGAAAGTAAGGGAAGACTTCTTTTTTTCCAGCTCTAGATGAGGGTGAGAAGGGAACTGAGGGAGAGAGAGGGAGTCCATCCTGGGGTTCCAGGCACAGGCCCTGTGACGGAGGAGGTGTGTTTCATAAGGGAGGGTAATGTGGAAGGCAGAGGAGGTGACTCTTAGGACTCTGGGAAGAAGTCCCCTCTCAACACATCCTAACCCCAGTTTGAACACAGCTGCACCATCTCGAAGGTGAGCACAGTCAGGCCAAGGGAAGCCTGAGGTTGTTTCTTGATTTCCTCAAGTTCTATGTGGGGTGGGTGATGGATGGAGGCCCAGAGGGCCTGCTTTGGGAGTTTCTCAAGGTGAAGCCCAATGACTTGGCTACAAAGCTGGGTGAGCACCTGGGCCTGCAGACTGGATGGGGAGCTTGAAAGAGATCTGGGGTCTGAGGCTTGAGAAGCCCATGCAAACCTGAATCAATCAGGAAGGAGTTCCCACTCTGGGCAAGCTGAGAAAGAGACCAATGGCCACAGAAGTTAGCTGAGGGACAAAGGACACTGCCTCAGGCACCAGAGACTACTCAAAAGACCATCAAAGACCTGGCTCTTCCCTCCGCCAAACACACAGTTCTCAGCTCACATGCCTGGCTAACATCTAGGGAAGAGAAGTGGGTAAAGAGAGTATATTAGTAAGGGTTCTCCAGACAAATAGAACCAGTAAAAGCACTATATAAAGAGAGTCATTATAAAGAATTGGCTTACATGGTTATGGAGGCTAAGAAGTCTTAAGATGTGTAGTTGGCAAGCTGGAGACCCAGGAGAGCTGATAGTTGAGTTTCAGTCTGAAGCTAAAAGCCTGAGAAGCTGATGGTGGAAATTCGAGGCCAAGTGTGACTCTGAAGGCATGAGAAGACCAATGTCCAGCTCCAAGACAGACAGAAAGACAGTGAATTCTCCCTTACTCAGCCTTTTTGTTCCATTCAAGCCTTCCACAGATTGGATGAAGCTCACCCAAATTGGGGAGGGCAATTTGCTTTGCTCAATCTCCCAATGTAAATGCGAATCTCATCCAGAAACACCCTCACAGACTCGCCCATCATAATGATTAATGAAACATCTGGGCACCCTGTAGCCCAGTCAAGTTGACACAAAATTAACCAGCATAAGAAGCCATGTAGAAACTGGGAAGTTTTCCTAAAAGAGACAGAGTATTAGTGAAAGGACCATTTACATGCTCAGATTGGGTTGAGCTTAATCAAAATTAGAAATTTCGTTTTCTGTGTGTTTGCTTTTTGCTTTCTACTAACTGCTGAATGGGAGATTATGAGAGGGAATGGAGAGACATCAAGAAAAAAACCTTACATTTTCTCTGCTTATTCAGCCATGGATAAATATATGGAAACACATTATATCTGTTCTGTAATCTGCTTTTTTGACCATGCAAATATACATCATAGACAGCTTTCTGGATTAATAAATATCGATCTCCATGAAAATTATCTTAAATATGTCCTTGGTATTCCATTGTCTATAAATGTCAAAATGTAGACACTCAGACCCCTATTGATAGACATTTGTTATTTTTAATTAAATAGACACAATTCACTCCAGAAAGCTTTCAGAGACTTTCAGTTATAACTACAGCTTGGTTTTCTTTGTTTCATATATGGAGAAAAATAAATTGTATTTATTCTTTGAATATGGGAGTGTGGGGGAATAAAAAGAACAGAGAATACGAATTTGACAGGGAGCTTGTAAATGGCTGTGGGATGTTCAGAGATGCGGTCCATGCACGCCCTGTACATGCCTGGCTACTTGTCCTTGCCCAACCATGACCACACCGGCAAGATAACGGAGCAGGGTGGTGATTATTCATGCCTCTCAGAAAACTGTATTCACCTGCTCTGCACAGGGTCTCCACTGGGTGCTTGCCATTGCAGACTTCCATATGCTCTCCAGGGGCCAACAGACAGGAAGAGGATAAAGCTGGGCGGATGGCATGCTTCCGCCTTCCTGCCGAGATAATGAACTGAGGGAGGCAGAGAAACTGGGGCCACCTGAAGTACGACCAGCAGCCCTATCTAAACCGTCCAGAGCGCAGGCTGCCATGGGCGAGCTGTTTATCGAGAGCCACATGTTCCCGATTGCAGGCTACTGCATGGCTACAATTAGACTTTTTGACTGATGGCCAGTTTAATGAGCCTATTTACAGAGGGTCATTCAACATAGCAATTACACCTATAAATCTATTTGCAGTAGGACTCGAATAACCTTCTGCACACAGCCTTGTATAAAACTGCTGTCTGATTAATTAACATTAATTTCCCCGCCGTATGGAACCAGCTGCAGTTGGTGTAAATGCTTCCAGCTCCTCTCGGCAGGCCCCCTGCGAATGGCAGGGGTTCTCATGGTGGGGGGAATGTTTCAGGGGCTGGGAGGGAGGGAAGGGCCGGTAGTTGTGTTGTTGCTGTTCCAAAGAAACGCTTAGTTTTTCTTCCATCCCTCTGTTCTTTCTCTGGCCCTGTTTGATTGATGTTTCAGGGCAGTGTCATATATAGGGGGCAAAATTCAATTAATTAGATATGAAATATTTATAACCCTGCTGTATGTGTCTATCAGAAAAGAGCCCTTAATAGATCTTCTCATTAGCATGAGCTGGTGACTCATTTCTCCGCTTTCACAGTCATTCGGAATTAAAATCCAATTAATCTAATATCCCTGTGAATGTTATTAAATTATTGGAAAAACTGCATTCGGGAGATAGGGTGAGGGGAAGGAGCCGGCCTGGTGGGTTCTCATTTCCTCTCTGCAAAGCACACAATGCCAGGGGGACCGGCCCCTCTTCCTTTGGGCGCTCAGCTTCCCGCTTTTGGGTTGTGTCTACACTTGGCAAATAAAGCACCGGATTGTGAATCAGGGACTCTCAGCTGCCAATGCTAACACTGCCAAAGCTAATAACACAACAACAACAACAACAACAGAAGCAGCAGCAGCATCAACAAAACCCAGAACACCGGTTTCTGAAACCAGCAAAGTATTTGCAAAATGCAAGATTGTAATTAAGTGAAAAGCAAAATGCAAGATTGTAATTAAGTGAAAAGGTAAGATTTGCACTGTTTTAAGCAGCTCTAAAAGAAATGAGTCTCTTTAAGGTGGAAGCAGCTTTAAGAAGGAAGACTGAATTGGAAGCTCCCAGGCTCCATGCAGTTCTAGAATGCTGTGATTTTATGAATTCTAAGTCTGAGGACCCTGTGAAAAAGTCAGGAAGAACAGTCTATGATTTTACAGAAGTGATGAGTTGAACAAAAAGCTAAAGGCTCCTTGTATTTGGAAAAACAGGGACCATTGCTATCATTATTAACAAATGTTTGCATCACAGGGCATTTCCTTTGTCCAGTGGTACATGGAGACACTTGAAATTTTTTGCATTTTTTTTTGGAAAGGAAGAGAGAAAAAATTATAGCAATTATGGTAAGCAGTGTCCTGAAGTTCTGCCGATCAACTGATATTATGACGTTGTGGCCCATAATTTGGAGGTTGCCAACTCGAGACTTTAGTTATGACCATGACGTAAGGATTCTAGAAACTCCTGAGAGGGCTCTTAAATCCCTCTCTCCTTGCAGAATCCAACACTGAAGTTGGACCAACATTGATTGAGTTCCTACTGTATGTCCGGGACTGTGCCAGGAGCAAGGGGTCACAGCGCTATGGATTACATAAACATTTATAAACGGAAATGCTCCCCAAAGAATATGATGATGAAAAAGACTTGGCTCCTGGCTTTGAGAGGCTTCTAAGTGTGTAAACTGATAATTTAAAATATGATGGGCTGTCTCACTGCAAAGCAATGATAAAAGCATGAGGTGCTGGATATGCTAACTACCCTGATTTAATCATTATACAACGCATGTATGTATTGAAACATCAAACTTTACCCATAAAATGTATAATTACAATGTGTCAATTTAAAACAATTTAAGAAATAGAACGGTTTGAAATGCTTTGCTACTGGAGCATAGCAGGGTGATGGAGGGGCGTCAGGGAGATCTTCCTGGGACACCTACACTGACTCTGGGGTGTAACGGGGCTGTGTTCCTGGGCGGGCTTAGACTGTTTCTCTAATTATGACAGCTTTCTCCTTCTTGCTGTAGTTTTGTCTTTTCAAGAATGTCATATGAATATTTGATATGATTTGGATGTTGTCCCCTAAAAACCTCATGTTGAAGTGCAATCCGCAGTGTTAAAAGTGGAGACTGGTGGGCAGTGTTTGGGTCACAGGGGCGGATCCCTCATGGCTTGGTGATGTTTTTTCGATAGTGAGTTCTCCCGAGATCTGGTTGAAGAAAAATGTGTGGCACCTCCCTTCTCCCTCTCTCTCTTCCTTCCACTCTTGCCATGTAAGACACCAGCCCCCCTTTCATCTTCTGCCATGATTGTAAGCTTCCTGAGGCCTCCCCAGAAGCTGAGCAGGTGCTGCCACCATGCTTCCAATAGCATTGCAGAACCATGAACCAATAAAACCTCTTTTCTTTATAAATTACCCAGTCTCAGGTATTTCTTCATGGCAACGTGAGAACGGCCTAACACAATATTATACTGTACGTAACCTGAGACTGACTTCCTTTACTCAGAATGATGCCTTTGAGACTCATCCAAGCTGCTGTGCATGTCAACGGTTTGTTTCTTTTGCTTAGTGAAGAGAATTCCATGGCATGGATGTTTTTCTGTATATCCATTCACCTGTTAGACATTCAGGCTGTTTCCCATTTGGGCAGCTGTGAATAGAGCTGTTCCAAATATTTATGGACATGCTTTTGTATGAGCATGTTTTCATTACTGTTGGGCAAATACCCAGAGGTGGGATTGCTGAGTTGTGTGGCAAACGTGTGTGTACCATTATAAGAAACTGCCAATCTCTTCCAAAGTGGATATACTTTTTCCATTTCCTCCAACAGTGTATGAGCGTTCTGGTTGCCTCCCATCCTCACTAGCATTTGATGTTGTCAATATTTTGCATTTTAGCCACTTTACTAGGTTGAGCTATTTCATTGCGGGTTTTATTTGAAATTCTCTAGCAGTCCATAATGTGCTTATTTGCCATCCTTATATGCTCCTTATATGCTCTTTGGTGAAGGGTCTGTTTATGTTATGTGTATATATTATATATAAAATTATAATTATATGTTATATAATATATATACACATTGAATAATGTGAATTACTACTTATTTGAAAATTAAAATTAAAAAGTGGCTGCCCTGTTCCCAAGGTTTCAAGGCCTATTTCCCTGTTCAGGGAGGCACTCTCGGCATGGCAAATCACTTTGTGATGATTCCTCTTTCCCCATTTTGAAAAAGGGAGTGATAATCTTTATTCCACTGACCCAGAGATTGCCCTCATGGGTAGGTCAGTGATAAGGAGATTTCAAGACCTTCCATGGTCCAGAGTGGTTAGCTGAAGAGCTAATACTAGAACTGAAATCTTGGGTTCTCAAGTTCTCAAACATTGTCAGGGTAAGAGACCCAGTGAACTTATCTGCTGCTGGTTGTGGTGCCAAAACTCTTAGCAGACAAGTGAAACTTTTGTCTCAAAACATGGAACCATTATTTTGCATATGCATTTCTGAGTGTTAAATTCACAGTTGGCAGAGGCTTAAGTAAACAAACAAGCCTAATATTTTATACTGGGATTACTTTTGGACCAGCTGGAGGATCCTCTCTGGAGCCATTTTTCTTTTATTTTATTGGTGGGAGCCTGGAGTCCTGTTTACTGTGAGTCCACTTGGCAGGAAATCTGTCAGTATCACTTAAGTGATGGAAAATGAACTCACAACCTCCCAATGGCTCAACATCAACTTAATTTACATCAGGAAACATTTTGGACTCTGACTATATGCCCAGCCTGCATTAGGAATATCAAGGTAAGTCTCTGGTCTCAAGAACTCATCTGCAGTCAAATGCCATTTTTTATAAGGCACATTGTAGTGATAACCTAGGAGGTGGAGAGGGGATGCGAATCCTCATTTTATAGAAAAGAAAACAGATCCAGAGAGGTTAAGTAATAACAAGTAGGAAATCTGGGATTTAAACTTAGGTCTGTCTGACTCCATTGTCCATGGTCTTTCCAATACACCAGTGATTTATTTTGCCATCAAATTTTAAAATGCATATTCATATACAATTTTATTTGCCATTTTTTTGGAGGAAATTCAGGCATTAAACTTTAGGTTGCTAAAATACAGGCTATCTAAACAAGTATAAAAGTATAAAATCTCCACCCCCCTCGGAATACATTTTAGTGAATTAAATCTTAATATCTTTAATATTTTTAAACCACAAGCCTATCACATCAAGGCCTTAAATCAAACTAATACAAAGTGGTTAAGCAGCTTCCCACAGAGAATTCATCCCAATAGCCAAGAAACAGTACCATCTGCCTAGTGGACTCCACTAGTCAGAGAAAGCGTCTGCCTATTGCTAAATCTGTTTTATAGAAAGTATTTTTATAAACTGTTTAAGCCAAAAATTTAATAACCTACGATAGACCTTGCAGCAAAGAGGCAGCGAGTCCTAGTTGCCCAGGAACTTGGTTAAACAAAGTCATTGGCAAAAGATGGCGCATAGGCAAGAAGTCTCAGGAAGCATTTAAAAGTAGACAATGTCAGAAGGCTGTGCCCTCCACATGAGCAGCCCCAAGGTCAGTTTGCCTACCTCCCCGCTGAAACGGCCAGAATTCAAGAGGCAAAGCATTTGCTCATTCTAGCCACGTCCATGAGACTGACATTTTTCACTACCATCTGAGTTCGATCTCTTTTTAAAGCATGCTAATGGTTTTTAAAGGAATCCTAGTAGCTCCAATGTCACATCAGGTTAACAGAGTCTGCAGGTTTTGTGATCCATCTCAAACATCCTTCCAAGTAACAGAACTGCATAGTTATACAAATAAAATAAAAGAGTAGGTGGCAACGAGGGAGACATTGTGATGTGCTGTAAACATGCTGAATTTTCAGTGGAATGCAGATTTTACAGTCAAGAAATCTGATAAAACCCGCTCTTCCTGCCTCAACAATGATGTCCAGGTATGACAACATACTTGACAGATGTCAGCTTCCACTGTTAGCCAGTCTATGAAATAAGGCAACATTTCTATCTTTCCTTAAATTCTTTAACAGAATCTTGCCAAACTGTATCCATAATTTTAGGCATTTCTACATGTAAAAAAATTAGAAGTCCATCTACACTTGAAAAAAAACAGGGATGCAAAGTTCCCTCATTTTGTCATCGATTTTGAGTGACAATGTAAAACTTGAGTTTGTGAGTGATGGCGTGTATCTCAGAGAAAGATTATAGCCAATTGTCCATGTATAGTGATGAAAAGTGAATAATTTTTTTAACTGAAATGTTTATTAAATCAATAACCAATATAAACCATCATTCCTAAGGATCCCGTTTTGCTTAGTGATTCATATTTTGTGTTGGCAGTAGTAGTCGCTTGAGTAGTTAATGCAGCTCTTTTGGCTTAACTATGTTTCACCATGTTTGTGCTATTTTATGGAGTGCATAAGATCACAAGGAGCTCTTTTATGTAGGAAAACACCTAAGAGGAACCCGTTTATTTGGTGGAAAGAATACAGCAATTTGGTGTGTGTATACTTCACTTCAGACTGTGGAGACTGAGGGCTTCCCCAGTACCCTGGAGAAGGCAACAAGGCATGCCCTGAGATTAATATCTCCATCACAAATAAAAATAAGTGTCATATGTACATGTAGAAAAACAGGGTCCTATTTAGTGGGAGTAGGTAAAGCCATTATCTTTAAATCTAAACATACAATGGGTTGGGAACTTGGTCTTTTGGATAAATGCCTATTGAAGTTGAGGACTGATTCAAGTCAATATGATAAACTTGGCTCTGTTCCAAGCCCATAACTAGAGAAAAATTTAATAAACTCTTCTTGGATGTATTTCCATTATTTCTTTACCATTTGTATAACTAGTGTCCTCTCTATCCTTCCTCCTTTGTGGACACTGTAATTCATAATCCCACTCCAAACTCCATCAAAGACTTTGGTGTCCAATGGTGAGTGGGCCTTTTCAATGAGGAGACCAGATGGGTCTTCACTTGGCCCCACCCTATTGTGCCAGTGTCCTTTCCACCGAGAATGAAACCAGACCAATTTTACAATAAGCCAGATGCCCATAGAACTTAACCTTGAGAAACTTATATTTAAACAATGAGACACACCTGCTGCCTGTTGCCCAACTCCTCTTCCTTGCCCCTCTTGCTTTCCTCCCCAACTACATAAACTCCTAACTTCAGTCGGGGAAAGAGACGGATTTGAGGCTTGTCTCTGGTCTCTCCAGCTGATGTTACCTGTAATAAAGCCTTCTTCCCTGGCAATACTCATTGCCTCAGTGATTGGCTTTCTGTGCAGCAAGCAACATGACCTAGGCTAAACCCCTGGCATTCAGTAACAAGAACAGAGCATTCCCCTCTCGGTAGATAGGGAATTTAATGGTGATCTGTCACCCTGATGCCCAGAGACCAGGATATCTTCATGCAGAGAGGCATTGTTTGGGAGAGTTTCTCAAACATCTGTGGCTAATACTCTTTAAGAGCCTCCTGTTCCCCAAGAGTCAAGAAAGAAAAAAACAACAACAAAAAGAAAAAGCTGATATGTCCTTAAGCATCACTTTTACAACAAATACTAAGTCTTCAATACAGGAAAACACTGTTTAGGAGAAAAGGTGTTAGGATGGCAAGAAACAGATACTTAATGTTATTGTACTTAATCGATAATTGAGGGACATTGTGCCCAATGCGATAGAGAAGGCAAGCAAACAACATTTGTGTGACACACAGGAGGTCAGCATGGTGGGCTAGCTCCAGTCACCCCACTGAGGGGTGTCCCTGGGGTACCTTACATGAGGACAGGTTTTCACATCCACTGGGACTTCTTCCTGGTTCTTCTTGCTGAAGCCAGAATGTCAGGGCTGCCTTTCTCCCAACTTTGAGAATCCTTGAGCAGGTACATTTTCCTCTTTTGCCAACTCAACCCCTTCTAACCTTCTTTGGAATAGCTTGGCCTTTCTGGGTGTCTGTCCTGCTCTGCAGCTCACACACACAAAAACTGGCTTGAAAATCATCTGGCCTGCCTCAGCTCGTTTTGCTATGCTCTTCTGGTTAATATATCTCTCTGCTGAGGAGGTGGCTTCCTTCCTGCTCTCAACCACAGTCAGGACTTCTACCTACAACTGAGGCATAGTGTGAGTTTAACTCTCTAGTTTCACAACGCTCTGCAGAATTAGCTTGTCATTTAAAAATGCCTCTTGTGGCCGGGTGTGGTGGCATGCACCTGTAGTCCCAGCTATTTGGGAGGTTGAGGTGAGAGGATCGCTTGAGGCTGGGAGTTTGAGACCGGCCTGGGCAACATAGTGAGACCCTATCCATACAAAAAATAAAAAATAAATCACCCAGGTGTGGTGGCATGTGCCTGCAGTCCCAGCTACTCAGGAGGCTGAGGTGGGAGGACCACTTGAGCTAAGGAGTTCAAGGTTGCAGTGAGCTATAACTATATCACTGTACTCCAGCCTGGGTAGGAGCAAGACACTGTCTTAAAAAAAAAAAAGCCTCTGGCGATCTGCTTTTCATACTATTTACAGGCCTTAATTGACACTATTATGGAGCTTTATATTTTAAAATTACTTTTATGGTTCATTTGATACAAAGATTAATAAAAAAGACTTTACCCTTATAAATACAACAAACTAATCTGTAATGTGTAAAAAGGAGGATCATATTAAATGTGTTTCTTCACAACCTGCTCTTTAACATAGGAATATATATATGTTTTGCCCATGTTATTAGGTGTATTAGCTATCTGTTGCTGCATAACAAATTAGCCCAAAGCTTAGCAGCTTTTATATAACCAACATTTAGTATCGCCCACAGTTTCTGAAGCTCAGAAACACTTGAGCTGGGTAGTTCTGGCTCATGGTTTCTCACGAGGCTGCAGTCATCTGAAAATTGACTGGGGCTGAAGTGTTTGCTTCAAGCTCACTCACAAGGTCTCTGTTTGTTGCCAGGTGGATTTCATCAAAGGGCTGCTTCAAGACATGGCAGCTGGTTTCCCCCAGAGTGAGTGATTGGAGAGAGCAAAACTGCAATGTCCTTTATAACCTAATCTCAGAAGTGGCATACCATCACTTCTGGCATGTTCTATTGGTCACAGTGCTCTATGGGTCACTAATATTAGTACAGTATTGGGAGGAGGGCTACACAAGGAGTGGGGATTGTTGGTCGCCGTGTTGAAGTCCAGCTACCACTCTGAGTGTGTGTGTGTGTGTGTGTGTGTGTGTGTGTGCATGTGTGTGTGTGCGTGTATATTTCATCTGTAATTACTTTGGCCCAAAGATCTCCCCTCACCCTTACCCCTGTTTAGTACACACAGCATATAGGGCTGGACCAGCTTTTGCCATTCCAGCCTCTGCTCTTCTTTTCCTCCTTCACACTTCAACCTGCACTTGAGTTTTGCAGAATGACCTGTACTCTCACCCTTAGGCTTCTGCATTTTCTGCACATACCTCCTTCATCTACCTTCAGTCTAGGCATCAGCTCCTCTTAGAAACCTCTCTTGAACCCCCAGTCTAAATTAGCTACCCCTCCTAAGTGTTCTCATGGCACCCTGTTCTTCTTCTGCCAAACACTTTTATGTGGAATTTTAGAATCATGTGTCGATATGCCTGTCTCTGCTTCTTGAGCATGGGGTCTGGTGATTTATTAATGGACTTAGGATCATGCTAGTCCATACTACATGGTCAACAACTTTTGCTGGGAGAATAAGTAAATGAATGAACACATTATGAAAGTGCCTCAGGGCTTTGTGATCCATGAGAGATTGGCTGATAAGACTTTTGTTTCGCCATCACTGCCACCCCCACCACCACTAACATCATCATCATCATCATCATCACCATCACTATAGTTTTGTTGTTATCTCCCCAGTGAGCTCCAACCTATCCAGAGCTCTGCTGTGTGAGCTTTTCCAGATCCACAGTGTGCCAGCCAGCATTGCAATCAAGTTTTGTTTTCATTATGCAGGCTTCCTGTGAAGTTTTAAATTAATTTTAATCCTCTCCTCACTTTTAAGGCCTCTAAAAAGAGCTGTATTCCCACCTTCCTTGGTAAACTGGGGCCTATCCCATTTCCCTAGGACGGCTTTCATTCTGGCGAGGGCTGCGTGCTCCCACACCCCTGCACCACTCCGTGCCAGGGCAGTGGGCTTCCAGACTTCCAAGCTGTGGGCGGCCCTCCACCTGGGCTCTGGGGAAGCATGCCCAGTCCATGAGAGCCACGCCAACACCCACCTGGGTCTGATGGATCCTCAGCTTTT